>NC_000016.10:73350378-73653409 GCF_000001405.40 Homo sapiens
TATCACAGTGAAATCTTCAGCTGTCAAAGCAAATGGATATGTGGAGTGGTTCATTTTATGTGTCATTAAAAGACCCATAATTCCGGCCATACGTCTTTCCTGGATTCTTTCAAGAGGTGGTACTTGGGATTCCCTGGACTCCTGAGTGTCTCCTGGACACCCTACACAACTTCAGGCATGGTGAAGGCAGCTGTTGCAGCTTCAGGTAGCGAAGACTCAACTGAGAGAGTTGGCCCTATGTGGGATTTCTCGGGCTTCTCATATAGGCTTATGTTTCACTCATCACTTCTCCTGCATCCTGACCCTTCGGTCAAGTGCTGGAATGTTCCAGAAGATGAGATGGTTGGCTGCTGTTTATGGTCCTGGTGGCTAGAGGCATTGCTACTCAAGGGACACTGGCTGGTGAGCAGCTTTGAGAGTCTGCAAGCCAAAGACGGTCTCTTGGGAGAAATCTCTTTGTAGGGAAGCAGCATGTGCGCAAGGAAGTCTGGGCAATCCCAGAGCCTGAGTTCTGCTTCCTGGAAAGTGTATCACAAGCTCCTCAAGGGAGGATGTGGGCCAGCTCATCGGGATCCAAACCCATGCACCGGTCCAACCAGTGACTTGAAAAATGGAGGTGTCAGCATCCGATGACCTTCCCCGCATAAGAAAGGGAAGTGACACTGGTGGCATTTGGCGTTAACTGTCCAAGAATACGTAAGGATGGCAAGTTAAACAGTAATCACCAGGTAACCATCTCAGACAGATAGAAACAGAGGGGAAAAAACCCAAGAGTAGCTATCTTTAAAGAGAACAAGCAGATCTGAGTAATCCAATTTAGGAGAGATAAGAGCCTGCTGCTAGTACTGTCCTTTAACTGGACAAACGCCTTCGTTCAAGTGTCAACCCCAATCCGGGAGAGGTCACCGCACTGGGCCTGCTGCCTAATATACTCCTGAATTGGCTGAGTGGCTTTCCGAACAAACACACTGGTCCAACAGAATTGATTTTCAACAGGCCGTATTGGTCCCTAACGTAATTATCCAGCAGTGAGTCAGTTCACGGCGGCCCCTGCATTTAAACGCTGCTGGTCAGCCTGGGAGAGGGGACAGCTGTGCAGAGGGGCCTTCTCCAAACTTCACTTGGGAACCTGTTTCTTTCCCCCCAGCTGCTTTTCTCCCAGCTTCCTAAATAATTTAAAGAGCGATGGGGATTTTGCACAGCTCCGTCTTAAGTGGGCATTGTCTTAGAGGCCTTGGTCTCATGTGCCAATGAATATCAAGTCCTGGCTGTTTGATAGGTGAATTCAATTTAAGATAAGGAATCAAATGGAATCCTTTTAAAACGCTTCAATGTTTAACCTCTTCCTTTCTTCAAAGCCTTCTTGGCAGCACGGTTTCCATTACCTCTGGGTCTCCAGCCTTCCAGGGGGGCAGGTCCATGGGGGTGACCTCCCAGAATAGTGCCCTCCCCCAAAAGACTGTCACTCAAAGCCTCTGGTCCAGGTCCTTGTCTGTCAAATGTAGTATGACCTTTAAACTTTCAGCTGAACATTACAAAAGTATCTAAATGTCAATGGGTTCCCAAAGCTGGTAGATCCATTATAAAGGGTATGAGAACTTTTATACCATTTCTAGGATATCCAAATAAAATAACTTCTCCCTGGATGCAGGAATAGTGGCAAGCCTCAAAGACCACAATGTTCCTTCCCATTCATCACTTCCATTCAGACTGAGAGAAACTTACATATTTCTTTCAGTCTGGGGAATCGCCATACTGGTACTATCTTTTATACACAGCCTTTTAGCTCATGCCTCTCACCCGCAGAGAGGGCAGGAGTGAGGTCTGAGGCATCCTTGTCCTCCTGACACCCAGTGCACTGCATGGCCTAAAGCAGTACTCAGCAACGCTGTGTGGAGTTGAATTAAAGTGATTTTTAATGACAAAAGGACAATCAAATAGCTCGGTAAGCATGGGCAATAGCTTGACCTCTCTGTGCCTGGACTGCATTTCTTCATCTTTGAAATGAGGATAACGGCTCCTGTGGCATGAGGTTGTTATAAGGATAAACGGTGTCACTATTTGTCAAGCCTTTGGTTTCTCTCTCTCTCTCTCTCTTTTTTTTTTTTTTTTTTTTTTTTTTTGGAGACAGAGTCTGTCACCCAGGCTGGAGGGCACCAGGCAAGATCACGACTCACTGCAATCTCTGCCTCCCGGGTTCAGGCAATCCTCCCATCCCAGTCTCTCGAGCAGCTGGGACTACAGGCATGTGCCACCACGCCAGGTTGATTTAAAAAAGTTTTTTGGGGTAGTGATGCGGTCTTGCTATGTTGCCCAGGCTTCAATACTCATCAAGCTGTTGGAACTGCACCTGGGACACATAGAAGCTTTAAGTAAGGGACACAACTAGCCACTTACAGGGTAGTACAAGGGGTGTCCAATAGAAACAGCCTTCCTGAAGCTTTTCTTCATATGGGACTTCATCTGCTGTGAAATCCTCAGCTGCACTGGTCAATCAGCCGTGCTATCCAGCCTGGCCTCCCTAAACTGGCTTGGTTCAGGGCTGGGGTCCCAAGCCTGTGTGTGTGCCTGACCAGAAGCCTCATGGTCCAGGGGTAGAGAGTTGCTGATGAGGAGATGTGGAGCAGGACACGAAGAGATGTGTCTCTGCCTGCCCCGCCCTAGTTCCAGGGGGAATCCACACAGGCAGTGACAATGAATGAATTCATGGTGGCAGTGACCATGAGAGAAATTGATCATCTAAGTTCTCAAGAAACACTGTGCATTCATGATTGACCTGCTGGGAGGCTCTGCTCAGGCAAATGGTAAGACACAGTTAGAACCCGTCTGCAAGAGACAAGAAAAATATTCCCATTTGTTTAAAAACACTAAAATCACCCATGGGCTCATTTCGCCAAAGCTGTTTTGGTTTTCACCGAGTCCCCCTGGCCAGAGTGGAGCTATGAAAACCAAAGCAAGGACTGCCATCCATTTACTCACTCTGGGTTGACCCAGGATCCTGCTTGGCTCAAGCGACCTGACTGAAATGAGCACACACTGGATCATTTCTGAAGCCCAAACTAACACAATAGTGTTATTAGCAATAAGATTGATAATGTGCTGGATACTATTTAAGTGCTCTTCTTCTATCAGTTCACTTAATCTGACAGGTAACATCACTGTCATTTCATCTGAGGAAACGAAGGCACAGAGAGGTTAAAGAGCATGGCTGAGATCACAGATTTGGGACTTTGAACCAGCTCATGGCCACTTAGCCATCCTGCCCCTCTGCAGAGAGGAAAGTAGATGGAGATGCTGCAGTTTACAAAATCACGTGAATGCTGTTAGTATAGACCCAGTGTGCGGTGAAAAATGAAAGGAAGCAGGAGAAAAAGAGGCAGGAGGAGAAAGGAAGAAAGACATTTGGCATAAAGAACAGGAGGAGATAGGAAAAAGATAAATACGTTATTAATACTTAATATTGTTATTTTTATTTATCAAATAAATAGTGTTCATGATAACGACAGGTAACATTTATGGAGAGCATAAAATACGCCATGCGCTGCATTGTATGAAGCACTTCACATTCAGTTATTTAATATTCATAATGAAGCAATCAGTTATTACTACAAATCTCACTCGGAGAGAAGGAAACTGAGGCTCAGAGAGGTTATAACTTAGTCAGTATGGGACCAAAATCTAACCAGAGTAGGGCTGTGGGATTTAGCAAATAAAAATACAGGACACCCAGTTCAATCTGAATTCCAAAGAAACCCCAGATCATCTGGCACGCACTTACACTAAAACTAAAAATCATTTAGGACATCCTTATGCTAAAAAAAATGTATCCATTTATCTGAAATTCAAACTGAACTGGCATCTTATATTTCATCTGGCATCCCTAGACAGAGGCATTATGAGGTTGTCTCAAGTTTTTATAGTTTTAAGCTGGCAGGAACTTGAAATGTAAGGTCCCGAGTGTATTCATCTGATCAGATTCTCAGTGCATCTGTATAGACGCCAACAGGATCCAAATTCTTAACTGGCTGCAAATCCAAAGTTTTAAGTGCCCGAGTAGAATCTCAGGCATGTACGATGACTGCCCAGCTCTGTGCTGGGGGGCATGCCCATATGGGGCCCTCATTTCACGAGGTCTCCCTTCCACGCCCTGTTACCTGCAGGTAACATGCCTGTTACCAGCATGGCCTCTGGACCACGTGCATTTGACCTCCTCCCCAGTCCAGCGTCTGCCTGCGTGCAAGCTCTTTCTGCCCCAAACAGGAGGCCAAGAATTTTCCCGCTTTCAGTGTGCACAGCTGCCTGGCAGCCAGAGACAGCGACCTCATCCACCCTTCTTCCTGCCTGTCCTTCCCCTAAAGTCCTCCTGAATAGGGTCAGGTTCTGGCTGCGTTTTTCAGTCTCTAATTAGCAGATTCCAATTCATCACCCTGAGTATCTCCCGGCATCAGCCCCAAGATTCCCTCCTCTTGCCTGGTGAATCGGTCTTCATTTAAAACCCTCTCTCTTAGCCCTAAATGGAAATCAATTCTGCAAGTTTAGCAAATAGTTAATTACTCCACAAAGAGGATTGATTGGCCTTTGATCACCAGAAAGCTCTGCAGTGCTATTAGTCTCTTTCATCTGTGATTAAACCACAGAGAGAAAGAAACAAAAACTAAATTAGGCTTCTCCTGTTATCCTACAAATATTTAATGACGGGCTAATCTCCTAGAGGTGTGTTCGGGGGATACGTGTTCCATTAGGAGCCAGCTTCCATTCAACCTTGAACCGAGATTCCATCTTTGTGGAGAGTGCAGCAAAGAACTTTACAGAGGAACAGAGCTGGGCTCAAAGAAACGCTTTGTAGGACACACTCTTTTCTGCCTTTTCTTCTCTTCTCTTCTTATGTATGTTTTAATGCAGATAAAGATTTTCCCAGTGGACTCCTGACATGAATAATAATAATAAGAGGAAACCTGGCTTAAAAAATTCCATTTGGGTTTTTTTCTAACTCTGTAACTAGAACCAGATCCTGTCCCCTTGATTTGCACACACCAAGGAGTTCCTCTCTCAAGCCACAGACTCCTTCAACTAGGGGCAGAAAAGGCAGGTGCCATGGAGCTTTTTGGTGGCTACCTCTTCCTGAATAGGGACACTAAAGAGCAGGGCAGGAGCTGGGATGGTCTGCTTCATCCAATCCTCAACATCGTCATGTACAGGAAATGACTCTTTAGAAAAGGCACTTTCTGTGATACAAGAGTCCTATAAAGGACATAAGGAAACTGAGGCACAGCAGGGAGGACAGATCAAGGACCTTGGAGTCAGGCAGAATTGAATTCAACTGCTCCCTCTGCTTAATATCTGCGTGACCTTGGGCAAGTCGCTTCACATCTCAGACTATGTACAAAGGTGACCATAACGCCTACTTTCCAGGGCTGTGCTGCTGATCTGTTCCAACAGAGCGCGACGGTACCAAGCATAGGGCTTGACGCATAGTAGGAGCATTTGTTGCTAGGTTTGCTCCCCTCCCTTTCTTTTACTCAGGGTCACACAGCTCATTACTGAGAGAGTTGAGCCTGGAGCCATTGTCCTTCCCGAGTCCAGGGTTTTTCCTCCCCCACATTCACGCTGCCTCTCCAGCAACCTTTCCACTGTACACTTTCCATTCTGCTTAGAATTCATCCCAGAGACCTAAGTTTCCGAAATAACATCAAGGCTTCAGAATTAAAGAAGAGATCCAGGCCAAGAATAATACAGCCAAGAAACCAACCAGGTTTTCGTTGAATGGGCACTTTCTGAATGGCGGAGTCACCCCCCGCCGACCATTGCCAACCCACTGGATAAGCTACTTCGGTCTCCAGAAACAAACACAAGACAGGACCTAATTGATTGCTTTTCAGCCTGGTACGGCTGGCCCGATGAAGACAGCTGGCATGCACTTTGTAACACCCTCATTTGTTCTTCCTGCAGTCTCATGTACAGCCCCACGGGTCACTCTGGGGTTTTCCTCTTCATAATTTTATCAGAAAAACCCTGCTAATTGGATTGACCTAGAGCAAGACGGTGATGTTGGCAAAGTCGGTGCTCTGTAATACCAGTTCCAGCTTTGTCTTCAACTTGTCCCCACGCTGAGACGGGACCCCTCACGGCGGTGACACATGCCTTGTTCTACATGCTAAAGACCAATGGACTCTGCACCAGATCATCCAGTGGGAGTCCCAGCTCCGACACTTACAAGCTGAGCGACCTTGGACAATACAATGGCAATGCTAACAAGTTTAATTAACATATGCTGAGCACCTTCTTGTGTCAAGGACGGAGCCAGCATTTCCATGGGGATTAAGTAGACTAATTACCTGAAAGTATTTGTGGCTATCAATATTATCATTAGATTTTGTTCGGTTTCACTCACGTCCTTTCAACATTCATCCTATACATGAAGGCTGTTTGCTGCAAACACCTATGATGCTCACCTGAGGGCTTTTTTTTTTTTTTCTTCCTGGCCATGGGAGTACACTAGGCCTGTGCTGGGAGGTGCCCAAGAGCTAACAGGGTGGGAAGCAGCCGTTAACCAGAGACTGACTGGGATTTCCTCCTCCCTCGGGTGGACAACTCTGAGTGTGTGCCCCATACCACCTCCCAAAGTTACCCAGCAGAGCTCAGCTCCAATTGGCCATGGTGGAAATGTGCTAGATAATACACATTTTATGGACTTCTTTCCTTCCCCTCTTTCCCTTTCCCCACTCCTCTACTAGTGTTTCACCTTCCAAATAGATGATTTCTCAAATTTTTGTCTCTGGTTCTATTTCTGGGAAAACCCAGACTAAGAGAATAGATCTTAATAATAATAATAATACCCCCCACCACAAAACCCCAGCAAGAATATTTGTTACTCGACTGAAAATTTGGGGCATAAAATGCATCAGCAGGTTTGCATCTTGGAAGAAGGTTAAAATGAAATTAATTACAAAAAATAACAAAAATTGAGAGAGAGAGAGAAAACAGGAATATGGAGAAGCAATGGTAACGTCTTCTGGGAGCAAACAAACGGTGACAGAAGTAACCTAGGGCAACTGAGATGGCAACTAAGAAGAGTACAGGGAAGGCCAGAGCCTTCTAGAATTGAGAGAGAGGACAGAGACAGAGACAGAAAGACCCTGTTGGAGGCACACTGGGCCCTGTTACAGATGAGCTACTTCAATGTCACTGTGGTTTTGCCAGAAAACCAGAGGGCTTACCCTATAGGCCCCATTCCTCCAGGTTCTAAAAGGAGCCTAAAATGACAGGTTCCCCTTGGACCAGCAGACAGAGGAGTGGTAGGGTTCAGGCTGTACCTGGCAGGAATTTTTAGGGCGTGAGAATTTGAACCGTGGCCTGTGTCGGGAGGTGTGTAGTTTGAGTGGATTCCTCTTCCGGGTCACTCTGTCAGACTCCTCACATTCCTTCGGCTCCATCTGGAATTGCCCATTTCCCTCTTCCAGGCTGGTCTGCTCCAACCCACTTTCCATGCCCACCCACTGCTGTCTAATATCCTTCAGGGACTTCGCACTGCTCTCAGGAGAAGGAAAGGTACCCTGGGCCCACCCAGCAACGTCTGGATCTCTCCCTGTGAGCCTCCCCCATCCCCTCTCGGGAGCATCTTGCTGCTCCGTGAATCAGCCCTGCTCCTTCCAGGGCCTCCCACCATTTCCTCCCTCTGCCTGGCTTCCCAGGCCTGGGCATGGAGCTGGGCTAACTCTTCTGTATCTGTCAAGTGTCAGCTTAGGAGCTTCTTTGAGACGCCTTGCTTTGTACGGATTTGTGCTAGGCAGCTCCGGAAATGGCCCCCAGCACCGTCCACTCCCTGGCATCTGCACTCTCTTGCAGTCCCCTCCCCTCGAGTGTGGGCTGGACTTAGTGAACCACTTCTAATGGATAGAATATGGCAAAAGTGAAGGCGTGTCGCCTGCAGGATTAGGTCACAAAGGACAGCGGCCTCCATGCTCTCTCCTCCATCACTTGCTCTGATGTGAGCTGCACTGTGAAGTGGCTACTGGCGGGAAACCGAGCGCAGCCTCTGGCCAAGAACCCATGAGAAGCTGAATCTTGCAAATGACCCGGCGAGTGAGTTCAGAAGCAGATCCTTCCCCATTCAAACCTTGAGATGATGGCGGCCCTGGCTGACACCAAATGTAACCTTGTGAGGAACCCAAGCTAAGCTGTGCCCAGATTCCTGCCCTGTAGAAGCTAAGATGGTACATTGTTTCAAGCCACTAGGTCTTAGGGTAACTTGTTAGGCAGCAACAGATAACTAATGCAGATGACCTCTCATCCATATATGCAGACAGGGTACGCTTTAGGGGACAATTTTGCAACAGATATGGACTGTAAAACAACTCTGTGTCCAGCTATGGGAGGCACAATGGCCTAGTGGCCAAGAGCAGGGCCTCTGAAGTCAGACCACCAGGATCTGAATTCTGGCTCTATTCCTTGCCAGTCAGAGGACCCTGTGTCCATTATGTGACCTCTGGGATTCAGTTCTTCATCTACAAAACAGAGGTAATAATAAGAGTCACCTTATAAAGTGGATGCAAAGATTAAACAAGATAACACTTGAAAGTTGTTTCAAACAGTACCTGGTCCATAATAAGTATTTAATAAATGCTGCCTATTATCATTCTTATGAGGATGATAAGAGAGGGTATAATATAATTTTTGGAAATTGAGCATCTTGCTTTCTGCCTAGGGAGACGCCACAGCTCATAAAGGAAGATCATACAAGGTAATAGACAATTAGGTGCTACATCATGTTCTTTAGGTTCTAAAAGAAGGAGTTTAGAAGAGGTTTTTTTTTTTTTTTTTTAAACAAAAAGGGATAGACTCCCCTGGAATGTTTCACAGTGAAGATTTACCTAGGCAAGAAAGATTATTAGACTCGAAGTGGGCACAAAAGGAAGGAGTAGAGAATGGCATGTGCAGAGAAGCAGAGGTAGGGACACAGGGGTGAATAAGAGGGCAAGAGGCTTGGCTGGAGTGGAAGGTGAGTACTGGGGGAAAATGACATCAATTAGGGTAGAAATTTACACACCATCGGCAAAGGCTCAGTCTCAATGCTGTAGGATTGGGGAACTCTGTGGCTAACTCAGTATTTGCGAAAAGTGCTGCAAACAGGAGAGTTTAGAGGCGGAAGAACCTGAAGGCTGAGAGGTGCCATGTTCTTAGGACTGGAGACCAGAGGCTGGCTGGCTGTGTCTGTGAGCCCAGAGGCATTGGGAAGGAAAGGCCCCATGTGGGGATGGAGAGGCCAGCCCTGCCGGACCAGCTGTGGCATGGAACGTCTGGAGCTATCTTCTCTCTGGAAGTGGGTGAGTCTGAGAATAGCTCCCATTACCCACAAGTCACTGAAGCCCCGAGGCATGAGTGTTTGCAAGTTGGTGCATGTTTAAGGTCAAGGGAACATTGATTTCCGCCCTGAGTTGTGGGAGAAGCCGCTAATTTGATAAGACAGAACATTAAAGATTCAGTGTGGATGGGTATTGATCATGGGGGGTGGTTCATGTTAGATGGGATTTTTTTTTTAAATGATCAAATAACTATGGGTAGAAAACTAAGTAAGAATTACCCACCTGAACCTACCTTGTTTGAGGTGCTGTAAACCTGAGTAAGACATAATGCAGTGATTGAGTGCACAGCTTTGAAGGCAGAGAGATGTGGGTTTGAATCCTGAGTTATCACTTATTAGTTGGGTGGCATTAGATACGTTAGCCAAATTCTCTGTGCCTCAGGTTCCTTACAGGGACAATAAGACAGTTAATATCTACAGCAAGAAGTCATTGTGAGAATTAAACAGCAAGATACACGTGACAATAATAGTATAATAATAATTGCAACAACACAACCGTGAGTTGCGTATAGACTAATTTAATTATCACAACCACCCAATGAGGAAACTTGCCAAAGCTTACACAGCATAAAGCCGAGATTTGTTTTGTTTCGTTTTGTTTCTTTTTGTTTTGTTGTGAGACGAAGGCTTACTCTGTTGCCCAGGCTGGAGTGCAGTGGTGCAATCTGGGCTCACCACAGCCTCCGCCTCTAGGGTTCAACTGATTCTCCTGCCTCAGCCTTCCGAGTAGCTGGGATTACAGGTGCCCACCGCTATGCCCAGCTAATTTTTGTATTTTTAGTAGAGACAGGGTTTCGCCATGTTGGCCAGGCTGATCTTGAACTGCTGGCCTCAAGTGATCCACCCACCTTGGCCTACCAAAGTGCTGGGATTACAGGCATGAGCCACCATGCCCAGCCGTATAAAGCCAGGATTTGAAGCTGGGTACTCTGTGTTCAGAGCTGGCACTGTTAACTCTGGAGAACACAGTTTTAACATAAGACTGCAGTGTCTGGTATATGACACTAAATAGCTACTTAATAATTGACAGCATATATGTTGATAGGAGACCTAGAAGTTCATGCTGTCTCTTACATTAAGTCTTTGCAAGCTGCTGAAATCATAGTTGTGATTCTGGAGGGCCTCACTGTTTTTTCTAATGGAACCGTGCAGGGATCCATGCAAAAAAAAGCAATGGGGGGTCATGAGCCACCCCAGCCTCCACACTGGATGATGGAGACAAGAAAAGGAAAAGAAAGATAATGAAAAAGCAAAAACACACACATAAAAGCAAATAAGGAAATGGGGGCACTTTTGGCATTTTGAGTTTGAGGATCTAGGAAAGCTCATCAAAGCCTGGAAAGTGTCAGCAAATGCCACATTGCATGCCTAAGTCCCATTCCCAAGAGCATCAAGTGGTCTGGAATAACTAAAGGACTCCGGTAGGCTGGCACGTTGGTGGCCTCCAGTGAATCACACTTCTTGGGATTCGTGCCCTTGTTTGCCTCCTCCCATACCAACTCTGACCTTGGCTGTGTGACTTGCTTTGGCCGATGAGACGGTGGCAAGCTCAAAGCAAGAAGAGGCTTGATAGGTGCTTGCACTTGGGGCTTGCCCCCTTGGAAGCCAGCCACCATCCTGCAAAGATGCTTTGGCTTGAGCGATGAGAGAGAAAACGTGGAGAGGGACCACAGAGCTCTGGCCTAGCTCACAGCTGAATCGCCCAGCTGAAATCATGCGGAATACCACTGTTGTGGTTTTAAGTCACTAAATCTTGAGGTGTCTGGTTATGCAGAAATAAATAACAGAATCAATGACTTTATTTTCTCTCTTAAATATAATTTTCAATTACACAAAATGTATAGGAATCTCTTCATTTTTAAAAAATAGAATACTACAGATAAAGGCTGAAGTTCCATCCCCAATCTTGGTCTCCTTCCCCCCACTGTAAAAGTTAGCAAGTTAGGGGTCTGGTGTCCATCAAACCAAGATTTTTAAAGAAACTTTCACATACACAAATATGTACTCATAGATAATATATCAGTTTTTGAGATTGCTTCCTACTGCAACTTTGGGGCAATATTGTAAGTGACCGCCTTGATGTATTTGAAGATGAAGGTGACAGTTCTCCCCCATAACACGTGGTACAGTTTGGCCAATAGGAGGGATTTCTCTTCTTCAACACTGACATGGTCTGAAAAAAAATCAACTTGCCCCAATCAGGCAGCCCATCCGTCTGCTCTCATGCTTGTCATGAACCTAAATCAATCAGCCAGGGAATTTAGGAGCCAATTGTCATTTCTCATATCCTCATGGAGAAGAACTCCATCTGGGACAACTTGTTCCAGCATGATTTGGGAGGATGACAGCCAAGAATGGTTTAGTTTTCCAACAAGGGCCACGTGCCTCCTTGCCTTCCTTGCCAACCCCCACCCAGTACCTCTGTTCCCTGCTACATTCCCTACGTAAGGAATATTTGTATCTGGG
Source organism: Homo sapiens (assembly GCF_000001405.40). Classification (NCBI taxonomy): domain Eukaryota; kingdom Metazoa; phylum Chordata; class Mammalia; order Primates; family Hominidae; genus Homo; species Homo sapiens. Next base: position 73,362,206 of record NC_000016.10, read on the forward strand.
GAGAGGAATTAGGAGAAACTCAGGTCTCTGAGAGGCACAATGTTTTGTCTGAGTTTGCAAACGGGACATGGGGGCTTCCAGAGTTCCCCCCATTATCTACTTTGGAATCTCCTTATCCTGGGGCAGCCAAGGTCAGGCTTGCTGCCTGGGGGCTTGACCACCCATGGGATGGCCCAGGAACAGAGTCAGAGGCCAGAGGAACAGTTGAGAGTGTCTCTATCTAATTCACACCTTGGCACCAGCTCACGGGGGATGGTGCATCCAATTTACAGCAGGAGCGTCTAATGGGTGTTAGGCCTCACCAGACACACACCACACACTTCACAGAGTGTAAAGAAGGATCAGTGAACATCCTGCAAATGAGTCACAAAGAAACATTCAGAACCACCGATGAATTCATCTAATATTTCAATACCTAGAATGTGAGCAGAATGTGTGGCATAATATAAGACAAGGCAGGGCAAACAGGGCACCTGCCCACCAGCCAGTGGCACTGTCCTCATGACTGTATAGTTATGAAGCCATCCTTATCTCCTGGAGGTGAAAATGAATAATAACATCACTCTAATGTGAAATTAGGGGGAGGGCAGATAGGCTGTCTGAATTAGGAAGCTAAAATAGCAAACAGAGTACGGTCAAACAAAACTCCTGGCAGCTTTGTATCTCTTTAGTTATCATGCTTAGTTTATATACAAGTAAGAATTGCTAAAGTAACCTATAGGACCTAAAACATTTTTGGTAAAGGTGTTATATTTGATTAAACAAATGATCACAATACTTTGTAACTCATTCCATCAAGAGGTGGAGTCTATTTCTCTATCTGGGATCTGGGCTGGCCTCATGCCTTTCTTTCAGCCGTAGAGGACAGCACAAGTGACATTGTGTGAGTCCTGGTGGCCAGGCCACACGGAATAGAATTGAGGCACCAGGCTGATGGTCAGCCAGTCCCCAGCCAACCTACCATTTCACAAATGAGCCCAGCCGTGATTGACTGAGCCTGGCTCAGGGCAGCAGAAGAACAACTCGGAGGACCCGGATCAAACTGCTGACCCACAGAATCACAAATTAAATAAATGATTGTTGTTTCAAAATAGAGAGTTTTGGGGTGGTTTGTTATGCACCAAAAGCTAACTGTTACGTATTTTAAAAACGATTCCAAATTCTATTGACTTGTTTAGCCGACATCATTTCAATACTGCGATCTATGAAGAAAGACACTCGGCATTGTTTTTCTCCCATTTTATCTCCATCTCCTCACCCTGTGCATACCCCTGAATATGCACTCAACGTAGATTTGTTGAGTAAAAGAACAGAGTGAAATAGACTTCTCTTGCTGGCACTTTAATTTTTTTTTTCCCAAATGAGGCAGGGAATAATGATAAATACAAGATAAATAAATAAAATAGAAAGGAAAAACACAATTAAACTATGTCTTAATTATGCAATATTCTTAATTAATGGGGCATGGATGGATGAATTTTAAAGCATCTGTGAGCTCCTTCTATCCACCCTTCAACAAATATTTATTTACTACAGAATTTGCATTTCGCACTATGCTCACCCCCAGGATACAACAGATAAGGAAGACGGATAGCATCCCTGGCCTCATGGAGCTGTAGAAATGTACACCATTAATTCTGCCTAACATAGAATTAATTTCATGTTAGAACTGTAGGTAGCTACAGTTCTGGGCACGGCAGCTCATGCCTGTAATCCCCGCACTTTGGGAGGCCAAGGAGGGTGGATCACTTGAGATCAGGAGTTTGAGACCAGCCTTGCCAATATGGTGAAACCCCGTCTCTACTAAAAATACAAAAATTAGCCGGGCATGGTGACGCATGCCTGTCATCCCAGCTACTTGGGAGGCTGACACACAAGAACTGCTTGAAACCAGGAGGCGGAGGTTGCAGTGAGCCGAAATGGTACCACTGCACACTAGCCTGGGCGATGAGTGAGTGAGACCCTGTTTCAAAAAAAAAAAAAGAACTTTAAGTAGGAACAAGTAAGGTCATGGGTACATATAACCATAACAAATGCCGTCTCATCCTGGTACAGGTATTTTCTTGCCTGTGATTTGATTTCTGACTGGTGTCTTTAATTTTTTCCTGTTTATTTACATTTTATAATAAATTCAATAATAATAGTAATATTACTATAATATTGTAATATTATAATAATAATAGTAATAATAGTTTCTAACAAATATATTAGTAGGTATACATAAGAGGAACTAAACAGAAGTATTTCCTGACCTCGTAGTTCTTTCGGTCTGGTCAGGGAGACAGAGATTATATGTATAATCACTCTACTAAGCAAATAATTACAAATTAGCCAAGTGCCACAAAGGAAAGTCCCACAGTATGATCACAGGGTAGCATGGCCTAGTCTGGCCGGGGAACCCAGGCACAGCAAGTGGCTTGGTATGATGTCATCACGACTCTAGCTGGTGAGTTTTAGGACATTCTTGTTATATAAGGTTTTGAGGACTTGGGACTGAGTTTTATGGAGTCCATGGACTTGAACTGTTGGCTTGTAAGCACCCTGCGACCGTGTGGTTCCATCTCCCTTTGTCTCCCATCTCACAGTTGCCATTTGTGGGCATTTTTCCATTCATGGGAGTGCTATAGCTAAAGTCTAGATATTGGGACAAGAGATCATGGATTTGCTTCCTGTGCCCCATTTCCCACGGGTGAGCCACTGAAACCTCTCTCTGCCATGGTCCACCTGTAGAATGAGGACACACGTCGCCTCCACCCCACCCCCTCCTTTTTCATTATCGGCCCTCCTTTGCCATGTGCCCTTGGGGCATCTGGGGTGCCCTGTGGCGCCTCTCCCCCCACCCAGGCATGTGGCGAAGATCACTGAGACGATGTTTGTGAAGTGCCACATGTTTCGAGAAGAGAGGCATTCTCCAGAGGAATTCCATGAGGGATTGTGATGATTACTGAGCCTCTGTGGAGAGACCTCCGGTACTTGGCAAGGTGCCACCCCCTTATCTGGAGACAGCTGCTGCCTGGCTGCCCGTGCACTTGCAATCACAGACTTTTCTGCTTCACATACAGATTGCCTGGGGCTGCAGCAGGCAACAGGAGGGGATGCAGACGAGAGCTGGTGCCCACACCTCTGAGCTATCGGTCCATGTTTATTCATTCAACAAATATTTATTGAGTGTCTACTATGAGCCCTTACATGAGTCTAGACATTGCTGGGGCTTGAAAGCTTATAATGGAGGAGAGAAATTGTTTATGACTTGCTAGCGATGGGGCTCAGCACCAAGCCAAATAATATCTCATTAATCCCTTTACAGATGAAGAAACTGCTGTTCAGTGACATATAGAGGAGCACAGAGTTAGTAAATGGTGCAGCTGAGACTTGGCTTGATGTCAGCCCAATTCTAAACACTGTGATCTTTCTAGTTCTGCTTCAGGAACTTACAAAGATGCCCAAGATCTCCACCTCTACAGAAGCTGAGATCCTTAAACGTGGGCACAGATCTGTATCAGCCCTCTGGCCCCCAGCTCACCAAAATAAACACAGCCTGTAGAAAGTCACATTCTTCCCCTCCTGATCCTGGAGCCACCTTCTTAAAAAATGTCTTTCTTAGGCTCAGGCTTGATAGAGATTCCCAGGTGCAGGCAAGAGGAATGTTCCAGGCAACGGAACCAGCACATACAAATTCACAGAAACAACAGAGATGTATCTACAAGAGTGGACCTGGGTCTGCTTGGTGAAAAGGGAAGAGTCCAGGAAAGGGAAAGATCAAAGGTACAAGAGAAAACAAAAAGGAATAATTGATGGTGGCAAGATGGGATCAAACCAAACATCCAGCTGAAGTGATAAAGATGTTTTCTGCACAGGCAGGAAGGTTAGATGCAAGAACATTTAAATTAAATAAAGGCAAGTGATGATCACTAGGATACTTTAAAAGAATGGAAAAGGTTTGGCAGCTTGAGTAGGGAATGGGAATGATGTTGGCAAATCATTTGCTGAAATGTTATTTAAAATAGCAAAAGAGTGGAACAGCCTCAGTGTCCAGCAATAGGGGAGAACTTAGGAAAATTCTGAGAAGGATACTGGATGGGATACTATGTAGCTATTAATAGAGATCATTATGAAGATTTTGTAGCACCATTTTTAAAAGGCTCATGATGTAATACAGTGGGGGAAAACTATAGAAAATAAAAATCTGCTCTATTTTGATTCCTAAGTGGAAAAAAACAAATAGATGAAAAGAGAAAGACAGGGGCTGGGCATGGTGGTTCACACTGATAGTCCCAGTAGTTTGGGAGGCTGAGGCAGGAGGATTGCTTGAGCCCAGGAGTTTGAGACCAGCCTTGGCAATGTAGTGAGACCCTCTCTCTACAAAAATACCAAACCAAAACCAAAAAAAAAAAAAAAAAAGAGAGAAAGAGAGAGACAGATAAGCAACTCCATGGAGCAATGGTTCCAGAGTAGCCCACAAATTCCATTAATTACGTGATATTGTTGGCAAAAGTATGTGTGTGCACATGCATGTGTGTGTGTGTGCGTGCACACTCACTGTATGAGTAAATTTTTCCTGAGATGAGGTGAGAGCTCCAAGATTTCATTACTTTCCAAATAGGTCTATGATCACATCAAGACTATAGAGGAAAGTTCAAATCATTGTACCACAGAGAATGTTCATTTTTGGTTGGGATTCTAAAGTTCTTTGACATAGCTGAAAAGTATTTTTGCCTAACATTTAACTCCCAACATTCTGAGGACCCACATTACAAATGATTTTTGTGCGGGCCCAGGACTTTGCTCTGCAGGATTCAACGCTGACACACTCATACACACTCACACACAGGCACACACACACTTTCTCTCCCACAGTGAGTAATTTCCATCTGGTCTCCCAGTTCTCCTTCCTGGTTCTCCCTCATTAGGGAACTCTTCTGAGGAGTGAAGGAATCTCTTACTAAAATCATTTCAGGGACCTCATAGGGCTTTACAAAACATTAAATCGCCACCCAATGCATGGTCATGGGAAAATCGAGCTCCATGGCTTTGGAACCAATCTGAGGTACTCAAGGCAGAAAGAGATCCCATGAGGCTATTGAACCAAGATGGCTCACCGCCCAGAAGACCACATGCCCTTATATCAAGGTGGCACACTTCACAGCGTGGAGCAGGAAGAACAGTGTGCAATAAAGAAAAGAAAAATAACCACTTAGAAAAACACATGTTTCACGGCTTTTGAATAATTAAAAATGATGGTACCTTTGACTGGGTCATGTGTTCAAGCTGGCCCACAGAGACATGAAAACATTCTGGTGCTGTTCTGATCCAGCTTATAGTCCTTCAGTCACCAAATGTTTACTGGCCACCTCCCACATGCTTGGTTTCTCCCTTTCCATCAAAGAACAAGAAAATCATGTGGCTGTGGGTGTGGAAAGAATGAAAGGGACTTAAGGATTACAGGTGCTGTCCAGCCCACCTTGGGCTTGAATACCTCTATCACCAGTCAAATCAACGGTATCCTCTGAGCCTCATTCTTCCCATCTGTAAAATGGGTGGCATTACTTATTATGCAAGTCATATGAGAACTCCGTGAGTGAATGTATGTATGGCACCAAACACAAGATACAAGCACGTAGTAGGTCTACTCTGACATATACATAGAGGATTAAGGAAGGTCTTTTTTTTTTTTTTTTTTTGAGACAGAGTCTCACTCTGTTTCTCAGGCTGGAGTGCAGTGGCATGGTCTCAGCTCACTGCAACCTCCACCTCCTGGGTTTTCAAGCAATTCTTGTGCCTCAGCCTCTCGAGTAGCTGGGATTACAGGCATGTGCCACCACATCTGGCTAATTTTTTTATTTTCAGTAGAGTCAGGGTTTCACCACGTTGGCCAGGCTGGTCTCAAACTCCTGACCTCAAGTGATCCACCCGCCTTGGCCTCCCAAAGTGCTGGGATTACAGGCATCAACCACTGCACCCAGCTGCAAAGAAGGTCGTAACACTACATCCCCTTTTATCACCCAGGCTGTTGAGCAGAATAAATGAATTAATGAAGTATGGAAGAGCTGCAAAACAAAACAAAAAGCCTCTGTAAAATGTTACAGAAATATCATGATATGAGTAAGCTCCTAGCCTGTGTAGGTGTGAAGCTGCCTCATTTTCCAAAGGTCACAGGCTCCCCATTTTACTTATGGTCTTTTCCTGTGCTTCCAAAGAGTGTGAATTCAGTTGCTGTGGTGAGCTCTTTTTCTAGGTTCTAGCTGAGCCTTGGATGAGCTTTATCATGCTAAGGGTCAACATATCCCCAGACAGAATCGTATTTTAATTCAACAGCATTCAGTAGTTATTAAACTATGATAAATGCTAAAGTGGGAAAGATTACACTTAGACATAAGAAGTGTCACTTGAATCACTTAAAAATATTATAATGTATGGCTAATTGCACCTTGACTATATTATCCAGTGCTGTGAAAACACTTCAGATCCTTAAGTAAGGTACCATTTAAATACCTATTTCGGTATGTAATGGGTAATATTCTTGAGTGCAAAGGTTGTTAAAGGACCCAATATTCATTGAGTATCTATTATGTGCTAGGCACTTTGTCCACATTAATTCATTTAATTCTCGAAACAATTAACTCATGGAGGCAATTATTACCAGCCCCATTTTACTGGTAAGGAAACTCAAATTCAGAGACGTCAAGTAACTTGCCTAAGGTCACACAGCTGATAAATGGCACAGCTGAGATTGGAATCTGGGAAAGCCATCTCCAGAATCCACTGTCACAGACAGATACAATGTGACCTCTGTGACTTCTCTGCCTCAGTGTCCTCACCTATAAAATGGTGTCAGTAATTATACTAGGTTTTTGTGAGGATTGAGATGAGCGAGAAAAGCTCAGAACACAGTGCTCAGTAAACGAAAGCATTATTTTCTATTGTCATTATTGTCTCCTAAAATGCCATTCTATCACGCTTAAGCTAACAACTCCAGGCCTGGGGTTTGCTTTGGAGAGAAATACTTTCTACTTGCCAGCATGGATTTAGTAGGGTTGAAACAATACAGTGCACAGGTCTAGGCGCAGAACTGGCTACATAATTTCCATGGTCCATTGCAAAGTAAAATGTGGTGTCCTTGTCAAAAAACATTAAGGACTTCAAGATGGTGATGGCAGCGCACTGAACCGAGCACCGGGCTTCTAAGCATCAGAATCTTTGCAAATGCACAAATCGAATGCCCGTGAAGCCAGCACCCATGGTGGGAATCGAGGCTGCCTTAGCTACAATCTGTGGTCTTGGGGAATGCAGTGGAACTTTCTGAGTCTCTCTGATTGCTCATCAGTAAAATGGAGACCATTCCTGCCTCACAGGTTATAGGAAGAACCAAACAAGCTGTTGGATGAAAAAGTCCGGCTCCACCACAAAACAGCATGCCAGTGCTTCTCAATCCTAACCATGCACCAGGACCACCTGTGAGCCTGCTAAAAATGTAGATGCTGGTGGCTCTTGCTCCTGAAGATTTGGATCAGGAGGGCAGGGCTGTGCTTCTGTGATATTAAAAAGTTCAAGGTGATTCTGATTGTGCTAACAAGCCAAAGATATTCTTTAGTATAAGAACACTAAGCTTAATTACTTAGAATTAGGATGGTCCTTTCTCTCTCTCTCTCTCTCTGTCTCTCAACTATTACAGTCAAAGCATATTCGAAGAGCCAATCTTTTGAAACTCACCCTATGAAATTGTTTCAATATATCGCTTGGTCAGACTGTTTGTGATATGGCTCCAGGACACACAAAAGATCCCTTTTATGCCATCAGACATTGGATGATTCCTCACTTGCAACTGTAATGTCAAGGCCAAAGTTTTCACACTGAGGTCAGTGCCTCCCACCCCCAGTCTTCCGGCTTCCTGCTGCCAAATAACTAGAACAGACCAGTGCCAGTGAGAATGGATAAACCACAGCAGCCTTTCTTTGGAAACACTTCAGTCAAGGGAGAAAACTGATCATCATATGGTGATGGCTTTCATGCCACCTGGCACATGCTCCTGTAACTCAGCTGCATTTTCACCTGGGTGTCAGCTTCGGGAGTCAGAACGGCTACATCTGACAAGTCACATGCATCCTCTCATCAAAGCCATTTGATTTTTTTATTTTTATTTTTTAGCAGACTGCGTTCTCCCTGAACAAAAGTATTAATGAAGGTTCGAGCATATGGGAGGCAGGTTTAAGACATGTGAGAGCTTCAGGGCAGTGGGGACAAGGCAAAGCTGGCACATACATGTGCCATTAATGGGGTGTCATTTGGGTGGCACATAAACACAAATAGGAAGCTCAGAGCTCCCTGGAGTGGCTAGCTGGGGGTCAGTAAAGCCCGTGTGCTAACCCCATAACACGATGCAAGCTCAACTCAAATTTCCAGGCTGTACTTTTTCCCCTACTACATATACTGGGGCTGTCAGTGTGATTACCAGGTTATGATGGTCAACTGCGGGAGGCTTCTATCCCCACGGTGCCATGCACAGCTCAGCATCCTGATCCAATCAAAGGGCCATCTTGGACTGTCATGGACACTGCTGGCTCCTTTCTTTTGGCACTTGAATGCTTAAAAACTCAACCAATATATGCCTCACTGGCCACAGGTCTGTCCTTCACTTTCTCTTTTTCCAGTCATCTCAGACATAATGGGTTCCTCCCTGTTTTTTGGACAATCTGTGATGGATGTATGGGTGGCTGACAACCAAGAGGTGCAAGATGCTTGGGAATGAAGGGAGCAAAGAAGCTCTTTGAGATAATGCTCTCCTGATTGGAATCCTTTTGGGAAGCCAAGTTTTTCTCTCTTAAGACCTCATCATTGGCCAGGTGTGGTGGCTCATGGCTGTAATCCCAGCACTTTGGGAGGCCAAGGTGGGTGGATCACCTGAGGTCAGGAGTTCAAGACCAGCCTGGCCGACATGGTGAAAACCTGTCTCTACTAAAAATATGTGGTGGTGCGTGCCTGTAGTCCTAGCTACTCGAGAGGCTGAGGCAGGAGAATCACTTGAGCCCAGGAGGCGGAGGTTGCAGTGAGCCGAGATCGCACCACTGCACTCCGGCCTGGGCAACAGAGCGAGACTCCATCTCAAAACAAAAGACCTCATCATTGAATTGTAGAATGTTGCATATGCAAAGGTTCTTAAGGTCAGTCATTCCAACCCCCAATTTTTTATTTTATTTTTTGAGACAGAGTCTCGCCCTATTGCCCAGGCTGGAGTGCAGTGGCGCCAACTCGGCTCGCTGCAACCTCCACTTCCTGCCAACCTCCAATTTTACAGGTAAAAAAACCGAGTACCAGGTAAGTTAAGTGAGTTTCCCAGTGTTAAATGATAAGAAGTGGCACAGGCAGGGCAGGAAGCTCCATCCACCAAAAGGAACTGGTGCACCGGGTGTACCCCTCAGTCCATCTTGGTTTGCTGTAGCAAGCACTAGTGAGGCTCACAGAGGCAGCTTCTGTGGAACAGGAGCTTTCCTTTATCATGCTTCCTTTAAATATGGTTTCTTCATCCTCATGCTAAGCCCATTTTCCATACCTCGCTCCACTTCCTGGTTTATTGCTGCCTGGTTTGGGGCCCTGAAGTCAATGTCACTGGTAAATAGTTCAAAGTCTCTCTTGCTGATCGCAATGCCCTTTCCCTCCCATTCAAGGTCTCGGCCCAGCCCCTCTGGGCAAGCAGTTAAGATTTTCAGTGGCTATGAGCCCCCTTCCTGGACCTCTTCACTCTTTTTCAAGCCTAAACATCAGTGCTGCGTTCACATGCACATGTCACGCGAATTTTTCTACTCTTTCCACTTCCAACATAGCTTCTATTTCCAAGAAGTCAAAGGGCTTTTCAGAGTCCATAAAAGTCTATGTACACAATGGCATTTTATACTCAGCAGTCTTCCCTGGGACTTTTTCATTTTCTGCAGGTGATCCGGAGTTGAGAAATGACTTCTAAATCCTGTCTACTCTCATGGCTGATTAAAGTCCAGAAGTCCCTGTAGTCCGCCTACCAGTACTTTTGTGAAGATTTTGCATAACTACTGAAAACAGTTTAAAAGATCATGTCTGTGATCTATTAAACAAGGTTTTTTTTTAAGGGCAATAAAGGGTTTAAAAGGAACATGTGAGACAGAAATATCTGCGCTCTGCTTATTATACATTAGAAATTATAAGAATAACACGTTTACTACTAATTACGCAAGTCATTTGTCACGAAGCTCTTGCCAGAAAACGTATTTGAATTCCCCCAAATTCAAATAAAGAATTAATGGGTAAATAATTTATACTCAAGTAATTATTTGCAAGACTTTATTTAAACTAGAATTTAGTCAAAGTTAATTCAAAGGTTTTATTCCTTGCATCCTGTAATGAAGTTGTTGTTTAATTAGAATGACAACTTGCTCCTCTAGGTAAAAGGAAAGGGAAATGTAAATTTCAGCGATGATTTTCTCTGGCTGCTCAGAATAACCATGGCCAAGATGGCCCATGATTTTGAGGAAGGACAGGACCTTGGATGATTCCGGTGACACTGGAGAGAAGCACAGAATTTCCACATGAATCACAGTCCTGGGGCTTAGGGGCATTTCTTTAGTAGGACCGACACAAAACAAAAATAGTAATGAAACCCTCAAAAAGCTCGCAGCCATCCATTAACACAAACTCAGTGACACCTACATCCGAAACATACACCCTCGCATGCAGACACCTTCACACACACCTCTTCCTGGCTAAAATAAATAACAGTCCCAATCCCACCCCTAATGACAAAACACATCCCAGATGCTGTCAAGTTGCTTTCACAGAGTTTAATGAGTTGAACATCCAGAGACACACCTGTAGTTGCCACTGGTCCTGAGGCTTCTAACTTTTCCAGTGTGAAAAATTAGAGACACCTGGGCCTGGGGACTTATATTTGTGGGGCGCTGGTGAGGAGGTTTGGGGGGGGGGTGGTTCCAAAGTCTCCAGATCCATTTTCTTTAAGAGAGAGAAATTGTCGACTGCTTTTCACCTTCCACTTCTCACCAATTGGGTGGCTATTCATTTCCTAGCCCTTTGGCCGAATTGTGCTATGTTTCATGAAGCATCGCTCTCAGGTCAGGAATTTTGGGTGAGATGGATCAAATAGGAAGAGACCAAATGCATTCTACCCCCATTGACCTAGGAGCCACGAGCATGCAGTGGCAAATGGTCCTCAGGAGATGGACCTTTGTGGGGCAATATGGAAGAGCCTCTTAATACTGTCCTGTCCATGAGAGATTCCTTCAGGGGTGACCCCAAAGAGTCTTAGCAGATCAGGATGTGGAAACTCCCCGGGGATCCTGTCCCCTTCCAGTTCAACTCCTGCTAGCCAGAAAACCGAGCTACCACCAAATGAACTGGATTGCCAAAGAAAAATGAAAGCAGAAAGTATAGGTTCTGCTAAGGACAGGTGCATGAGATTATCTGTGTTCAAAGAATAAAATGAGGCGGTACATGATAAAAATTATCCTTCTGTGCCTCAGGCCATGCCTCTGAACACATCTTTGGTTCAGAAATTTACAAAGAGGGCTTCACAAACTCCCATCTCTGACATTACTATGATGTATGATTTCCCTACACAATACAAGAAAGTGTAGCTGGAAATTTTGAGTTAACCCTTCAGACTATTAATGATTGTGCAAACTTTGGACTCAAATCACTTACAAAGCTATTGAAGAAAGTTATGCTGCTAAAATAAATGCTATGTTATTGCACATGAGATTGACAGGATCTGCAAAAATCAAAGCTACATAGTACGTGCACTCTTGGGATGAGAACGGGGATGGAATGCAGCATGCACGGGGTAAACTGGGATGCGGCAGATTTGCCAGATCCTCCAGCCCTTCTGCAGGTCCATCAGAATCACCTATCGACGCAGAGGCAAGAAAAGCAGTTAGCGCAGAAAATGAGGGAGCCGGCGACAGGAAAAACGTGAAGCAAAAGAGAGCAGGTGGGTTATTTCTTAAAGAATGACATGTTTGGAATTTTTAAACATATATACAGACATATATATAATTGTATAGTATATGAAATTATATAAATTATGACTTAGTTTTTTTTGTTACAGAAAATAACAAACCTCCATGTATTCACTGCTTAGCTTCAACAATGATCAAGGCCAGTCTTGTCATCGGCCATTCAAGGCCAGGCTTGGTCATTGGCCATTCAAGGCCAGTCCTGGTTCATCTATTCCTCCCACTCTCCTTCACTTTATTATTTTGAAACAAATCTCAGACTTACCATTTCATCTGTAACTATTTCAGCATGCATCTCTAAAACAATGATACAGTTTAAAAACATAACTATCATACCATGATCACACCTAAAAAGATTTCCTTAATGTCATCGAACATCCAGGCAATATTCAAATTTCTCTGATTGTCCTATACATTTTATTTTTGAAGCCTGAATTAGGATCCAATAATGTCCTTACATTGCAATGGTCGATAGGTCTTTTTAAGTCTCTTTAATCAATGTGGTGAACTTTCAATCTCTTTTTGTCCTGGGTTTTTAAAAAAATTGTTGTTGAAGAAACTGGGTCGTTAGTGCTATAGAGTTTCACACAGTCTGATTTTGCAGATTGCATTCTTATGGTGGTGTTTACATGTTCTGCTGTCTCCTTTCTCTCTGGTAAATTGGTGATTAGATCCAATGGCTTGACAGGGTTAACTTCTTTGGCAAGACTGTGTCATAGGTGGTGGTATGGATTTCTATCAAGGGATTTCATTGCCTGCTTTGATCTCTTTTCTTGATGTGAATAGTTATTTATAATAATTGCTTACATCCGTTAATTCTTTAAGGTTCACAAAATGGGCATCTTAATTCTAACATTCTTTCTCTTCTTCCTCCTTCTCCTTCTCTTCTTCCTCCTTTTTAATAAAGCTGGAATACTTCTATTGCATGAATTTTCCCCCCATTTGGTTACCTTGAGGTTTTGGTTTTCCTTCATTCATTTTGAATCATTATAAACTCACGGATTTAAACATATTTGATCTGTGCATTTCAATCGATTGAAATTCATGGTAGTTATTTTTGATAATCATTTTGTGTCGTCTTTGGCTGATGGCACTTCAAGTTGACTCATGCATCCTTCCTTTTTGATGTGACAAAATGTTCTGGCCTCATCTTGTATGTTTCCTTCCTGAGATTTGAAACTAGCCATTTCTCCAAAAAGCCCTGGGTCCTTTTAGTGAGAAGCAGTATTTAGAAGCCATAATTTGGATGTTAGGGTTGGTCACTGTTAATGGGTTAGTCACCCTTTCCAAGCCTTTTCAGTGAACACAGCAAAAATTGTAGACACACACACACTCCATATAATATATAACATGATATAACTATATAGGCATTTAGAGATATTTAAGATAAAATACATTATAAGTTTATACTGATACTTCCCATTCAAATTCAGTTACAAGTTTTTATTTAACTTTATTGATCCTTCAGCTGTATCTCCTTTTCTCCATGCTAAAAAATCTCAATTATCCATGATAATAATCTAAATACTTATTTGCTTTATCCCACACTAGACACCCAATAGTCCCAGGAAAACAGAAATCCAACCATCAGCGATATCATTACTGAAAACAGCTTACTATTTTTTTATAGGTCTTTTTGTCCTTAAGGATGTACATCAAATTACTATGCTTTAAAATAATTTAGATGGATCCTTCTCTGTGATCATGCCATCCACTGGATACACCGTTGGGTTCATTTATTTCATGTTGATTTTGATTTGAAGGATAGCTTTCTAAATTTTACTTTTGGTTTATACCTCTGTAAATATTTACATATGTCTGAAGTCAGATGTACAAAAGAAGGTATATTCAGAGAAGTCTATCTCCTTGCCATCATGGCTATCCTGTTCCTCCTCCTTTCCACTACAGGTAACTTTAAGATAAGTTATAGCTTACTCTTTTGGTTTCTTTTTAACAATACAGACAGCTGCCTTTTTATGTTAGATTTTATATAATTTTTTTGTTATAGAATCAGCAGTTTTATATATTATAGAATGAAGTTTTCTAAACTGTTGCTGGATCATAATTGCTGAAGTACAGTTTTAAATCCTAGAACAGTTCAAATTTAAGAAGGTCATTACCGACTTGTTACAATTCTTTAACATTGTAGAAAATGCTTGCAAAATTCTTTTAGGTTCTGGACCATTTTCTCTCTCTGACCTTCACTCAGCTCGTCCGTAGAATTTTTCAGCCATGTCAGCAAGGCTTCTACCACCTACTTGCTGAACTTTAATTCATTTCATTTTCATGAAAGGAAGGAAATCCCCTGAAATCATTTATTAGTTCTTCTAAAAAGGCACAGCCATCTGGGACTTTTTCATGTTTGTTGTGTGAGCAGCCATGTCGTGCTTTTTGCATCATTGGCTGGAGTCAATGTTGAAATCTTAATTCATGGTGTTTATAATGGCAACAACCGTACGGGAAGATTTACACTTTCCAGGAGGCGTGGTTGAGAGGCGGATGGAATGTGGCAGTCGTGAGGAGGAGGATGTGCATCTTCTGTGTCAATGGACGACATAGTAGATGACCCACCTTACATTCAATGTCCTGCTGAGTAACTGATTTCTCTGTCTTGATAATTATAAAACTGGTCAGAGAGTTGCTCCATGATCTAAGACATTTTACTAAGCTGCCAATATATTATGGTAAGACCTTCTAATTATTGCCCTTTAATATCCTGGGCTTTGCAAAACAGTAACTCCAATTTTTTCAGAAACATTTTCACTATCATGACTGCTTTTTTTTTTTTTTTGAGAGACAGAGTCACTCTGTTGCCCAGTCTGGACTGCAATGGCACCATCTTGGCTCACTGGAACCTCCACCCCTCATCTTCAAGTGATTCTCCTGCCTCAGCCTCCCCAGTAGCTGGGATTATAGGCACGTGCCACCATGCCTAGCTAATTTTTGTATTTTTAGTAGAGACACGGTTTCACCATATTGGCCAGGCTGGTCTTGAACTCCTGACCTCAAGTGATCCACCCACCTCGGCCTCCCAAAGTGCTGGGATTACAGGCGTGAGACACCATGCCTGGCCCACGGCTACTTTTGATTGCTGCAACAGTGTCCCCAGTGGTCTCCCTGCTTTCACTCTGTCCCCCACATGTGACCATCAAGGAGGACTCAGACCTACCAGGTATTAAGACTTACCATAAAGCCACAGTGATTAAGACAGTATCAGCACAGAGATGGACAACTAGATCAATGGAACAGAACTAAGAGCACAGAAACAGACCCTTGCACATTTAGATGCTTGCTTCATGACAGAGGTGGTATTGGAAATCAATGTGTAAAGATGAGCACCACTGTCTCTGCACATCTTTCCATCTCAGCTGCCATTCACAGACATCACTTTCAGTAGCTACTTGGTACTCAGCCGTATGAACATACCATCATGGTACCACCATTTATTTAACCAATCCCCATCCCTTAACATTTAAGTGACTCCTTTGTGTTTTTTTTTTCCTATTATAAACAATGCTGCAATGGAGATTTTTGTATTTAAATATCTTATACAGGCCAGGCGCGGTGGCTCACGCCTGTAATCCCAGCACTTTGGGAGGCTGAGGCGGGCAGATCACGAGGTCAGGAGATTGAGATCATCCTGGCTAACACGGTGAAACTCCATCTCTACTAAAAATACAAAAAATGAGCCGGGCGTGGTGCCGAGCGCCTGTAGTCCCAGCTACTCAGGAGGCTGGGGCAGGAGAATGGCGTGAACCCGGGAGGCGGAGCTTGCAGTGAGCCAAGATTGCACCACTGCACTCCAGCCTGGGTGACAGAGAGACTCTGTCTCAAAAAAAAAAAAAAAAAAAAAAAAAAAAAAAAAAAAAAATCTTATACACATACTTATGTCCTTAGTTAGGATTAACTCATCAGATGGAGCTAATAGGTCAAAGAGCTCAGATATTTTGGGAAAGCATGGTCCACATTTCTTTCCTGAAAGGCCTGCTACTCCCACTAACAGCCTATGAAAGAGTCAACGTGCTTCCTCTGACAACTTGGAATATCATTACTTTAAAATCTTTTTGCATTTCAGGAGTAAGGAAGGGTAACATAGTTGTTTTAATTTGCATTTACTTGATAACACATAAAGCTAATCATTCATCCCCACCAAATGATTGGCCCTTTAAGGTTTTTCTTTTGTAAAATATTTGTTTTTGTTCTTATATGGTTACTAAACTGCTCTTTCTCACACCACTCCAATCCACCAGGTATGACACTGTGAAATTACTATCTCTAAGTAACTCTTGTGTACCTGGTTTCGCTGTTCTAAGAAATTCTAAAGGTTAAATGCTAAAGGTTAAAAAAACTATAAAAATACGTACAGATAAATTTAAGATAAAAGACATGCTTCTTGCTTCCCGCAAGATAAGGGCCAAAGTCTTTAACCAGAGGTTGATCTGCACCAAACTAACCTCAGTATTCTCTTCCACCATAACCCTCGTCCTTGACCAACTTGGTCTGCTCTCTGTTCCTTCTCCATGTGACATATTCCTCCCCCCATGCTTTGGCTCTCATTGCTCTCATCTCAGAATTTTCTTTTCACTTGCTCAGTTTCTTATCTCCCTTTATGCCAAGCTCAAGTGCATTATCCCCTTAAATCTTTCCCTGGGAGAATATCACCTCTGACCTTCCGAGATACTTACTGTAGTACCTTCCCATGCTTCATGCCATCTACCTTTTTAAGATTGTCCTTTTGGGGGCACTTGTTCTAACTGAAGTGTAAAACTCTCAAGGAAGAAGACAGTACACCTTGAGGTTCTTTTATGCTAGTGTTTCGTACAGTCCCAAGAACTCAGTGTGTGGATGATTCTGACGATCCCACGAAGGAGGATCTGTCAATGGCATGTTGAGGAGGGGGAGATGAGATTTCTATACCCTTGTATCTGCATAATCCCAAATATTTTTTAGGATGTTTTTACTGAATTTTCAGATGTTTAACGATAATACCTGATTTCTTAGTCATGGAGGAGTAAAGGTGTTAAGGGCAAGTAGAGGTTATAGTGAAGTCTGCTGAAGTTGGTAAGCAGCCATTATTGGGTCATTCTGGAATGCCTTGGCTTTTTACTTCTATTGACCCCCAAGCCCCAATCTCAGCACAGGCCCCAATCTATCACCCCACAAGCCCCAATCTCAGTGCTGTATTGTGGGCTGGCAGACTCTGGACAAGGG
Source organism: Homo sapiens (assembly GCF_000001405.40). Classification (NCBI taxonomy): domain Eukaryota; kingdom Metazoa; phylum Chordata; class Mammalia; order Primates; family Hominidae; genus Homo; species Homo sapiens. The sequence goes on from NC_000016.10 coordinate 73,379,410, forward strand.
AAAAGCAGCATACAATATAAAATGGAATAAAAGCCAAGTTCCACCTCTGCTACTTACAGGCTGTATCTCCATAGGCAGGCTACCTAACTCTCTTCACCCACATAGCAGAGACAGTAATATATTCCCCAGGATTCTTGTGAGAATGAAGTAAGACAATGTGTATAGAGTATGCAAAGTTATCTCCACAGAGCCAGAACTCAATGCATGGAAGCTATCAATGTAAGCAGAAAGGAAGAGGACCCTGCTGGTCTTTTCTGTCTTGGCATGAAGCAAGAGGTTGGGTCAACATGAGCAAAAAAATAAAGTCAGGCATGTCCAAGGTAATAAGGGACAAAGGGTGGAGTCTTATTTGGGGTCCACTGCTAAAGCACTTATCCTACTCTGCAGGGCACTAATAATTCCTGTGCCAACTCAGGGGTAAATTAGGATGGAAATTGCAGAGTGTCTGTGCAATGCTTACTTCTGACCGAAGGCAGCATCCAGGCCTACTGAGAGTCACTGGAAACAACCACCAGAAATTTTGGAGACTAAAAGCACAGTAACTGTGAAACTCCTGGAGGAACTCTAGAATATAGCTACATTAATTGATTCTACAATGAAAACTGGCAAAGGAGGGTGAAAACGTAAAGTACAGATGAAGCATAACCAAGCACAAGAGAAAGCAAAAGTAGCAATGTGGACATCAGAAAAAAATGAAATTTAAGGTTGAAGGTATAAAACAGAATGGAGAATGACATTATATAATGTTAAAAAGCACAGCTGATAAAGGACATATAATATCCATAAACCTCTATGCACCACACAACACAACAGTTAAGTATATAAGGGAAAAAAGAGCTTAAAATACAAGATTTTAATGAAAATAAGAGTTGGAGGTATCCATAGACATCTCTCAGAATTAGACATATTTACAAGACAAAAAATAAGAACAGAGGGAATCCAAGATTTTTTAAAGAGCTCAGTAGAATAGGTAACTTGCTATGGTTATGTTATCTGCAGAACTAGTGAAACGCACTGACACAAGAAAATGAAGTCACTGTCATCAATATTGAGAAAAGTAGATAAAATTATCACTTTTGTGTTGATATATCTGAATACCTAGAAAGCCCAAGAGACTCTAATGAAACACTAGTCAAATAAATTAGACAACTTAGTAAAGATAGTAAAGATGAATACACAAAAATCAATTGCTTCACTCTCTACTAGCATTAAGCACCCAGAAACGAGAATGGGAAAAAATGACAAGAGATTAAGAAGTTTAAAAAACTTTAAAAATACTTAGAGAGAAATTTAATGTAAGAGGAACTTGAGTGGCCAGGTGCAGGGACTCACACCTGTAATCCCCAACTGTTTGGGAGGCCAAGGTGGGAGGCTGATTTGAGCCCAGGAGTTTGAGACCAGCCTGGGAAACACAGTGAGACCCCATCTCTACAAGAGGAACTTGGACCCAGAGTTATATATTCCTGGGGTCACTCTATCCTCACCAGTGAGGTCTGAATTTCAACCCTAGGTTCTCTGTTCTATCTTTGCTTGCTCTCTTTCAGTCCTAGATACAGTAGCTGCTTCTCGCATTTACTATTCCTATCTTCCTTAGAGTCTTCTTTTAACTCTTTTAGTAGTTAACCACTATTTTACTAGTTAAAAATCTTACATAAATTTTCCCTGTTTAAATTACTGGTGTGGTTTCTCTCTCCAGACCCTGACTGATGCAGACCTATATGAATAAACTATAAAATCTTATTGAAAGACCCCCCAAACAAGAACTAAACAAATAGATATCTTCTCAGATAGAAAGACTTAATATTGTAAAATAGCTTTTCTTCCCAGAAAACATATATAAATTTAATGATATTCTAATCAGAATTCCAGTAACATTTTCATTATTTTTGGAAACGGTTAAAAATATCTTAGATTCTTTTGGTAGGGTAATTTCATGAATAGCTATGAAAAGCATGAAAAATAAAAATTGTGATGAGGGATATGACTAGCTGTATATAAAGCCATAGTAATCAAATCTAAGTGGTTTGGGCAGAGAGAGAGAGAGACAAAGAGATGAGTGGAAAAGAATGGAAAAATCCTGGGAAAGATCTTAGGATACATTGGAATTTCATCTATTACAAAGACAGAATTTCATTTCACAGGGCAGAAAGTGATTTATTTTTAAAAAATGGGCTGGCACCAATGGCTAGTCATCTAGAGCAGAGATTGGCAAGCTTTTTCTATAAGGAGCCAGATAGTAAATATTTTAGACCAGGAATATCCAATCTTTTGGCTTCCCTGGGCCACATTGCAAGAAGAAGAATTGTCTTGGGCCACACAAAACATATACTAACAATAACAATAGTTGATGTGCTAAAAATAAGTAAATAAATAAAAAATAAAAGTCTATGCATAAATCTCAAAATGGTTAAAGAAAGTCTACAAATTTGTGACAGGCCGCATTCAAAGCCATCCCGGGCTGCATGCAACCTGTGGACTGCGGGTTGGACAAGCTTGTTTAGACTTTGGTCTAAAATATTATGGTCTCTGCTGCTAGTACACAACTCTGCCATTATGGTGTGAGAGCAGAGCTAGACAATACATAAATGAGTGGGCATGGCTGTGTTCCAATAAAACTTTATTTACAAACACAGGCAGCTGGCCTGTGGGCCATAGTTTGTCAACCTCTGGATTAGAGGAAAATAAAGTAGTCCCCCATTTCTGACCAAATACAGAAATAAATTCCAGATGGAGCAAGGACTTAAATGTAAAACATAAACCTCTTAGAAGAAAAATCCAGGTGCAATAAGGTATGATTATATTACGAAGGGTATCCATCATAAGTCAGAAAATTCAGAAGCCATAAAAGAAAAGCTGGACCTATTTGAGTTTATAAAAATGTAAAACTTTTATACGACGAAGATGTTATACACAAAGTCTGAAGATAACAGATTTGAGAAGAATGTTTGCAGTACAGATGACTTATATCTCTAATCTACAAAAGGCTCTTACCAATTGGCAAGAAAAAGACAAACAACCCAACAGAAAAATGAACAAAGGGTATGGATTTTAGTTTAAGTGCGATTGGAGCCCTTGGAGGTTTCCAGCAAGAGAATAATATGATTTATGTTTTAAAAAGCCCACTCAGGCTGCTGTGTGGGGAATGGATTGTGGGGGGGCAGGAGGTAATCAGGAAACCAGGGAGGCTGGCTGGAATGTTTTTGCAGACTACCCCACTTGCCCCAAGAGAAGGCTTAATAGATGTTCAATAAATGTAGGCTGATTTTTGATGAAAACATCTGTGCCATACCCCGCTATGGAATCTAGGCCAAGTGTCCTTGAGCTGACTCCTTGATCCTTTCCTTGAGGGTATGTGAGGTTCAGAACGTGGTAAGACTCTTTTCAACTTTCAATAGAAACAAATGTGTGTCTCTGGTTGATGAAACCCAAGAGCTGGGATGAGGGCTACCCCTGAGAAATCCTGCCATACTTATCCACACCTCAGTGCTGTTGCCCCTCTTGGCTCTGATTATGGAAAGGGGAGGCAAGAAGACCTGTTGCAGTCTGAAGGAACCGGTGAATTCTTAGTTAAATGAGGCAGGACACAGGAGACAGGGGATGAAACTGAGAAGGAAGGGGGATCCTAAACTAACACAGGAGATGACAGAGCACATGCTTGGCCGCTCTCCACATCCCCACATGGGGAGGAGGGGGTTGCACTGAATAATCTCTTCTCTTAAGGCTTGGGGACCCAATGACTTAACTGCAAGTCATTTGTCTGCACGTGAAGCCAACAGTTTTCAAGTGATCAGTGGTCAAAACGAAGTAACGACTTGCTTCTCCTCAGCTAGGAAGTGGGTTTGGAAACTCTGGCCACCCATCCAGCAGCAGGAACAGCAGCTGGAGTGACAGGCAGCACAAAGAAATGTCCCTCCCTCCCTCTGCAAGGTTTAGGAAGCCCGAGGCAAAAAGCCGAGGCTGTAGAGCGGCACTGGGCCTGGAGCTGGTAACTCAGGCTCCGTGCAGAGCCTCCGCTTTTTCAAATGTAAAATAAAAAACATCCTGGACAGGAGGGATCTCTGGAGAAAAATGAAAGAACGCACACAGACGAGAGCTGCCGGGGAGAGGCAGCGGAGCTGACATTTTCTGCAAAGGGAAGAGAATAGCATCACCGCAGAGGGACCCCGCATCCAGCAACAGAGCTCTTGCGGCTCATCTTTGTGGAGGCCTCTCTGTTTCCCGAAATCCCTTGTGGAGCAAGCACAAGAAAGTGGATCCGAAGGAACTGGAGGGGTGGGGGGTGGGCAGTGTTAGCTCCCCTCCAACTCTGCCCCTCACAGCTGCATCCGGCCAAATTGAGGATGCTCTATTCTCCATGACTGAGCCTGTGTCTGGTTTCCCAGGGAGATGGGCACAATGGACCCTGCTTGCCAACGATGCTGGTCTTTAACAAAACAGCGGTGCCTCGTGCTCTGCACAAACACACATTTCTGCACACCCAGAAGAATGCATGCCTTCCAAAGAGTATCTGCCATGTGGTAGACACTCAGGAAATTCAGGATCCTGCAATCATTTTAAAGGCCTCCCAAATGGCGAGTGCTCCACGAACACACTTCAAAGAAAGAAATGAATGAATGAGCAGATTATTTTGGAATCACGTTCTAATAATCCATCTGGATATGTAGACCCCCAAACAGAGGCAACAACCATGTGAATTCAATTCCTGCCATGATGTCAGATGCTCTTGGCCAGGAATTGGCAAACTGCAGCCCAAGGACCAAATCTGGCCTGCACCCTGTTTTTATAAATAAAGATTTATTGGAACACTGCCACACCCCTGTGTTTACATATAGTCTATGGGCTGTTTTTGAGCTGTTAACAGTAGGCCAGCTTGAGTAGTTACAACGAGATCATATGGGCTGCAAAGCCTGAAATATTTATTATTTGGCTCTTCACAGAAGAATTTGCAGACTCTTGCTCTAGGCAACGTCCTGGATTTAGCAGGTCTGAGGTGAGGTCAAGGATTTCATGTTTCTGAGCAGCTTTCACTTGAAGTTGATGCAGTTAGTCTTGGAGACACCCTTTGCGAAGCAAGGTTTTAGGCACTCTCTTTTTCCAAAACAAACAAAAGTATGATGAACCATTAAACATTAAGTACCAATCCTGTACACAGCATGAACTTGGCCCTGCAGTATCACATAACTTGAGTCAGCTGTAATCAAAGAAAGTCTTGGACATCCCTGTTTCTCACCTCATAGGCCTCACTTACTGATAGGAGCCTAGCAGCATACACAGCATACACCAAGGAAGAGACTGGAACATTCCTGTTTAGTTCATCAACAGCCACAAATCTAGACAGACAGCTCAGTGGACATTCATTGCCTTTTGACTTCCAGCATCCATTCATTCCTCACCCGAAGGCAGCAATTTTGAAATATTTCTCTCTTCCCATTTCCATTAATGTGCTTTGGGCAGGGCTGACTCCAGGCTCAGCCCAATCAGCATCTTGCATCCCTCCTACGTTACCCTGATTGGTTCAGGGGTGAACACCTGACCCACTGGGTTCCCATGGGACTTTTGCGGGGACTTCTGTGAAAACAATGTTCTCTCTTTCCTAGAGCATCTGTAGTGAGACAACATAGAATCTGAGCTGCTGTACGCATTTCATGACGCTAAGAAGGCACACTAAGAAGGAAAAGAACAAGCATGGAGGGGACAGTTCCAAGCAACACAAAGGAGAAGAAACTTGGTGACTTTGTTTAGGCTCCTGATCAAATGCTACCCCTAGCCACAGGATGTTCCCATGGGTTTTTCAGTTATATGAGCCCACACATCCCTTTTTGCTTCTGCCATTTAGAGTTCCAATTTTTGTGCTTTGCAATTGAAAAAAAAATTCAGATAGGAAAAATTACTAAAACTTTCCGTCTGACTGTGGCTGAGCAATTAGGGCCATGAACACTCCTGCATGTTTGGACACATTTTGGCACATCTGCAGGAGGAGCATGAATAAACGGCTGCCTGTCTTGGAGCTGAGGCACTTGCTGCCTTGACCATCACCAAGGCTGCTATCACTTATAGGCCCTGGCAGCTCCAATCTCTCCAACTGCAACCAGCTCATGTCAAAACAGTCCCGCAGTTTCAAGAAAAAGGATCCTGGGAAAGGGTTCAGGAATCCTGCTACGAGTCAACTGAGCAACGTGTTAGGTTTTGAAGGGAAGGTGAGGGTTAAAGAAAGACACACACAGAGAGGAAGTGGCAGCTATACAGCAAATGCAGGCTTTATGTCCAGCATAAGACCTCCAGAGGTGGAGGACCAGCCTAATGCCAGTGCCCCCCACTGCTTACAGGCTGGGGTACTCACAGGTATGGGCAGGAGGGGCCTGGGCAGGATGGCTTGCTGCCTGGGATGATATTGCTAAGACATTGCCATGATGAGGCAGTTTGGCCTTTGTTCCCACGGAAGGTGATGTTCCTTGCACTTTCTCCCAGCAGGGTATGATAAGGATGTTCCTGTGCCTTGTGGTCAGGTGGCTGGGCAGGATGTGTCTCATGCCCCGAACCCCAGTGGAATGTTTCACTTGACCAAGATGTGTGAAATGGTGGGGGGTGGGGGGTTACAAAATGATGCGGTTTGGTCTAACACAAAGAAGCACTAAAGAAACTACCGAAGGGTAGGTCATCTCAGGCGAAACTATACCAGGTAATGTTTTCTTTAGCACCATTCCATGTTCTCTTAGCATCTTCTTGACCCTAAAGTAACCAATGCTCACTCTCGCTCTCTTTCTCTCTCTGTTTCTCTCCCACCGTCTCTGTCTCTCTCTCTCTCTTTCTCTCTCTGTTTAACTCTCTTACCAAAACAACTTTCAACTAGTAAGCAGATAGGAAAGGACCTTATTAAAAAACCCACAGGACTCAGGTTCACCAGTTTTTTAACCAGATAGATCTGGATTTGAATTCCAGGTTCACCCCTTACTAGATGTGCATATATGAATAAGCAACTTAAATGCTCTGAATCCCCGTTTGCTTATTTTTTTAAATATATGCTTTGCTGAGTTATCATAGGGAGATGAGATAAGGCATATAGTGGTTACGTGTAAGACTATTATCAAACCATAAAAATAATATTACGGACATAACATTAATATTGTTTTAGCCTCCTGGAGGTGTTTGCATTTTCATAGGGAGCAATTCCTTTCTTAACCCAACATTAGGAACTGTAAAGTCAGAATTTCAGCCTCAGCGACAGACCTATTGCTAGGTTTATATCTGACAGGTGGCTACTTAAAGAAGGGGTTCAAGAGCCCTACACAGTCCTTAGGCAATGACCCTGAGAATCAGAAACTCAGGCCATATATGTGGAAGCAAAAAAAAAAAAGATTCTAGAGATTGGAGGAGTTGCTGAGTGACAATCAGGCTGTCATCACTGAATTCTGATGGGCTACCTGGAACTGGCTTAGGGTGGGATTACATACGCCTCCTGCCACATCGGATTTCCTTCTATTTTGTCAGGGGTGGCATCATCCAGTGAGTAAATCTGTTAGTGATCTCCCTCGCATAACCTAGGAATTCTCTCAGGATCCATTTTTCCAGTAGTTTTGAGAAAGCGACCAACAACAGCAAAGAGAGTAGTTCTTCCATTCCAAGAGCAGCCATCTTGCTTAACTGACAAACTAGAGAGAACTGCAAGGACTCAGTACATCCCTGGCACAGTCCATTCTCTCTCACAGCATATTGTATGAGACTGTGTGAGTGCTGCTTCCACGCTACACTAAAAACCCATGGTCCCTGCATTATTTGAGCAACTGACAAGCTTCTGAAGTTCAGGTTCGCGAACGCTGAGAGCAGCACCCAGTGGATTTGTGGCAGGTGAGCAGATCCTTCTCATCTCCCATTGTGGAAATTTCACATTTCATTCTGCTTTGTGAATCCCACAACTTCATGACAAGATAGATTAACATTTTGCAAAAAAAATAACAAATAATGTTCTGCTTGAGGGAAAATCAGACATTAGGCTTCTTATAAGAAACAAGGGGTCATGTTGAAGACTTCAGGATAACATATCTTGGAGAAGAAAAAGCCATTCAGTGGTTCACTCCCCAAGTCTGTGGCAGGGTTTTTTTGTTTTTTTGTTTTTTGTTTTAAAGGTTATTTTCATAACTTTGAGACTACAATTAATTTCTGTAAAACCCACGGAAAAATAGCCTCTTTTCAATAATCTTCCCCCCATCTTTTTCCCCAAGAGTCTTTAAATCTGAGAAAATTTTTCTTTTCAATTAAAACAAAAAATTGAACAGATGTGCCTCAAGAGGGCTGGCAGTACTTTTAAGAACTGGTAATAATTTATTTAGAACCATGTATAGTAATATAATATATCTTTATACACAAGTCGCACATAAACACCCACTGCTTTTGGTGTGGTACTTACTGTTCCTTGTTGGAACACCCAGGAAACTTCCATATGTCAGAGATCATGTATGACAGTCCTATCTTCTGTGTAAAAGGTCATCTCCCAGCAGAAGAATAGCTCGCCTAGTTAAAGGGATACCAATTTTTAAACGCTCTGCCAAGCTGAAGATGGAGAGAATGAGTGAGAGAGGGAGATGTCAGATTTCAAATGCAGGGCACGCTCATTGTGCCCTCGGATGCTGAGCTGGGAGGAGGGGGAGAGAAACCTCTATTTAGAGATGATTGGAAAAAATCAGTGCCACACAGTGCACTTGAGAAGCAATGCGGCAGGCTATTCTTGCCCTCTCCTTGGATGTGACAAAATGGCCACCATGGAAACAGGAAGCAGCAGCAAATGGCTGCCACAGGTCTTCTTGGATGCTTGAGGAAGTGTCTATGTGTATCCAGGCCTGTGTGGAGTATTCCTAGGGTAGCAGGTTTTTAAAGTCAGGGTGAAGAAAAGGGAGGCATTTAGAAGGAATGGACAATTGACAAAGAAAGTGGTCAGACAGCACCAAAGGGTAATGATCTGGGAAAATCCAAGGTTCCAAGAAAGTACGTTGACCCCAAGAAACTTAGAATTTACAGTATTTTAGCCACCTTGAAACTATATAACCATGCCAGCTCAAGTAACCAAAAATATCCTAGTCCCTGCACTAGCCGCTTTTGAAATATCCTGTTTAAAATGACCCCCTCACCACCACGGGTAAGTTGCCAGGGGATTGGAGGCTCCATGGAGGGCTATCCCTAAGCCAACCTGCCAGGCAGGCAGGCAAGTTTCTGCCCTCCCCAACCTCCCCCTGCTAGCTCCTTTCCTCCTGAGAGTCGAAGACTTCCTGATGTTCCTGGTTGCATCAGACACCAATCTGGCCCAACTTCCCTATTAGAAGGCCTCTGTGACAACCAGCCAATCCGATGCACCAATCTGAGTAACTGTTTTCCCTCCTTCAGGACATGGTTACATTTAGTTCGATCTTTTCCTTCCCAAGGCAGATGCCCAAAGCAAAAAGAGTGAAGCAGTCAGAATTTCAGACACTGTGAACAACTCCCCTTGGGGTACCTCTGGGGCTGGCGTCTTTACATCACGACGACAGAAAGCTGGCCCGCACAGACTATGGCCACGGCGTCTTAGAGGTTTTGTTTCTCTGCAGGCGTCCAGTGCTCTGTTTCTTTCCCTCCTCACCACTCTCCAAACCACACTCACACAAATACACGTCCCTATGTGCAAAGACGCGCATATGTATATTGTATATCAGTGTGACACTCACACATACGTGCGGTGTTAGCATAGCCTTTCCCCCTCGAGTCCCTGTTGTGCTTCCCAGCACCCAGCATCCTCCAAAGCAGGCAGTGGCACACTATCACTCATAAACTAAATCCAGCCACTGCCTGCTTTGTAAATAAAGTTTTGCTGGAACACAGACCTGCTGATTCGTTTGTGTATCGTCTGGCTGCTTTTGCACTAGAACGGGGTGGAGTAGCCACAAAAAAAGACCATGTGGTCTGAAATATTTGCTCACTGGCACATTAAGAAAATGTTTGCTGCCCTCTAGTCTAAAGCAGCATCTTATATCTAGAAAATCTATTCCTTAAAAATTGTCAAAAGGTCTTTCTCTTATCTTAAAAGTGATTCATAAACCTGTACCTCTTAGAGTCATGGAGCCATGTAATTAGAAGGCGTATTTTAGATTGTTAGTCCTACTTATGGCCTAGTACGTGATTCTCTTCTAGGATACCTGTGGACGTCTCATCTCTCTTGATGGTTCCAGTAAAAGGCAACACACAGCTGCTCACAGGGAAGCTGTGATGTTTCCCAACAGCTCTATTGGAAAGTTCTTTTTTATCCGCAGTGAAAATCTGATTTCCTATCATTTCCACCCACTGGTTCCCATTCTGCCCTTTGGGGCCAGTCAGGAAAAGGGGGACGATCCTTTTTGAAAAATCGGCCAGGCATGGCAGCTAGTGCCTGTAATCCCAACGCTTTGGGAGGCAGAGGCGGGTGGATCACTTGAGGTCAGGAGTTCGAGACCAGCCTGGCCAACACAGTGAAACCTCATCTCTACTGAAAATACAAAAATTAGCCAGGTGTGGTGGCGCACGCCTGTAGTCCTGGCTACTCAGGAGGCTAAGGCAGGAGAATCACTTGAACTTGGGAGGCGGATGTTGCAGTAAGCCGAGATTGCACCACTGCACTCCAGCCTGGGTGACAGAGCGAGACTCTGTCTCAAAAAAATAAATAAAAAATAAAAAAATAAAGCATCAAGTATCTGGAGGTAACTGGCATGCCTCACCTTTATATTTTGCTTCTCCAGGTTAAAAAATAACCCGTCCCTCTACCTGTTCCTCAGGTGGTGTGGTCTCAAGGCCCCACCACCTCTGTAGCATCTCTTGGTGGTTAATATCCCTCTTAAACTTAGAAAGCCATGAGTACTGTGAAGATATCAGGTGCTTTCTCAAGATGAGCATTCATTCCTGGTCACCATGGTGCTGAGAGTTCACCAGTGAAGTGTTAGAAGCTTCTGGAGGGCAGGAGCAGAGGCTTGCTGCTGTCTTTCTGGAGCAGCAGGCACAGGCACAGGGTAGCCCCATCATCTCATCGGGTCCCAAGATGCCCTCTGAAGCTGGATATGCCAAGCTTTGCACCGGTGGCTGGAGGCCTAGCGGGGATTCCACCGGAAATCTGGTTCTAGAGAATGGTATATTTTGAATTAACCACTCAACAAATCATAAAGCAGGATTGTCAGACTCATTACGGGAAAAGCTGCACTGAAAATAATGCCTTAAGTATGTGTTGTTGCTGCTGGGGATACAATCGGTATTAGTGGCTTAAGGGGCTCAGGAAATTTCCATGAGACCGTAACAAAGGAACAGCCAGCATTTGGTGGGAACAATGGAGGATGGACCCTTTTCTTTCATCAATGAAAGGAGATCTTTCTTATTATTTAAAAATTTGCTTCTCCAAACACCCACTTCTCCCCCTGGTGTACCATGTCAGAGTTACTGAGGAGGTTTTAAAAAAAATCATTAAACAACCCCCCCAAAAGAGGGCTCAATGAGGTCTCATTCCGTGGTAATGAGCTCCAATTTAACGCCATCATTATTTCTGACATTAAAGGCCCGAGAATAGTGTCACATGCCCAGAAGCTATTTTTTTTTTTTTAAACCAGCTAATCCCAGAAATAAGAAACTGCCATGAGGGACAGTGAGTCAGGGCCTGTAAAAGTGCTTTAGGAGAGGACTGTGGCAATAGACTGACCTGAGCGTGGGAGGCACAGCCTGCACAAGGCCCTTAGCCACCTTGGGCGGACAGGCCCAGCTTGTGCAGTGACTGTCCAGTGAGTCATTAAGACCCTAGGTTTTGGCCAGACGCGGTGGCTCATGCCTGTAATTCCAGCACTTTGGGAGGCCAAGGCATGCAGATGAGTTCAAGACTAGCCTGGCCAACATGGTGAAACCCCGTGTCTACTAAAAATTAGCCAGCCATGGTGATGGACACCTGTAATCCCAGCTACTCAGGAGGCTCAGGCAGAACTGCTTGAACCCAGGAGGCAGAGGTTGCAGTGAGCCAAGGTCATGCCACTGCACTCCAGTCTGGTTGACAGAGTAAAACTCTGTCTCAAAAAAAAAAAATAAGTCTAGGCTTTGTGTTAGATTCTAAGTTTGAGGCTTAGCTGTGCTGCTTGTGCCAAAACCTTATGACTTTAGGGAATTTTACTTAAGTTCCTCATGCCTTGGTTTGGCTCATCTGTAAAATGGAACCCATAATAGTACCTACTACCAGGTGGAGGCAAAATTAAATAGGATGCAGAACACAGACTCTAACATATCAAAGAGAAGAAAGGAACCTACAGGATGATGGACAGGGAGGGACATCTGGAAGCAACAGCTGGGCTCCAGGCTTAGAGATCAACCAGTGCCAAGGGGGGCAGATCAGAAGGCTCTAGAAGAACTTTCATAAGAAGACAAAATTAGTAGAATGCCCAATATATCTGGATACATTGAGAGATGATGCACACAACCGGGGAAGACTTCAGGTATATGTCAATGACAGAAGACTAAGAAAAGCAAAAACAGAACCACTGAAAACAGAGTCATTTGGGAAAAGAAGAGTAAACAGAATATACTACATGGCTCAGCTAGGCTAAATATTGATCTGATAAAAATGACAATATCACGATATTGGCAAGATGGGAATTTTATGAGGGTTTTTTGAAGGGGAATTTAAAAGAGAGCTGGGCCCTCATTTTTCACAGTGGGAAGTCAGTAGATAATGCCTAGAAATAAAAATCAAGAAACAGCAGCAAGGCCAGGCGCAGTGGCTCATGGCTGTAATCCCAGCACTTTGGGAGGCTGAGGTGGGTGGTTCACTTGAGGTCAGGAGTTCAATACCAGCCTGGCCAACATGGTAAAACCCCATCTCTACCCAAAAACACAAAAATCAGCTGGGTGTGGTGGGGTGTGCCTATAGCCCCAGCTACTCAGGAGGCTGAGGCACGGGACCCTTGAACCCTGGAGGTGGAGGCTGCAGTAAGCTGAGATCACACCACTGTACTCCAGCCTGGGTGACAGAATGAGACCCTGTCTCAAAAAAAAAAAAAAAAAAAAAAAAAGAGTGAAAAAGAGAAATAGCAACAAAAGCATTTTATTGAGAGATATGGAGGTAAAGTTCTAAGGAATCAGTTTAAAGCACTAAAAGAGTTTATCCATAAGGGAGTAGGAGCTAGATAGGGGATTTTGGGGGAGAAATTATATATATTTTTGCAACAAGCTGGAAGGACTATATAAATCTAAAAACTGTGTATGTAAGTAACTTTGATAACAGTAAAACTAAATAAAATTCCTATTGAAATGGACCCCATCAATTGATTTCACCACGAGTTCCTCTGGATTTATTAGGATTAAGACCAGATTTAGCAGTTTCTCTGTTGGCTGTCTCAACCTTCTAACAGATGAAACGTCGAATAAGGCAGGTCAAGAGCATTTCCAGAAGTGTATCTTTGTTTTTTGTTTTTTTGTTTTTTGAGACAGTCTCACTCTGTTGCCCAGGCTGGAGTGCAGTGGCCTGATCTCTGCTCAATGCAAACTCCACTTCTCAGGTTCAAGTCATTCTCCCGCCTCAGCCTCCTGAGTAGCTGGGATTACAGGCACCTGCCATGACCCCCAGCTAATTTTTGTATTTTTAGTAGAGATGGGGTTTCACCACATTGGCCAGGCTGGTCTTGAACGCCTGACCTCAGGTGACCTGCCCACCTTGGCTTCCCAAAGTGCTGGGGTTACAGGTATGAGCCACCATGCCTGGCCAGGAAAGAAGTTTCATTGGCTCACAGCTCAGCATGGCTGGCTGGGCTCAAGCAATCCTTCCATCTCAGCCTCCCCAAATGTTGGGATTACAGATGGGAGCCATTGTACCCGGCCCTTCCTTCCAATTTAAGCTGAATATTTCTTTGGTCAAATCAGTATGTTGCTTGTCAGTACATTCTTGTCAGTCTCAATGGGCTGATGACTGGGCCCATGACATCCCCCATGATCACTGACAGTATTTTACCGTTCCTGATACTGCAGTTCCTGGTCCTCCCCTTTCCTCCATACAAATGTTACATTCAGTACTCCCAATCTAGACAGTCGTTCATATGCTAGTTCCTTTGAGATCAAAATTATGAACTCAGATTTGAAGCAGAGATGAGCACATAACAAAGGTATTTGCGCTGTTCACAACTTCAAAGTCGCTGGCGAGAAAATCAAGTTGCTACTGGACGTATGCATTCCTTCTCACGTGAATCTTCCTTCTGATGCTGTGTGCTGTTTCCTAGCTCTGATCACATTGAATAAACTATGAAAGTTGGGACCTAATCTCCAAAACGAGAGGACAATGGTTCCTGCAGGAAAACACATTCTCTTGGGAGTCACCATAGTATCCAGTGGGTAAAAGCACTGTTTCAAAAGGAAAAATGCTAGAAAACACTGAAGTGTTCAATTAAGAACATTAATTCTTTAGTGGTTTTCTACCTGTATGCCAACACTACAGATATCCTATTATATATATATATATCTCATGTATATCATATATGTGATATATATGAATATATGATATATATAAGATATATATAAAATATGTATTATATATTATAAAGTATATATATCATATATATCATATATGTGATATATGTATACATATATCTGTATGAATCTAAAAACTGTGTATATAAGTAACTTTGATAACAGTAAAACTAAATAAAATTCCTATCGAAATGGATCCCATCAATTGATTTCACCACCAGTTCCTCTGATTTATTAGGATTAAGACCAGATTTAGCAGTTTCTCTGTTGGCTGTCTCAACCTTCTAACAGATAAAACGTCGAATAAGGCAGGTTAAGAGCGTTTCCAGAAGTGTATCTTTGTTTTCTGTTTTTTTTTTTTTTGAGACAGTCTCTGTCTCATATCTGATACATATTTGATATATATATACATATTTTTCTTTTTGAGACAGAGTCTTGCTCTGTTGTCCAGGCTGGAGTGCAGTGGTGCGATCTTGGCCCACTGCAACCTCCACCTCCTGGTTCAACTGATTTTTGTGCCTCATCCTCCCAAGTAGCTAAGATTACAGGTGCCCCCTACCACGCCCAGCTAATTTTTTGTATTTTCAGTAGAGATGGGGTATCATCATGTTGACCAGGCTGCATTTGAACTCTTAGCCACAAGTGATCCGCCTGCCTCGGCCTCCCAAAGTGCTGGGATTACAGGTGTGAGCCACTGCACCCAGCCCTATTTAATATTTTGAAATAATACTTTACATGAACAGAGACAGAAGGACAAAGATATGCTTGTAATGGTACAGAAAACCCTACTGAAATTATAAAAACTGGTATGGTAAATAACTTCCTAGATTTTATATTAATTGAGGCTTTGACATGGTCCCAAAGTAAATTGAACTCTGTACCCCTTAGATAACATTTTCAGTGTACTTCTATGTGCCAGACACTGACCTAAGCATCTTACATATACCATATTATGTGACATTCTTATTAACTCATTTGGCAGATAAGGAAACCAAGGCCCAGAAGGGTAAAGACATTTGCCTTGGGATTGAAAGTTCACATTAGTAAAGCCAGGACTTGAACCCAGCTGTCATCCCAAAGACCATGCTCTTTATCACTAGAGCAGTGGTTTTCAATAAGGAGTGGTTTTGCCCCATAGAGAACATTTGGCAATATCTGGAGACATTTTCAGTGGCCATGCCTGGGGCTAGGAGTGCATCTGGAATCCAGGGTAGTCTCTAGAGGGGAGATGTCAGGGATAATGCCAAACATACTACAATGCACAGGACACCCTCACAAAAAAGGATCATCTGGGCTGAGCACAGTGGCTCATGCCTGTAATCCCAGCACTTTGGGAGGCCGAGGCAGGTGGATCACCTCTGTCAGGAGTTTGAGATGAGCCTGGCCAACATGGAGAAACCCTGTCTCTACTAAAAATACAAAAATTAGCCAGGTGTGGAGGCGCTTGCCTGTAGTCCCAGCTACTCAGGAGGCTGAGGTAGGAGAATCACTTGAACCTGGGAGGCAGAGGTTGCAGTGAGCCGAGATCACACCACTGCACTCTAGCCTGGGTGACAAAGTGAGGATCTGTCTCCAAAAACACCCCCAAAAACCAATCATCTGGCCCCCATGCCAAGAGGGTCACCCTGCACCGTGCTCTGCTTGTTTTTCTTTAAGAAATTCTGAACTAATTGCCCATTATCCTGTCCACAGCATCTAGAGTTGTAGCTGGCACATAGTAGGCTGTTGTCTCCTAACTATTAGCAAATGGATTATTTTTCTGAAATTATTAAAGCCCCTATATGGCTACATAAAAAGACACCAATTGTTTTTCTTTCATAAGTGATTATGTGCCTAATACTTTAAAAAGGCCTATAGACTTGAACCTCACCACAGGTGCTTGGAACAGGGGCCCTGATGTGTAAAACTCCCCAGGGATGGTATACAAGTCCCACGAATAGACCCTAATTACTTACCTTAAGTGCAGATATATAAGACATCTACCAATTTGTTTCCCCACACACCAGTTGTCCCACAGGACTTTGTTAAGTATGCTTATATGTACATCTTAGAGTTATACTTTTAACAAGGTTTAGAAGAAAACAATGCTTACTATACACTTCTTGGGTTTTCTTTTCCCTTTGTTATTCCATAATCATCACCCTACCTGGAATAAATAGGCCAGGGCCTTAGAGGAATGTAGCAATTCTGTTGAAGTTATGGGAAAGTGGCTGAAGGACCTAAATGGAAGATGGGGAGTTAGAAAATGGAAAGACACAATATTCCCTGTTAGCCTCCCGGCGGGCATCTTTCTCCACTCCTTTCTAGTTTGTATGATGGGAAGAGGCTTATGCGGAGGAGAGGACAGAGAATTAGGTCACACCCATGATAACTGAAGATTGGCTTATTTATGAATATCTTGCACGGTGCAAGTATACCATGTAGGCTCAAACTGGAGAAGGCTGTATTTTACCCTCCTAACCTCCTTCTGCAGCTTTAATGAAAGTTTTCAAAGGGGAATTGACATGTTTAATTGTTAACTAGAAGACTCATTTATTTTTTTTCATTCATTCATTCAACACATACTAAGTGTGTTAGTCTGTTTTCACACTGCTATGAAGAACTGCCTGAGACTGGGTAATTTATAAAGGAAAGAGATTTAACTGACTCACAGTTCTACAAGGCTGGAAAGGAAACTTACAATCATGGCAGAAGGCAAAGGGGAAGCAAGTACATCTTATATGGCAGCAGGAGAGAGAGAGACAGAAGGGGGAAGTGTGCCAGACTCTTATCAAACAACCAGATCTTGTGAGAACTCCCTCACTATCAAGAGAACAGCATGGGGGAAACCACCACCATGATCCAATCACCTCCCACCAGGTCCCTCCCTCGACATGTAGGGGTTACAATTAAAGATGAGAGTTGGGTGGGGACACAGGGCCAAACCATATCACTAAGCACCAGGGTATCCTCCTGAGTACACAGATGGCCTACATTTCCTAACCTCATTTGTGGTGAGGTGTGGCCATGTGGATGAGTTCTTACCAGCACAGATGAGCCTAAGTGACGCCAACTACTTCTCCGCCCAGACCTTAACACTGATCCTGTAGGTGGTGGCAATGCCCCCTGCAGTGTGGAAGCAGCATAAGGAAATAAACCTAAGCGGCTCTCTTGTGAGCAAGAAATTCACTTCTTTGCTTATCCAGCTGCTCTATTTGGGGACATCTTTGTCATAGCCTTTGTTACTTACATGGATGTCTAATAGCAGTCTATGCACTCATGGAGTTCATAATCTAGACAGACAGTAAATACCAAAGATAATCAGGGAGGCCTCTCTGAGGAGGTGACATTTATGATGAGACCTGAAGAGTAAGGATTATCAGCCATGCAAAGATCTGGGCGCTCAGGCAGACAGCAAAACAAATGCAAAGGCAGAAATTAACTTGTGTCTGAGGAATAGAAGAGTGGCATGACTGGAAGGCAGTGATGGGGTCAGAGGGTCACTGGGTGAGGTTGAGAGGAGGCAGAGGAAGAGTAAGTGGAGGCAGTTCTAAGTGTGATGTGAAGCCACTAGGGTGTTTTAAAGTGGGTATAGGCATGGGTGTGTAGAGAGAGAGGGAGAGAAGGAAAGAGATAGTATTTGATTTGCATACTGAAGATCACCTTTGGCGATGGCATAGAAAACAGACTGCAAGGATCAAGAATAGAAATGAGAAAAGCGAAGACAGAATGGCAGTGGTTCAGTGAGCAGTGATGGTGGCTTGGACCAGGCTATTAGCAGTGGGGATGTGGGAAAGGGCTGGATTCAGGGATGCGTTTGGAGAGAAAGTCAATGGATCTGACTGACAGATTGGAAGTGGAGGGTGAAAAACAGTTCTTATCTTGAGCAGGTGGGCAGTGGTGGTATTTGTTAAGCTGGGCAAGACTTTGGGGGGTCTTGGAAATGGGGGGGACATCAAGAGGCCTGTTTTGTTTTCGCTTTTGTTTCTTTTGGAGATGGAGTCTCCCTCTGCCACCCAGGCTGGAGTGCAATGGCGCAATCTTGGCTCACTGCAACCTCTGCCTCCCAGGTTCAAGTGATCCTTCTGCCTCAGCCTCCTGAGTAGCTGGGATTACAGGTGTCGGCCACCATGCCCGGCTAATTTTTATATTTTTAGTAAAGATGGGGTTTCACCACGCTGGCCAGGCTTGACTTGAACTCCTGCCCTCAGGTGATCCACCCACCTAGGCCTCCCATAGTGCTGGGATTACAGGCGTGAGCCACTGCACCCAGCCAAGAGGTCTGTTTTAAAAGTGCTAAGCTTGAGATGCCTGTTAGAGGTTGACATGGAGAGTCGGGGGTTCAGGAGAGATTACTGAGGAGTCTTCGGCAAATCAACAGAATTTAAAGCCACAGACCTAGATGTGTCCTCTTAGGGAAAGGGAAATGGGAGAAAAAGAGGAGAAGACCAGGGAAAAAGTGTCTAGCAGACATTTAGGCATCTTCTCACCAGTGTCTAGGATAAACAACACATCAGCATTTCTAGGGAAGTGGGGAAGAGCCCGCACTGTTGGTAATTCCAACTGGCACCATGAGAATTTCTGTGAGTGCTGGTGCCGGCCTGCACTGGCTCATGATAGCTGTTTGTTAAATTTTCAGGAGTTGTGTGAGCCAGTTATTAAATACAGCTATTATTGTGGAAGTCAGGGTGGAGCATTTATAACACAGAAACCAGCAAATTATCCATAGGAGGATCTCTAAAAATTTTTGAGAGCCTATCTGTAAGCACACCACTGGTCCCCACATAATTTGTGTCCAGACTTATCAGAGAAATGGCATGGGATCCCCAGATGCCATCTGACTCATTTCTTACATAAGCCGACCCATAAGCACATCATTTGTAGTAGATGATGGCATGATCCCATTGTCTGGGAACTCCTATAACACTGTGACCTCCATCCACTGTTGCTCTCTTGCCAGCACAAGTACACTTATAAGTGGCAGTGGTTTTTTTTGTTTTGTTTTGTTTTTTTGAGATGGAGTCTCACTCAGTTGCCCAGGCTGGAGTGCAGTGGCACAATCTCAGCTCAGTGCAACCTCTGCCTCCTGGGTTCAAGCAATTCTCCTGTCTCAGCCTCCCAAGTAGCTGGGACTACAGGCATGCACCACCATGCCCCCCGCTAATTTTTTTTTTTTTTTTGTATTTTTAGTAGAATCGGGGTTTCGCCATGTTGGCCAGGCCAGTCTCGAACTCCTGACCTCAGGTGATCCAGTTGTCTTGGCCTCCCAAAGTGCTAAGATTACAGGCCTGAGCCACTGTGCCCGGCTGGCAGTGGATCTTAAGCAGCCCTACAAAAATGTTAAAGGGAAGGGATGGGAACCTGAGTATCTGGATTTTTGTGGAATTAATTTTTAGAAAGGTAGAATATTCTCTATACTAAACAATAGTCACAAACGATATGGGAACTTGGGGAGTTCCTTTCCTCTGAGGCATGGGTGGAAACACTGAGGTAAATACTTTGCCCCATGAAAGAAAGCAGAGGGGACTCCGGTTTCCTGGATATTCGAGACATCTCTCCAACCTTGGGGACACGCAGCACCCCATGATAGCAAGTTTGTTTTTTATAATCCTTCTTTTTCCTCCACTCAGTCTTGGTATTCTCTCTACCACACCTATTTCATTGACTCTAAGATGCGTTTTCACAAAGGTGCAAATGGGTTGATGAGTTTATTCAGGAGTATTGACATGCTACGGTGCACTGGAGCATGCAGCCAATCTCCCTGCACGCTTGAGTGGGCCGTGGTTACCTCCACTGCCTCCAACAGGAATCGAGTGCTGTTTTGTCTCCATGCTGGGGGACTGGAGAGATGTGTCATTCCAGCATCACCCTAATTATGATTTTCAGAAGATGTAGCTGTCTGGATATAACAGGGCCATCAAAAGTGTGTGGAAAGAGTGTGTGTGTGGTGTGTGGAGTGTGGTGTGTGGTGTGTGTGTGTGTGTGTGTGTGTGTGTCTAGATAGCAGAGGGTACACCCCCAGAGGCTGGGCTTAAGAATGAAATGGAGTTATTGCATTACTGCCTGTGCAAAGCTAAGCCTGCATGCACAGTAACAGACGTACTGACATAGGTGCTCACACGCATATGTACAAAACCCACGAGCTATCCTGAGCGAGGCTTTTCTTTAGAGATGAATTTAGTGAATCAGAGAATGTCAAATCTGTAAAAAAAAAAAAAAAAATCACCAAGGTTATCCCACCCAAAGCTTTGTTGTTGTTGTTGTTTCAGATGAGGAAACTGAGGCCCAGAGAGGTTAAGTGATTGCCCTGAAGCCACACAGCTAACCAGAGAAGATATAAGTTCCTGCCTTCCTTACTTCCCATTCTCATAAGCAAGTTTCCGCATGAACAAGGTGGCAGGTCTGAGCAAAATGCTAAAACTGTGGCCCCATTTTGTTTGTGCACATGTATGTGTGTACATGAGCTATTGGTGTGACGGGAGTTTGCGGGGATATTCTCTCCCTGTTACATGTTTTCACATTTCCCACAAGACGGGAATGAAAAGGAAGGAAGAGCTGAACCATTCCCTCAGGCAAGTAGATCTGTGGCAAACAAAGAGTCCACAGCTCGGTCTCCACGGGGGTCAGTCTGACTTCCTTCCCTCAGAAGCATCCCGGGCTACATTTTCATCTTCGCCGTCTTCCAATCTTGCATAATCTATAATAATGTGATTCCAAATGCATTTTAGCAAATGCAAGATGGAATGGGACTCCCCCGGCTGCTCCCGAACATCTGATCTAAGAAACCCGTAAGGAGCTGCAGTGAAAAGTTCACTGATAGAAAAAAACAAACAAACAAACAGACATTTGCCTGTGTCCCTGGTTAGGGGCAAGGCTTTTCCGGGTTGGTGGCTCTTGGTCATCTTTGTTGTCCTTAAAAAAGGGATAACGCTGAGGAGCTGGCGGTTCACCTTTGCTCTTGTGTTTAATTGCTGCAAAAGCCACTTATTACCTTGTGTTCTTCCGCAGAGGGCACACTGTCTTTCCCAGCCACCAGGCCTGCTGGTGTTTGGCTTCTCTACCTGCCCCGGAAGCCATCCCCGTCACCTCCGAGTAATTCTGGGTCACTTCCAGGGCCAGGTCTGTCTGGCTCCGGTACAGGAAGGCCCTCATGAAAGGAAGAAGGGCGGAACTGGGATTTTTTTTTCTT
The DNA here is from genome assembly GCF_000001405.40 of Homo sapiens. Taxonomy (NCBI): domain Eukaryota; kingdom Metazoa; phylum Chordata; class Mammalia; order Primates; family Hominidae; genus Homo; species Homo sapiens. Next base: position 73,401,059 of record NC_000016.10, read on the forward strand.
TCTTTGAATTTTGCATAAAATTCCGTCCCCAGCCACCTAATGAGAAAACATCCATCATCTATCTTTCCCTGGGAATGTCGGTGGCCATTCTGAGCTGGTTTGTGGTCCCGCTCATCTGTACGCAGGCAGGGCTTGTGAAATTGCTTTTCCCTCAGAAAAATATGTTCATTTCCACCTTCCTCAGATGGCCCTCACAAATGAAAGTGCTTTGTCATTTTTAATGCCCAGTGTTCCCTTTTTCCCGCACTGTCTCCAGTCACGATCCAGCCGATAAAACCCACAGGTACATTTAAAACAAAAAACAAAAAACAAAACACACACACACACACACACACACACACACACACACCTCAAAAGCCCAGAGGACTGTCAGATTCCACTGGTGTCCCCTTGTGGGTTTTCCTGGCACACAGAGCAAAAATGGCTGCAAGGGGAGGTTCTCTCTCTGTTCCCTGGAAATCTCCTTGGGCCTTGTGCAGCATTTGGATGGACACGCAGCGACAGGGGACGTGCTGAATTCTAGATAACAGATGCCTGCCTTAAAATGGAGGCACAAAGCCCAGCCCTGTCCCCTTGGCTGGCCGGCTCTGAGCATCCTGAGAATTAACAGAGGTACATGTGCTTTATAAAAACTGGAAAGTGTACTAAAAATTCAAAGTTATTATTATTTCTAAAATGTCTCCAGCCTACGATTTGTCATAAACACCTATCATTCTGCATAGATAATTGGGTAATTGTTCCTCATGCCAGAGGGAACAAACGTCTCTCTTTGAAATGTGTGTGGAGGCTTACACATAGAGAGCCCTGTTATAACGAGGGTCTGACTCCATAGAGATTTGTAGATGCCAAAAGACTAACAATAACCTCCTCCAAAAAATAACTGCATCCAGCTTTTCATAGGCAAGTTAGTAGGACCACCTGATTCCAGCATTTTAAAAGAGTCACCCTCTATATGGAAATGTGGTCAAAATACTAGTCCAGGAAAGGAACATGACAGATTTGTTGGCCAAAACTTATTTCAAAGCAGAATCTTTGTAAAATATGATTTTTTTCCCACATATCTGCATTTCAAGACTGGGTTATCTTTGTTTCTTTGTGATTGTTATTTAAATACATATTAGTTTTAACTTTTCCTACCTTTTCTTGATCACACCATCCGCTGAGTTAAGGATCTGTAAACAAAGCTTGAATTGAGCCAAAATGATCTAACTTCCAAAGGGAACCCTTGTTTCCTCAGGTAAACTTGAACGTCTTCATTGATGATAGAGAACCTTGCTTCTCAAATAACCTAGCATGAAGGGCAACTTGGTAGTTGTTTTTGTTGCTAATATCCAATTCCCCATGGCCTGATACTTTTGTAAAATACATAACAGTTGAATTACTAGAAAAATAAAATGTCGCTTGAATGTTGCAGTCATGTCATATGGCTACAAAAGTCTTTAAACTCTTAACTCTGAATTTCTCTACTTAACTTGTTGAGAATCCCTGTCAAATGGTTAACAGACCAGGAACGACCTGTGGACCCGCTTTGAGTAGCACTGAGGTTGAGACAGCTGTCCTGCCATCTTACCCACGGTGGCTCATTTTCCAGCTATGAAACTGCTCACTCCTTAACTTATAAGAGTTTGTCAATCCAATGTTTTAATACCTTTTTTAAAGCAGGGACAGGTCTGTATACAAAGCCTGCAAGCTAAGTAATCAGTTGATAACTGAGAGGGAGGGCTGTTAATGTCAATATGAGTTACACAAAGCATTGTCCAAGAATAAATCAGGAAGTTACCCTAAGGTACGGCAGAGGGAGGGGAGGGCTTGGGGGTGGCTGTCGTACATATGGAAAATAAAAAAAAAAACATTACAGAGAAGTAATTCTTAACCTGTATTCCATAAGACAGTAGATTAAGAGGTAATAGAGAGAGCTAACACCAGGCTGGACTAAAGAACTGGAAGCAGAGAACATACACAACAGTGTAAATAGGCACACACACGTGTGTGCATGTGTACACGTGTGCATGTGTGTGCATGTGTGTGCACGTGTGGGCGCACGGTCCACCTGGTGGGCTGGCTGATTGGAACTGAGTAAGGAAGGGTGGAAAAAAGGTTGAGGGAGCATTTTCAGAAAGGGGGTCCAATTTATATCCGTTGCAGTAATTGGTTTGTTTGTGTGGAGCAGGAAGAAGGGGCAGTGGGGGACGTGATGGAGTGAAACACCGAGGGCTGCGATTCCCCTGCTTGATGAGTTGGAGAGAAATTGTTAGTAACCAAGACTGGTCCCGCAGGGGTTCGTTAAGTGACTGGCCCTCCACCATATCCTGTCATTTCCAACCTGGATGCATCAACATTAGCCCGCTTTGCGGTATGCAATTGTGCATCTGCACGGGTGTGTGAAGGCGCAGGAGCGTCTGCGGGCCGGGTCTGTGTGCACGTTTGTACCTTTTCTTGTGGATACAGTTAAGTTTTCCATGGGAATTAGAATCATGAAGGCCACATGCAATTTTTTTTTAAAGGCAAAAAGCAAAAGGTGCTTTCTTACTGGAAACACAAATTTGCTGTGACACTTCAAAAGTACCGTGGAGTTGAACAATAGGAAAACTAAGAAAGGGTCTGAACTGGGCGGGCTGGAGGGAGCTGAGCACTGAAAGGCTGGCCGGTGGCGAACACATCCAAATGGTAACTTCTTAAGTCAGCCCTGAAAGGGACAGTGAGCAGTGTTTGTCTCCGGATTGTGAGGCCTGTCAACCCCTGGGAGACAGGGGCCCAGAAACTGGAGTTCAGGCCAAGAGCCAGGAAGGAAGGATCGGCAAATTTGCCAAATGTGCAGACTGCCCACAATGTCTGGGTGCTGGTGGCATTTGGAGTCACGGATGCTCTGTCTTTGGATCTTGGGATTTTTTTTTTCCAGGCGAAAATGGAAGAAAGACTCCTGTGGGGAATTTTAAGGGTAGGAGTCCCTTTGGGAACCCCATAAATTCAGATCTTAGAAAAGCACTGAGGAAAAAAACCAAAAATGCTTTTTGCACCAGTGGGAACTCTGAGGATTCAGTCTCCTAAGTGCTCTGCCTGTCTGGGTTAGCCAAGGATCCAGTTTCAGGGGCTGGGGGAAAGCTAATGCCATCTAAAGGAGGCCAGCCCCTCCCACCCCCTCAACCCACTTAGCTCAGTCCTGGACAAGGCTGGACTGTAGCCTCTGGACAGAGGATCCCCTTAAGGCACAGAAGAGGGCTGGACTTCAACCTCTATTCTGTGGTTTGTAATGGTTTCCTGGAATGAACAATCAAAATGTAAAACCTGCAAGACATGAAAGTGACCATCTTTGAGTGCTTTTTCTACTTCCTAAAACAGGGATGCACTCTATCTGCGCAGAGGAAAACTCGTAGGACCTCCTAGGATGCATCTTGGCTCCAAGTTCGTGCAGTGTTATTAGGAAATTACAAGTCTAAGCAGCCGCAAAGAGACCGTTAAATCACATCACCTGCAGGTTTGCAAATATATGAAGATAGGCAGAGCTAATTGCCATTATTGTTGTTGGTATCATTATTGTTAATAGATGCCATCTGTTGATACTTCACATCTTATACATGTCTCATTTTCATCTTCATTATAAGCATGTAACAGAAAAAGGCAAGTACTATTATTATCCCCGTTTTACGCATAAGGACACCAAGTCTCTGAGTTCAGGATGTCCCCGCGAGCCCAGACCACCTGAGTCCACAGCCATGCTCTTAGCAGCTTGTTTTGCTACCCCTCCAAGTCCTGTTACCATTTCCTAAGTGTTTCCCAGGTGGAAGGCCCATTCGAAGCACTTTACATACATTATCTAATTATCTCATTTGGTCCTCAGAGCCACAAATCAAGCTAAGCAGACTGCCCAACCTCCAAGCACTTATGAGCTTGTTGTTCCCACGGAGTCACATCATCCTTAGACCATTTGCAACGGTCCAAGGTGGCAGAGAAATCACTTCTGGGCATGAATGTGGTCATTACCAATGGCCGTGATGGGACCTGGGGCTGTTGCTCTTCAAGGCTGATATGAGCCTCTAGATAACTCAGGAAGGAAACTTTTAATCCTCATCATTACAACCATCAGTGTTGTTCTGAGCATCAGCGACCAAAGCCGGAAAGGAAATAAAGAAGGACTTTGAGAGTCATGTGTGTTTTGCAATGAACCAAAGGCAAATGGGGCTTTCCTGAATTTTTTAAATTTAGGGGCCAGAATGGAAATTATTCTGTTTTTTTCCACATCTACCAAGAAGGACTAAGGCTTAGCTGTACTACTTTCTACGATCCTGGCTGATTTTTCTTTTTCAGTAGAATAACATAAAAAAGGAAGGCCAGGGTGCTCTCCAAACAGAACCCAGATCTAATGAGGGGATTTTGGAGTTGTTTATATAGCATGTCTCCTTATCTGTATAAAGCAAAGAACATCTCCAGGTATTTTCAGTGGATTGATCTCATCAAGACACAGATTTATTAAAAAGAAACACAGATAGAGGGAAACAGGCCACTGTAATTTATACATTAGTTTTTTTGTTTTTTGTTTTTTTTTTTTAAGAAATAAAAACTAACTCCAAGTTTTTTAGTCATTGCAATGGGGCCCTGCACATCACGTATGTAATGTAATGACAGCTTCAGACTAGGGATGCTTTTGATGCATTATTAACCATAAAAAAGACATTAAATACCAGGCTGGAATGCCATGGGGATGCATATTTCACTAGGAATTATTTTTCAATGTATGCTTAAAGTTTATTTTGGTAAACAGATGACTGGAGGCTGTCAGAGCCGGAGTAAGATTTATGTTCATTTGGAATCTTCTTGAAAGGAGCGGAAATGCCTGGGACTTGTGGAACACCCACAGCAAAATGTAAATCTTTTCTTGGCCCCAGGGAAGGTTGGAGAGTGCCACACAAACAATTCCTCCTAGGGATGTGTGGTTTCCAAGCAGCATCAGCGTAGATGCCCGTAGGGGCACACGCCGGGTAGAGGGAACACACATTCTATCGTCTCTAGGAGGAGGGAGCAGAACAAAAACATCTGGACTGGGAAGCCGGCCTCAGGATGCCCCATCAGATGCCTGCGCATCAGCTGCAAAGAACGCCCCGAACTAATTCCTCCGTTTCACAGTCACCCCCATGTTGGCACCAGGAGCTGTTTCCTTCTGTGCTGACACATTTGTAAAGCATTTCTGGTTGTGGACGTAGAACTTATTGACCATGTGGGTTTTCCTATCCTTTGTAAATGATGGAGGCATCACTGCATCCATCTACAAAGCCCTTCCTTGGAGCTTCTACAGCCCCAGGAACCGTCACAGAGTTACAGTCGAGGCAGGACCAATGGGTACCTTTCTGAAACTGAAGACAATTTCAGATGATCACAGTGTGCACCTTTAGGGCCTGCTTCTGCTTCTTTACTATTTGATACTTAGTAAGTTTCATCCTAAAGACATACCCATTTTGGCAGATACTGACAGCTTCGCGTAGCTGCTCCAGGCTCAACAATTCGTATGGAATGCTATAAATTCTGTTTAACATTTGTTACATAGATACTTAGCTACAGATTCAGAGCCAGATGGGCACACCTAACCCATATGCATCTGTAAAATACTCTCCTGCCCAAATCCTGCCTGTATCTGGAACACTCTGAGTGCTCAGAAGATGTTACTACAATTTTAGGGCCGAAGGATGGTCTATTTCAGGTCAATGATCTGTGATTTGCACTAACAGGGTATTAGTGGCATGAAGATGTCTGCAAAAGAACAGAAAGAAAGAGTTGGGAATGTATTTTCTTTTTGCAGCCTTATCATCTTGAGCTTTGGCTGGGGCTGGTTTATATTATCTGGCGACATTCCCATTTTTAAATATGGCACTGAATTAGCCTAGGCACTCATGTTTCAGTTTCTTAGAGTAACAATTAATTGAATCAAGGTTTTGGTGATGCCCTCCTCCAAGGGTGGCTGATTCTGTAGCAGCAGTTCTCAAAAGAAAGGGTGATTTTTTCCTGCAGGGCGTATTTGGCAATGTTTACATATATTTTTGGTTGTTACAACTTGGGAGTGCTAGAGATACTCAGTGGGTGGAGGCCAAGGATGCTGCTAAACATTCTACACTGCACAGGACCTCCCTACCTCCAGCCACCACGGAGAATGATCCAGCCTCAAATGCCAGTCGTGCAGAGGTTAGAAGCCTTGTTCTAAGGGACTGTAAATGCGGCCGCTATGCTTTGTGACTAAAAGTAGCTGGAATGACAGTTCGGCTGTGTACAATCCAAAACCGATTGCATTGGAAAATGAGGGAAGGGCCTGAATGCTGGTTTTCCACTGAATGGTGGTTCACCCCTTGGGTCCTTTGTTCCATGGCCTGTGGTATGATATCATCAATGCTCTGAGACCCACACAGCTTGGCAGAGGACACATCAGTAGTCCAAGAAGGTGTCACTGTGCTCATTCCATGGTTGGAGAAATGGAGGTACAGTACAGTTCAATGACTTGCAAGAGACCACAGCATGAGGGAGTGGCAGGGTCAGGAACAGACCACTGAGCTTTCCACCTTTAGTCTCCCACCTCCTAGGCTGGTGTTAGAACCAGGAGATCACACTGAACACACACACTCGCTCCCTCCCTTCCTCTCCTGCATATAGAGATATAGCAAATGCAGGTTAAGTTGACTTTAATCTTTAATTCATACACAAGGATGTGCAGCACAGAGTGAAATAAAGAGTAAACTCCAGAGGCAGCAAGTTCTGTAGGTTTGGCCAGATCTTCCTTTTCAAAGACAGACAGCCTGGGGAATCGTGCAAATGGTCTTCCACTGCCCTCTTAGATTCTTTTTATGGCAAAATGCTGGCTTTTATCAATTCCTACCCCAACCTCTGATTCCTACAGGCTGGGGAAAGCAAACAGCAGTTGGGGAAGTGCATCCACCTTCTCTTGTGATGGCAACAGGAGACTTGGACCCCTGGGGAGGCCAAGAGGAGGGGAGTGAAAAGGGGTGAGCTGCAGGAGTGGATGGGGGTGGGTGGGGGAAGAAGCTCTGGTTGCAGATACCTGTGAAACTTGTTTTTTTTTTTTTGCTTGGGTGGAGGGATTTGGCCTGGGACCCAAACAGATGGTTGTTCATTCTGACCCCCTAATAGGCATTTCTGCATTAAATGATATCAGAGTGGACACAGGAGAAAGAAAAGTCTATTGTTGTGTCCACCATAAAAATAGACGTGTGGATGAAATGATCTTGGAGCAGAATCGACTAGAGAGGGTGAACTTGGGCAGAAGAAATCAACTCGGACAAGCCAGAGTCCCTGACAAGGTCGTGAGGTCTCAAGCCAATGGGATGACATAAAAAGGTATTTGGATGCCAATAACTGTAACCAGCAGCAGATGCAGCTGCTACTGGTTCCTCATTGACACGTCCACCCTTCCTTTTCATCCCCAGTGCAGTCCAGCCAAGAAATAAAGGCAACTTGGAATCCCAACAGCTGGAAGTGCTGCAGTTCCATATGTGTCAATTGTCTGGAAGCCTCTGGGCTGGGAATACTTACTCCTTTGGGAATGAGAGGAACACGAGCAGAGCGGGGCTTTGGAAATCCGTTCCCAGCTAGCTGAACTTGGGGCCCTCTAGGCTTGAAGTCAGGACAGCGGTGGCCTGGACATTTCCAGGGAGTGGCCCACAGGGTTGGGTCATTGGCCAGATGCTGCTGTGTGCCAGGGTCTGAGCCCTTGCTCAGAAAAGAGACAGGCATGGCTTTGCATGGAACTCAGGTGTTTGGTCCTCTCCCATGGGAGAGGACCACAAGCGGCATCAAATTCCAGCGAGGCAACCGAAGTTGTCCTCATCTTCCAGACCTGCTCAAACTTTATAGACATGAACGCCAAAGATTATCCCACCCCGCCAAAAAAAATGTTGGCTCTCTCCCCATTCATTTCAGGATGGCCTTGTGCAAGGGACTCCCACTGTTAGTTTAAACACTTCGTTCTCTGCATTCAATCCAGGGATTCATTCATTTGGTCAAGGTCAGCCACAGTAAAGTAGAAGTGTTAACTTATCTGCTATATTAGCATTCACCCAAATGAGCAGCTTACTTGCTACCAAGCCAACTATTAATACCTTTTGGTTTATAGCACCAAGGTACAGCATTGCAGAGAATAAGCCAGGAGAAAATGTCCTGACCTTTAAAAGCTTAGGGTTCCCTGGAGACCCCAGTGACATATCTCAGCAAGGAGAAGAGATATCCTGGCTGAGTCCTCAACCCTGGGTGTGGCCAAAGACAAGAAAATATGGTTTCATTTGGTCTGGGGACAGCCATGCCTTGGATACATGGTAAGAAATCTTGACTCCTGGAACATGCTTGCACCTTTCCTTTTAAGAACTGTTTTCATGCCCCAGTTATAACAGCTTTTATCCAAAAGACAGGCAATAACAAATGCTGGCAAGGATGTGGAGAAAAGGAAACATTGCATACCACTGGTGGGAATGTAAATTAGTACAACCACTATGGAGAACAGTTTGGAGGTTCTTCAAAACGCGAAAAATAGAGCTACCATATGGTCCAGCAATCCCACTGCTGGGTATAATCCCCAAGAAGGGAAATTAGTATATCAAAGAAATATCTGTACTCTCATGTTTATTGCAGCACTGTTCACAACAGCCAAGATTTGGAAGTGACCTAAGGGTACATGACGAATGGATAAAGAAAATGTTGTACATAACACAATGGAGTACTATTCAACCATAAAAAGAATGAGATCCTATAATTTGCAGCAACATAGATGGAACTGAAGGACATTATGTCAAGTGAAATAGCCAGGAACAGAAAGACAAACTTCACATGTTCTCACCTACTTGTGGGAGCTAAAAATGAACAACAATTGAACTCACGGAGATAAAGAAAGAGAGTAGGTTGATGGTTACCAGAGGCTGGGAAGGGTAGTGGGTGGGGCAGGGGGGTGGGTGCAGGTGGGAAGTGGGGATGGTTAATGGCTACAAAAATGTAGTTAGATAGAATAAATAAGATCTAGTATTTGACAGCACCATAAGGTGACTAAAGTCAACAATAATTTATTGTACATTCAAAAATAACTGCAAGAGGCAGGCATGGTGGCTCACACCTGTAATCCCAGCACTTTGGGAGGCCCAGGTGGGTGGATCACCTGAGGTCAGGAGTTTGAGACCAGTCTGACCAACATGGTGAAACCCCATCTCTACTAAAAATACAAAAATTAGCTAGGCGTGGTAGCAGCTGCCTGTAATGCCAGCTACTCAGGAGGCTGAGGCAGGAGAATCACTTGAACCCGGGAGGCAGAGGTTGCAGTGAGCCAAGATCGCACCATTGCACTCCAGCCTGGGCAACACAGAGAGACTCTGTCTCAAAACAAAACAAATCAAAACAAAACAAAACTACAAGAGTACGATTGAATTGTTTGTAATACAAAGAAAGGCTAAATGCATGAGGTGATGGGTACCCCATTTACCCTGATGTGGTTATTATGCATTGTATGCCTGTATAAAAGTGTCTTATGTACCCCAAAAATATATATATAACTACTGTGTATCCACAATTAAGAAAAAAGTCTTCAGTTTGTAGCCACAGCCCAGATGAGTGCTGTCCCATCTCCTGCTCTTGGACCAGTGTGATCTGAAAGGATGACATCCAGTAGATGGAGGAAGGACCCAACAAGAGAGGCTGCATCCTCTGATGATACTAATGGTATTCCTAAGAATGAAGAATCACAGCTTTTACTATCTACTAAGTATAAAACATGTGTGTTACACACACAAGCATGATTCCATCTCCTTCCCGTAACAACCCATGGGTGATGGGAAACTAAAGCACACAGACTCAAAGTAACTTGCCCAGGTTCACAGTGGCAGGTGCAGAACTACAGCCCAGCACCGAATAATCAAAATGCCAGGCTATAAATATCCAGTTGTCATCCCACCGACATAGCACAGAGCTCTGATACATAAGATGGATATGGGTTGCTCTCCTAGAGCTGCCGATGGCATTGAGCACTTCTGAATATGTCACGGATGGCCACCAACTGGACAGCTTTCATGCTGCTGGAATTTTAAAGACAGGGCCCTGTGACAGAGAATCCGAAGAGACTGGGAACAACCACAAGCTAGAGTTGACTTCAGAAATGCTGATGTGAATTTCCGACTTTAGAACCTCAGTCCTTGGCCAAAAATGTCCTCAATTTTTTGACTTCTTGTACAGTGGGATTTAAAGAGATTAGCAATTAAATTTTATAGGAGATTTGTGTATTATTGTTAAAATTTCATCAGAAATTGGCACCTGCCCTTTGAAATATGCACATAAACTATTCCCTGAAGTATGATTTTTCAAGAGTGTTGTTGAACAAAAATCTTTATCTGTGGGAATACCTTTCTGAAATTTTAATGGCCATCAAATGGGAATATATGATTCTCTCCACAAAAATTCCATTTATACTTCTTTGTTTTTTTTCAGGATCACATTAAGTGAAATATGACCATATACAGCAAAGATGTCATGGGTAGGACCCATAAGTGTATCTGTATGCCTGTGAGGGTGTTGGGGTATAAGTTTACCTTGTTTTAAAATTTTAAAATTAACTATCAGCATATAAAATCCAGGAGATAGTACATAAAAATTCAGATCGATGGCTTCTCTTGAAAACATGGAATATTTTGAACCCTGGGTGGACATGTGACTGAAGCTTAGTGCAAGCTGGTCCTTTTTATGGGACATGTACCCTGCAGGTTACTGCCACGCCCAGCATCCTTACTCCTGTTGTGTTTCATGAATTTCTATGGCCTGCCTGTCTCCTTAGACATTTGAGTGTGTGACCTCCAGTCTACATGATAGCAGGTGCCTCCATGTGTGGAAATAAGTCTTTCTTGGTTCCTTTGTTGATGTATTTAGTTTCTATTGGGGCTAAAACTTAAGGAAGAGCAATTAAAGACCTCTAAGACAGATAGGCAGTCTTCCAAAGACTTTCCAATAAAAATAAATATCAGCCAGGATCTGTGGCTTATGTCTGTAATCCCAGCACTTGGGAGAGCGAGGCAGGTGGATCACTTGAGCCCAGGAGTTTGAGACCAGCCTGGGTAACAAGATGAAACCCAGTCTTTACAAAAAATGCAAAAATTAGCCGGACATAGTGGCGCACACCTGTAATCCCAGCTACCTCAGGAGGCTGAGAAGGGAGGATCATCTGAGCCTGGGAGGTCAAGGCTACAGTGAGCCATAATCACGCCACGGCACTCCACCCTGGGCAACAGAGTGAGAGACTGTTTCAAAAAAAAAAAAAAAAAAAAAAAGTAAATGTCAGAGAATGTGTTTGTCTCCTGAAGTCCCTGCACTAGTGCACACTGTACCCATTCCACCTGAATTGCCATGGCAGACCAGACCCTTGCTCAGTTTGTCATGGCCATGTTCTTTGTGCTTCCCTCATTCTTGCTTACAGTAGACAACTCCCTCCCCTCCCCTCCCCTTCCTTTCCCTCCATCATCCACCTTATCCTCTTCCATCCCGGCCTCATACTTTGCCTCAGGGCAAGGTCTGTAGTGTTAAGACTGCCGATGGCCTGAGAGAAGAGGCCGATGAACCCCTGGGGCTGCTATTAGTATCGGACTTTAGACACATTACAAGTTAAATAGGCTTTTGTGGGCTGGCGGGAGATACAACCACCATGCGTGATACTGTTTCTGGGGGAGTATTTCACCCAGGTTCCGAACAACAGACTTAAAATGAACTTCTGCAACATCATAGCCTATTAGTACATTGGATTCTTCCAAATTCTAGAAGATAATTGGGCTTTCTTATTTGCAACGTGTTTTCTTAGGGCAAGATCTATATCTGTCTCTCTGTGCTACGCTGTTGAAGAGCAATAATACAGATGCATTTATGGATCTTAACAGGAGCGATCAACTCACCAACTATAGCTAAGGGCCCACCGTGTGCAAAGTACTGGGGGAAAAATGTATAGAAAGCTGCCTTGCAGGAGTTCACAATACAGTGTGCGTGTTGGGCACGAAGGTGGAAATGGGGCAAATAGATGGATTACTGGCGATTATGAATGATATCAGAGAAGGCCACAGAGATTCAGAAAATAGCAGGACTAGAGACATTCTTATGAAGAAGATGGTTTGGAATGAAAGTGAAAAAATAGGTAATAGTTCAAGAGGCCCTTGCCATCAATGACGTGGGATTCCCCAGGCATTCCAGACACAGAACAGAGCAAAGAACAGCACAGGAGTGAGAAAGTTCAAAGGAAACTTGGGAAACAGAGGGGAGGCTGGTTTGGGTGAAATGTGACCTGTACATAAGGGAGTGAAGGAGGATGAGGCTGGAAGAGTGAGTTGGGACTGTGTTGGAGAGGGCTCTGGGCACCTTGCGGAAGGACTGCCATGTAATTGACCCCAAGACATAGCAGGCCTGCGTGTGGACAGATTGGAGGGCAGTGAGACCAGATGTGGAAACAGCACTTAGAAGCTCCTACAATTAGCAAAAGGCAATCAGTAGCTCTATGCTGGGGGCTGGGGTGGAGGAGAGAGGCAATCGAAGTGAGAACATTGTGGTTTTGGGGAAATCTCAAGAACTCTCCCAGATCTTGGTGCTGATGATGTCATTTATCTAACAATATTATTCTGATACAGTCACTAAACCATCCATCCATCTATCCATCCACTGAACAAGTATTTGCATACCTAGGGGCATTGTTCATGTTATGCATTTGATTTGGAAATTTTTCTACACGTATGTAATGAGTTCAAGGTCAAAGACTGGAGAAACCAAATGTTCTAAGATGATTTGCCCAAGTAAAAATGCTCTGCATATTATAAACAATGTTTCTCAAATTGTGATCATTGGATTATTAGAATGAAGGATACTTTAAGAAAACAAAGATTCAATATTCAAAGTTTTTATGCCTCCCTTGGTAAATCCCAACACCCATACAAATGATCAAAGGCCCTGACAAGTCCTGCAGTTAAAAACAAAAGTAAACAAAAAAACTGTTTAACCTTTCGCAGTTCACACTTTGACCACAGGACTCTTTTACTGAATAATATCTACTAACCTTCCAAGAAACACATTATGAAAAATATTGTTACAAAGTAGTATATAAACTTAAGGCATAGACCTTCAAGTGTAGTTACTCCTTTTAGGTTACCTCTAGCTCCAACCATTACCTGAAAGGTAAATGAAAGGGACCATAATTCAGGGTATAACCCACACAGAGATAATTTCTACCTTTTAACCATTTATTGCTGCATCACAGATTATCGACCACCTACTATGTGCCAGGCACTATGTATGGAATTCACAGTACAGCAGTCACTAAGAGATGTTTGTCCCTGTCTGTAAAGAACTAAACTTACAGTTTAATCAGTAACACCAAATCTTCACTACAAGGTGGGACAAATTGGCCACTCGTTCTCCTACCCTCACTTTCCCTGTGATTCTCCAACTTATATTTACCAAAGCAGTTTTATTACAGTGATATTTCAAAAGTTCTTTATTTAAAAAGGGTAATTAAGAGGTAGGATCCCACTGGGGGAAATGAGAGGCCAAGATGAGAGAATTGCTTGAGCCCAGAAGTTTGAGACCAGCCTGAGCAACATAGGGAGACCCCCATCTCTACAAAAATTTAAAATAATCCACCAGGCATGGGGGCACGTGCCTATGGTCCCAGCTGCTTGTGAGGCTGAGGTGGGAAGAACTTGAGCCTGGGAGGTTGAGGCTGCAGTGAGCTGTGATTGCGCCACCGCACTTTAGACTGGGTGATAGAGTGAGATCCCGTCTGAAACAAAACAAAACAAAACAAGAGGCTGGATCCCAAACCAGTACATTCCTCTATTAGCCAGCAGAGGTGAGAACAGACTAGCTAGGAAAGGAGTTTCACAAGAACTGGCTCGAATAACCCCAGCTGGGGACAAATTTTGATTTTCCTCATCTCTGGATTCTTCTCTCTCTTTAACAAAGACCACTACCCATGATCAATTCCTGGGTGTCTAGCCCAATCCAGCATTCACAGTTCATTCCTGGGAGCCAAAGTTCCCTTTTGTAGTTCCAAATGTTTCTCTCTCAGTTTTTTATTTTATTTTTTTAAAATAATGACCGATGTTCTAAAATCAGCTAGCAAGATAGGCAAAATAATCAGTAATTTCTAATTGTATATTTAAAATATCAATACGAAGTGGTTCTGGGCTGCAAACCAGAAGAAACAGACTTGGCTTATAAGACATTAAGAAAATTTTTAGTCTTGAGGTCTGCATGTTTTGTGAGCTTTATATAGAGGATAAAAGTGAAACTTCAGCTTTTAAGCCATGCTGTTAAAAATTATATTTACATCCAGTATAATTCTGCAACCATTAAGCCTTAAATGGGTATTAAGCCTGATTCAAAGTAATGAAACAGATGGTGGAAACACACACTATGGATTCTTCAATCTGGGGAGAAAAGGGCTGATTCATCTGTTTCAAGGGCCAGGCAAAGATAAAAGACTTCATCCCAAATGGAGCTGCTTCCTCCTCAAACCTTAGCATTCCCTCCAATGTATTTCTCCGTGTGGAAAGTATTATTAATGTCAGTATCCCCAGTGCTTGTAAAAGATTCATAGGCCATTTCCTCCCCTTACTGAATTCCCCTGTCTGTCCCGTCACCGCCCCATGTTCGTTCATCTCACTGTTGGGCAGTTTGGTGACGCCAGTTGCAGATTCCATCACAACCCAGCTGCCTGTCATAGGATCACAGCATTTTAGAGCTGGAAGGGGCTTAGAGATGGCATTTTCAGAAGAGAAAATGGGGCTGGGCACAGTGGCTCATGCCTGTAATCCCAGCACTTTGGGAGGCCAAGGTTGGTGGATCACCTGAGGTCAGGAGTTCAAGACTAGCCTGGCCAACATGGTGAAACCCCATCTCTACTAAAAATACAAAAATTAGCTGAGTGAGGTGATGGGCACCTGTAATCCCAGCTACTCGGGAGGCTGGGGCAGGAGAATCGCTTGAACCCGGGAGGTGGAGGTTGTGCTGAGCCGAGAGATAATGCCATTGCACTCCAGCCTGGACAACAAGAGCAAGACTCCATCTCAAAAAAAAAAAAAAAACAAAAAACGGAAAACAAACAAACAAAAAACAGAGAGAAAACAGAAGCTCAAAGGACAGTGACTTGTTCAAAGTCACACAGTGAGCACAGACTGGGATCACTGTAGGCATTTTTATTCCTTTGCTTGTCTTCTTTCTCCTCTTCTTTCCCACTTCTGAAAATATTTACAGAATCCTTTATAGGGACCAGGGTGGGAAATTAGGAGAAATTCTACAAGGTGAGAATAAAAATGTTGTAGACAGTCAGCCCAAAGGTTGTGGGAGTGCTGATGAATAAAGGTAGATGGAATGGGAGGACTAGAAAACCAGTATTGGACTCATTCATTATGAAAATTAATTTCTAACTTTAGGGGGAACATGGAAAAGTCCCTGTGAGGATACCACAGTCATAAATGTCGTAGGCAAGACCGGTGCTGCCAGGGGTACTCAATTTAGCAGACGAAAGTTGAGAAGTCGGCCGGACGCGGTGGCTCACGCCTGTAATCCCAGCACTTTGGGAGGCCGAGGCGGGTGGACCACGAGGTCAGGAGATCGAGACCATCCTGGCTAACATGGTGAAACCCCCGTCTCTACTAAAAATACAAAAAATTAGCCGGGTGCGGTGGCGGGCGCCTGTAGTCCCAGCTACCAGGGAGGCTGAAGCAGGAGAATGGCGTGAACTCGGGAGGCGGAGCCTGCAGTGAGCCGAGATCGCGCCACTGCACTCCAGCCTGGGCGACAGAGCGAGACTCCGTCTCAAACAGAAAAAAAAGCAAGTTGAGGAGTAGGATATTATCATCATCTCAACGTACCTCCCAAAATATACTTAACAGTTTCAAAGGGAAAAACAGTAACTTTGCGGCATGAAAACCTGGCAGATACCACCTTACCCAAGTGACCAAAGGGACTATCAGTTATAAGCCAAACTGACATCACGCACCCCGCATATAATACCCTGAGAAGGGCACGTCACCTCTGCTATTGCTGCCCAAAACATACGCATGTCTTCGATCAAATCATGAGAACCTTCCTATACATTCTATCCAGTCATGGAGCAATACTTTTTCAAGTGTCCAGGTGTGAAAAACAAGGGAGGACTGAGAGGCTGTCATAGATTAAGGGAGCTGAAGGAAACACAGCTAAAAGCTGTCTTACATTTAGGATTGTGGATAGGATCCAAGAAACAGGACGTGAGTGAAAACACCGGTGAAATCCAAATACAATCTATACTTTGGTATTAGTATTGTACCCATTAATTAAGAAAAGGAATTTTTTCTTTTCTTTTTTTTTTTTTTTTTTGGAGACAGGGTCTTGCTATGTCGCCCAGTTTGTCTTCAAACTCCTGGGCTCAAGTGATCCTCCTGCCTCAGCCTCCTGAGTACCTAGGATTCCAAGTATGCACCACCATGCCCAGCCGATTTCCTAATTTTGATAGTTGCACCACAGTTATCTAGGATTTTTATCATTGGGGAAGTTGGGTGAGGAATACACAGAAACTCTCTGAACAATTTTTGCAAATTTTTTGTTGTCTAAAATAATTTAAAAATAATTTTTTAAAAAGGAAAAAGAGGCTGGGTGCGGTGGCTCACGCCTGTAATCCCAGTACTAGTACTTTGGGAGGCTGAAGCGGGTGGATCACGAGGTTGGGATATCGAGACCATCCTGGCTAACACAGTGAAACCCCGTCTCTATAAAAAATAAAAAATAAATAAAAAAATAAAAAATTAGCCGGGCATGGTGGCAGGCGCCTGTAGTCCCAGCTCCTCGGGAGGCTGAGGCATGAGAATGGCGTGAACCCAGGAGGCGGAGCTTGCAGTGAGCTGAGATCGCGCCACTGCACTCCAGCCTGGGCAACAGAGCGAGACTCCATCTCAAAAAAAAAAAAAAAAAAAAAAAAGGAAAAAGAAAAGGCTGTGGGATGCAAGGAAAGACAGTAAGTCATGGGATGGAGCTATAAAGCACAGCAGCTGACCATTCCTTCTAGAACCTTCTAAATCCTAAAAGATGGACAGAGGCCACTGGGAACTCGCTATTTCCCTTTTGGGTTAATCAGAACTTGTACGTTATTATAGCCATAACATTCACAAGTTAGATAAACTTCTGAGAATAAGCCCCAGGGCGTGGAAGGGATTAAGGAAGAGTCCGATTTCCTCATCAGTTGCAGCTGGTAGACGGTGGTACCAGGACTTCTGTTGAGTGACTTTGGGGCAGCCGCCCTACAGGCTCAACTCCCAGAAGCTACCTGGCCCGATCACCTGGAATAGGGAGTCCCCCTGTCACGGGAAAGGATGAGAAGTGGGTACCCAGGGAAGGAGTGGTGGGGGGAAGAGGACATCTTTGTTCAGGCTGTGTTTGTTCTACATAGTGTGTATATGTTTCTGACAATGAAATGTGTTCTTGGAAATGTCCCCTTCATTTATAGATGTATCACTGCAGAGTATGTGTGAGAAAAAGAAAGAGACATGTCAGAATCCCACAGACAACAGCTTAGCCCTGCCTTCCATTATATATACAAAGTGTTGTGTACGTTAGTGATACATTTGCAGAAGGGGTGGGAATGTGGCTTTGTCCGTATTTCCAAATGTAAAACAGGTCTCCCATCCCCTCTGTTTGGTTGTGGCTGTTTCCTTACAGAATGAAAATACTGGCATTGGAGGCACTGTTGCCAGAAACTTGCTTGGCAAAACATTTACATTCCTTTGTACATATATATAAACAAAATCACTTCTTCCAATGGATACTTTTTCACGTCCTCCCTGATTTCTGTGGTAATAATGACCACATTTGGCTCCAAACCTGGGGATGTGGTAGAGAAAGCCACCTCCCAATTCCAGATCCTGAAATCTCGTGGAAGATTAACATGGACGTCAAACTGACGTTACCAATTTAAGGGATTTAAACACTCAGCTCTAGAGTAAACAAAATCCAGTGGCAAGGTTTTGGACAACTTCAGCGACGTTTGACAACACAACCCAGATGTTGGGGAGTGCAAACCTTGTAAACGTAGGCTTTCCACTGTGTTCTGTACAAGCAAGATGTTGAGTGAGACAGACCGGCTAATGAAGGAAAGAAGTACTGATAATTATTGAGTGACTTTTATGGGGCAGATAGTATGCTAAGTGCGCCATAGACACTGTCTCACTCACCATTTGCAATGAGGTAGCTATTATTTATTGATATGGACATGAGGCTCAGAAATCTGCAATTTGCCTCACTTGGCAAGTGACAACATCAGTATTTGACTCATGTGAGTGTGACTTTAAAACCTTTGCTATTTCCAGAAGTCAACACTGACTGTATGTAACATTCCTTTGCTTAAAACCTCCCAGTTTCTCTCACTGCCACTAGATCAGTGACTGTCTCAGCTCAGCCTTTGATGCCTTGGTGGTGGCCCCTGCTGCCCCACAGAACTAAAAGCTATTTACGTAAGGCTGGGGCTCTCTTAAAAATGTGGTTCCCTCAGTCTTCCCACCTTTGCTAGCATTTACTATATGCCATATGATTTTTTTTTTGAGATGGGGTCTCGCTATGTTGCCCAGGCTGGACTTGAACTGCTGAGCTCAAGCCATCCTCCCACCTGCCTCAGCCTCTCAAATAGCTGGGATCATAGGTGCGCCCCTCCGTGCCCAGCTTTGGCTATGTGATTTCTTCATTCACAAGTCTGCCTGGGACTCCTTGTCCATAAGGGTGTTGATACTTTTTGAATCTAATGATACTATGTGCTTAGTGGTTAATACCTGCTTCTTGCTGAGTGAATGAATGAGAATTAACATATATATATATAGATAGATAATTTTTTTTTTTTTCTGGAGACAGGGTCTCACTCTGTCACCCAGGCTGGAGTCCAGAGGCGTGATCACAGATCACTGAAGTCTCGACCTCCTGAGCTCAAGTAATCCTCCCACCTCAGTCTTCCAAGTACCTGGGACTAAAGGCATGCACCACTACTCCTGGCTAATTTTTTGTACTTTTTCTAGGGACAGCGTTTCACTATGTTGTCCAGGCTTGTTTCAAACTCCTGGGCTCAAGCCATCAGCCTGCCTCAACCTCCTAAAGTGCTGACATTACAGGCATGAGCCACTGTGCCCAGCCAGGAAATGTTTCAAATACTTGAGGTAATAAATATTTTTAAATTTTATATAAGATTCTGTGTAAGTGCTATGAATGTTACAACTCATTGTGAATAATTTACTAAAGCAGAATTCCTAAAGATTCATATTAGATAGTATCTAATGGTTTTATTTCAGTGGTTCTGAGCTGGGGTTATTTTGACACCCCTGCCCAGGGGACATCTGGCAACGTCTTGAGACATGTGGGTTATCACCACTGCAGGGAAGGCGGCGTCGCTGGCATTATCGGGTAGATGCCAGGGATTCTGCTAAGCATCCTACAATGCCCTAGAAACTCCCTCCAATGCCAGTCCTCCCAAACAAAGCGCATATTGCCAAGACGGAATAACCCTGCTTTGTTTGATGTAATGACATGGCATATACTTGAAGGCAGTCAAACTACGGTTCATTTGTTTTTTTGTTTTATTTCAGATTTTTGATGAACCAAGCTGGCTGGTGTCGCCTCAGTTTGTCTAAATTACCAAGGACCGCTGGAATTTCCCTGGGAATATGTTTCGGGAAAGGTCAGAAACTCTTCAGTCGTCTTCACGCTTCCACTCAGTAGCAACGTTTTTGCACACTCATTGACTATCAACTGGTTGTCTATGACTCAAATTACATAATGAATCCAGCACATAAATTATTTACTCAGATTTAATGCCAGCAACTGTTATCTTTGTATTTTTTTCCCCTCTGCCAGCTAATCTGGCTCATTTCATTGGAATTTTGGTCATGCCCATTCTCCTTCTGCACTAAATTAACTCCATAACGTAGTATAAACAGAACAAGCTTGTGTGTGATATGCTTAACTGTTAATTTACCTAATTAAACTAATTCAATTAAATCATTTACATCTTTTTGGTAACATGCCAGTTGATACCACAGCAGAAGTGGGATGTTTCAGAAGATGATTGTTCAGCAAATGAATGGAAAAAAAAATAAAAGGAAAACAAAATGAGACAACCGTCCAAATCTCTTGGCTTGAAAATTAAATGATACTGAAAAAATGCAGCTTTCACGGGGCACTGTGATTAGATATTTTTCTGAAATCAATTTTCTCTACAAATTGGTATTTTAACAGAGTGATCACAATCTATTGTACAAAATATTTTAAACACTATTTGTACATTCACATATTTGGTATGTTTAAGTAAAGTGTGCTTGTTCCCACATTAAGGTGTGATTTGTGAAATGTTTTGTGATGCTAACAAGACGTGAACTGAGCAGATTCTTTTGAATGAATTTGCAAAATAATTTTGCTAAATTACATAAATATCTTTAGGATACATCCGTATTTCATTTATAGTCATCGTCTAAACATCCATACCATAGTGATAAATGTACAAAATGTACAACATTTTATGCCAGTAAAAATCAACAGAAAAAAAAGACAAGAAATTCTAGGCAGGAGAACCTAAACTGTCATCTTTGTGGAGCTCCATAAACCTCCTGTTTCATTTGACTGATACAGAATCTGCACTTGTGGCAGAACCTAGGTTTGTTGATGGATGGGCCACCCTAGTTTCATCTCTCCAGGGCTTCTGTCTGGGTGGGGGATGGGTTTGTTGGTCAGGATTTGGTTTTCTCTTCAGGAGCACACATGCCCAGGACAAAACTTGAGGCAAAGCCCTGCCTTGACTTATAATGAGGGAATAAAGCCCTAGATTGCATAGAACTTCAGAAAAGCCTACATGAAACCCACCTAGATTCCTCCATCTGAGCAAAGGCCTACAAGATTCCAGGACAAATCACAACATACAATAAGACCTGGCACCTGCTTGGAGCTTCCTCATGCAAAAGGTACATTTCCTCTACCACGCTTCCGGGGCAAACAGGCAGCACAGGTTATCTTCTGGATGTTCTTGCTTTCTACCTATTTCTACTTTAAATCCAAGCATCTTTTTCTTTTCTTCTCCCATTTAAGAAGCCCAAGAAGATAATTCATGGAAATAAAACAGGATGTTTTCAGAAGATTTTTTTTTTTTTTTCTATTTGGGAGGCCACCTCTGCAGATACTTTCCTCTGCTCAACCCTTGAATGGGGTCATCTGTCTTTACAAATCAATGGCTCCAGCATATCCTAAACATCCTGACAACAGAGCTTTGGAGGTTGGCAATAAAATGTCTGAAACTAATCTTCCTCCCACCACTCATGCTAAACTTATTCTTTTTTAGTAATACCAATTCCCTGAAGTCAGGGGCCACCCTGTCTATCCATTTCACAGCCCAAGCACAGTGACTGGCACACAGAAAATGCATAAATTATTGATTTCATAGTTAACAAAGAATAAAGAGACTTTTCCCCAAATCAAAGTCATTTTTCTCCCCAAAGCAACTTTCCCTTCCAACTTCCCAGAGGTCAGTGGCCTCATGACTTCTTAGCACCCAGACTTAGGTCTAGATTTACTGCCCAAAGGGTCAAATTTCCAAAGGCATTCACATTTCCTCTCAAATACTCATGTGCCTCCTTCCTCTGCCTCTTTGCTCTATTCCTTCCTCTTAATAATTGCAGTCATCCTCCCAACTCCCTCTACCACCTATGTCATTCCCAATCTCCATTGAATACTATGGATTTGAAGGAAACTGTGAAACAGACAATCCTCCTGGGTTAGTTTGCTTGGGCTTCCATAACAAAATAGCTCAGGCTGTAGAAATTCATTTTCTCTGTGAGAAAGAAGGCTACAGGTTCTGGGAGGGTAGACATCTGAGATCAAGGTGTTGGCAGGGTTGGTTTTTCCTGGGGCCTCTCTCCTTGGCTGTCTTCTCATTGTGTCTTCAAATGGTCTTCCCTCTGAGTCCTAATCTCCCCTTCTTTCTTATAAGAATCCCAGTCAAATTGGATCAGGCCTTACCATTCTAACTTAATTACCTCTTCAAAGACTCCATCCCCAAATCCAGTCCCATTCTGAGATACTGAGGGTTAGGACTTCAACATATGATTTTTTGCAGGGGCTGGGGAGGGACAAAATTCATCCTATAACACCACCCTTTGTTATTCAAGAGCTGTTAGGGAAAAAAAAATCAGAATTCCTTCAATTTTGCTGAGCATTGGACAGACACAGTTTTATAGCTAGACGACTAACATTTCCTCTTTTGCTCTCAGAGAGTGTTGGAGTCTTGGCTGCAGCTGACAAAGGTAACTGTTGCCTCAACTCCCAGTTCCCCTTCATCCTTTTTTGACTTGCCCTAGGGTCTTATCCTCCACATTCCACCACACTGGGTGCTGGTGAGACCGGGCAGACTGTGATCTCATGCATTTGTCAGTGATGCGTTTAGGTCTGGTCATTTGTCCCAATGGAAGGAAAGCCTGCTGAAGGATTCTGGGGAAAAGTTTGCTGTTAAGAGGTTTAGAAATTGGCTGGGCACAGTGGCTCATGCTTGTAATCCCAGCACTTTGGGAGGCCGAGGCAGGTAGATCACCTAAGGTCAGGAGTTTGAGAGCAGCCTGGCCAGCATGGCACAATCCTGTCTCTACTAAGAATACAAAACTTAGCCAGGCGCAGTGGTGCACACCTGTAATTCCAGCTACTCAGTGGGCTGAGGCAGGAGAATCGCTTGAACCTGGGAGGTGGAGGTTGCAGTGAGCTGAGATCACACCACTGCACTCTAGCTTGTGAGACAGGGTGAGACTCCATCTCAAAAAAAAAAAAAAAAAGTGAGAGAGATCTAGAAATTGATGCTTCCTTTGTATCTCTGGACAATATTGGGTCTCTGTGAGATGTTAATTTCTGTGCCAATATTACCATTCAAAGGGGACCTGAAAGAAGGGCCAGCTAACACATCAAGGAGAGCACTATCCGGAAGAAATGGAAAAATTTCTTGGTGACATCAATGAGCCACTGAATCCACCCATCTGAGAGCCCACCCTACCACTACATTTGTTGTTTGGTGAGACAAAACTGTTTCATATTATTTAAGCCACTTTGAAACAGATTCTTACTACTTTCACCCCGAAAGCATACTGACCAATAGAAAGGCTTCAGACCACTTACTAGTAGTCTCTCACTAGTCATGCTTCCTGACTCATTTGTAAAACAGAGGTAATGATACTTACTCTGTGGCATCACTGTGTAACTTGAGTGAAATCTGTCATGCAAGGTGCCCAACTCAGTGCCTCATAAGGAGAAAGTGTCTGAAACACAGAGGCCATTTCTAGCTTTTGCTCTTCCAGGGGCTTCTGGTAGCTTGAACATGGCTCACCTTGCACCTTCTGCATATGTACTCACAAGCAGAGCAACTCAACAATCTGGGCTACTGATGGTTTTGTTCACAGTACTTCGGGAGGCCCAGGTGGGAGGTTCACTTGAGTCCAGGAGCTCGAGACTGGCCTGGGCAACGTAGCAAGACCCTGTCTCTACAAAAAATGAAAAATTGGTGAGGCATGGTGAGGCATGGTGGTCCATGCTTATAGTCTCAGCCGCTTGGGAGGCTGAGATGGGAGGAGCACTTGAGCCCAGGAGGTTGAGGCTGCAGTGAGCTATGATTGCGCCACTGCACTTGAGTCTGGGAGACAGAGTGATACCCTGTGTCAAAAAAAAAAAAAAAAAAAAAAAAGAGAAAGAAAAGAAAAAAAAGAACTAGTATGAACTACTGACTTAAAAGTAATCACCATCTTTCACCATCTTTTTTTGTTTGTTTGTTTAAAGCAAAAGAGTTCGTTATTCTATAGAAATCTCCCTTTCCTGAAATTGTTCACTGGGCTGGACTTTCTTATCTGGAGCTTTCTAAAGCAGGACATGCCCATGAGGGGGTCTGATAACTGGGCCAAAGACCACCAGCGGGAGTGCGTCTTGCCTGTCCCCACCCTCTCTTCTTCTGTGTTTCTGTCACTGCCCTTTTCCTGCCCTCTCTGCCCTGACCAGTGCATAGCACCTAATATAGTGCTTTCCAATGGAATGATCAGCAAGTACTTCTTGAGCAAATGCTTGGCTGCAGGAAGCACTGTAGCAGGAGGGTGGAGAGGGAGAAGCTGGGGAAGTATATTCCTGGCAAGTACTTTGTAGACATCTATCTCTTTGGTTATCTCTCTCCCCAGTCTTGTGCCTTGGGATGCGTGCTGATGCTGGGGCCACTTGCAGGTACCCAGACAGCTCGGCCCTTACAGAATGATTATAGAAATACATACATAGGTACCTTACACACCTAGCAATTTATGAATTGCTTAATCTATGCCAAGCATAATACCCCAAGTTTTATAATCTCATATAATCGTCACAATTCTAAGGGCATGAAACCTATTTTATAGATGAAAATACTAAGGATCCAAGCGCTAAAGTGATTTGTCCAAGGCCTTATGGCTGGTATGTAGAAAAAGCCAAAAGTGAAACCAGAGCCTAGGTGTTTATAGCCAGGAGTTAATGGGTTTGATGGCTGTTCTATAGTCAGGGCATTGCAGGAAGACTCAAGGGTATGGCAGATGGGTCGAGCTGATGGACCCCTCTCGTGTGTGATGGAACAAAAGAAGCTCTAGGGGAGGAGGCATAATCATCTGGCTGTGGGCAGATCATAGAGATCCTGGCACTGTTTATCCATCTGAAAAATTAGCACACAGATATCAGCTATATCCTTCTCTTCAGATCATTGCGAAAATCAGATGGGTCTAATCTATCAAACCACTACCAGATTAAGGGACCATATCTTGTTCACTCTTGGAACACAGTAAGTGTTCAATAAATGAGAAACCCGTGAAAGAAAAATAAAGCCTACTTCCTTACCATTAAAAAAAAAATGCTTCTGCTTCTCCTCTGTCAACGGTGATCCTCTTTTTTTCACTTTTTCTTCCTTTTGTGTCCCCCTTCTTCCTTCCAGCCAACCCATAGCACTCACCCTTGGGCCCTGGCTGGCCACACCTCAGTGGGTACTAACTGGTGAGTCCCAGCTGGTGTGCACTGGGCCGCCCATGAGCCCTGGACAGCCTGGTTGTGATGGCCAGAGCTCACTGGTGACAAATGGGCTCTCTGTGCCTGTGACCTGGTGGGGCCAATTAATCACTGGGAGGTGCTCTTTCTGCATTATATATGGCCAAAAGCACCCCTTGGAGTCAGGGAGGACAAAGCTTTAGGAGGTTTTGTTTGTTTGTTTGCAAACTAGAGAGACAAAAAGGAGGTGACAAGGGTAGGGGGAGGTTTGAGAGAGAAAAAAGTAAAGGTCAAAAACTAAAATGGAGCAAGAAAGGTGATAAATGGCCTGGGCTGGAGGGTGGCTATCCTGTTTGGCCTCAGGAAATCACATTAATGGGGATCAGTACAGAACTGGTCAGAATTATGAAAACCATTCTCATAATGACAGAGTTTGAATGCAGTTCTGTAGCCAGAGTACCCAAGAATGTCTTCAAATTATAATCATAGGGTGTGTGTGTGCATGTGTGTGTGTGAGAGAGAGAGCCATTCATGCGTACGTGCACTGATGAAGAAATATGTGTATGTGGGAGGTTTGCAGGAAAAAAAAATATGACGGCTGCATGAGCTGCATATAAACCAACATGCTATTGAGAGATACTCATTACATCTGTTTTTAATCACAACATGTAAATGTGGGGAAAGCAGTCACTGCATACTCAAAAGATACACCTTGAAGATTCTTTTTGCATCCTCAGAAAGTGCCAGAATCTGCTGTAAGCAAAATCTCAGTGCAATCCAAGTCAGTGCCTTTTCCTTCCCCGAGTTCTGCCCACATGCATAAAGATGTCAACGTGTTGATTATTCTGATTAGACTTTTAGTGTAATTTACGGGGTCCAGTCATTGTGCCTGGGTGTCTGGCCTGCACTTGCTACCCTGACGATGCCATTTTTAAAATGTCAGCTCAGCCATGATTCATGGCTGATGCTGGTGACATTGCTGCTGACCTGAAAGAGTTAGGCAGCAATATTTAATTAAAGCAAAAAAAGAGGAGAAGAAGAACAAGCCAAAGGAAAGTAGAGGGCAAAACCTAAAAAGAACTAAATTTTGTTGCTGGAAAGATCAGCATCTCCAAACAAGGAAGAGGCACTACAAATGCAATATATTGTCACTTATTTGTGGCTCTGTGTCTACCTATCATTTGTGAGTGGTAAGGTCATGTGTAATGAGTGAGACAGTTGTTTGCATCCCATTCACCATCATTCTGGGGCCCTCATTCCCTCTCTCTGTGGGGATTTGCTAGGAGGTGGAGCTATCACTGCCTCTGGCTTTTGTCCTCACTGTGTGTGTATCGGCAGCCTGCCTGCCACCCAGCTCGCTAACGGCAGCAGTACCTGGGCACCAGCTACCTGCTCCCACCCAGATAGCCTCTTCCCAGCTTGCAAAAGGCCATGCTCATTTCCAAGCTTCTAGCTCCAGGATGCTGTGCAAGACCTAGGGTGAAATGAGTCCTGTGCCCTGCACGTTGGTGGTACAAATCCAGCCCTACCAGCAGCAACAGTAGCCACTGACTAGCATTAAGATAGGTACTTGGCTGGACAAAGTGACTCATGCTTGTAATCCTAGCACTTTGGGAGGCCGCCGTGGGCAGACCACGAGGTCAGGAGTTCAAGACCAGCCCGGCCAATATGGTGAAACCCTGTCTCTACTAAAAAAAAAAAAAATACAAAAATTAGCTGGGCGTGGTGGCGCACGCCTGGAGTCCCAGCTACTCGGGAGGCTGAGGCAGGAGAATCACTGGAACCCGGGAGGCAGAGGTTGCAGTGAGCCAAGATTGTGTCACTACACTCCTGCTTGGGCGACAGAGCGAGACTCTGTCTCAAAAAGAAAAAAAACCGAAACAGGTACTGCCCCAGGCCTCGTGAATTTATTTAAGTGGGACACAAATTATCCCTTAGAACACACACACATGCATGCACACACGTAGACACACACATATTATTTGGGAGGTCTACTAAGCCGGGTCCCTTTGCCAGGAATGAAAGGACAGAATTTCTCATTAATGGGAAGGCCACAGTGAGCTGAGGTTTGAGAACCAGAACCAGCCTTTGTCCAGGCCTGCGGGAGCCAGGCTATTGTCTTCTAGGTTCCCCTTCCCCAGTGACCCCAGGGTCGGGGGCACACATGCCGGCCTTGAACTCTCCGTCTGTCTCTCCCACCATATTAATTACTACTCCCTTTGGTCAGGCTAAGAAAACAGCCTCAACTGCATTAGGACTAATTAAGAAGAGTGAGCTTCCCATTCTGGCAGCCTGCATCGGTCCATGCAATGCACGAGCCAGGAAGGGGCCCTGACAATCTTATTACCACAGAAGAAAACACCTCCCCGCGCTCCCTCGAACCCCCGACAGTGAGTTCACCTCTTCCATTACAAATGCATTTGCCCCCAGCCACCAGCCACCAGCGAGGACAGCCTGGGTCAGCCAGGCATGCAGGGTCGAGGAATAGCCATGTTTCCTTAAACCGAGGGGAGTTAGCAGAGCAAATGCAGGGTCATGTCCATTTATAACTCCATCTGTTGCCTTCCTCCTCCCTCCCCACCATAAATAAATTAATAGACAGACAGAGAGATAGAATAAATATGGATCACTACAAGTCATTATCCCTTAAACCTGCCACGCTCTCCATTGAAGCTCACACATTTACAACCTGCTCAGGAGTTGAATCCAATCCTCTGGATTCCAGAGGGTCTGAGGCCCTTCTATAAGGATCTGAAGACAGTAATTATTGGAACTGTCTTCTCTATTGCGTTCTTCCCGTCAGCCTCACCATGTTAAATATCCAGTGAATACTGCAGGGGCCTCCAACAGACTCCAGCCACTGCTTGCTCCCATTCTTCCTTCACGAGGCCACCAAAGTCATATTCTAAAGGACATCCAGGTATGCCACTGGCCTGGTTTACACAACACCCTGTGGACCCCTCCATGTCTAGAGGAAAACCCTTAGCATGGTTTACAGGCTCTTTACACCTGGGGCAGGGCCCTCCTTCCTTTTTCATCTTTTGTCAATTTTTATAGGCCATATCTAGCAACTCTCCCAATCACCCTACTCTGGGGATAGCAGCACAGAAGTTCTATGGTTCAAGAGAGCAAAGTAGGTAAAGTAAGCTATAGGAGAGTGAAGCCGATAGAGTCCAGCCTTCCCCCATGCCCAAGGGGACAGCTGCTACTCACCTCCTATCAAATGTCATTTGGAAATAAAGACCTTCAGATATATATATAATTTTTATGAGATGGAGTCTCACTTTGTTGCCCAGGCTGGAGTGTAGTGGTGCAATCTCGACTCACTGCAACCTCCGCCTCCAGGGTTCAGGCAATTCTCCTGCCTTAGCCTCCTGAGTAGCTGGGATTACAGATGCCCGCCACCATGCCCGGCTGATTTTTGGATTTTTAGTAGAGATGGGGTTTCATCATGTTGGCCAGACTGGTCTTGAACTCCTGGCCTCAAGTGATTCGCCTGTCCTGGCCTCCCAAAGTGCTGGGATCACGGGCATGAGCCACCGCACCAGGCCAAGACCTTCGGATTTTTTTAAGCCAATTTTTAAAAATGTAAAATTGCCAGATTTTAAACGTTGAGAACTAATTAAAATTTGAAGATGGAACAAAATATGTCGACCCATAGGCCCCCGGTGGGAACTCTGCTCTCTAGTCTGGTTGTCCCTACCAGGCTGCTCACAGCTCCCTGGGAAAACCATCCTCGCTCCCCCACAGATGGCTTGGGGCTCTGCCTTCCCTGACTTGTGTAATTGATGAGAGCCTTCTCTTCCACTCTTTTCTGTTGGTTCGAGACAGGGCCTTGCTCTGTCGCCCAGGCTGGAGCGCAGTAGTGTGATCTCTGCTCACTGCAGCCTTGACCTGCTGGGCTCAAGCGATCCTCCTGCCTCAGCCTCCCAAGTAGCTGGGATATAACATGCACCACCACACTTGGCTAATTAAAAAAATTTTTTTTTGTAGAGACAGGGTCTTGCTATGTTGCCCAGGCTGGTCTCCAACTCCTGGCCTCAAGTGATCCTCCCTCTTTGGCCTCTCAAAGCACTGGGATTACAGGCACGGGTCACCCTGCTGGCTCTCCTCCACTCAACTCATTACAACCTGCCATCCACTGCCTTGGCTTGAGGTTGCCAGGTACACTAGAATGCCCAGTGCCATTTGCATTTCAATTAACAATGAATCCATTTAATTAAAGAATGCCCTAAATATTGCATCAGACATACTTAAACTAAAAATGATGCAATATCTAAAATTTAAATGTATATGGGTGTCCTTTATTTCCTCCACTAAACCTGGCAAAGCTACCTCAGCTACACCACACCCACCTTACATTCTTTCTGGGCACTGTTCTAGGTGCTGAGGACACAGCAGGAAACAAAACAGATCAAAAGAAAATCCCTTTGCACATGGCGCTTCTGCGGGCAGAAGAGAGGGTTTCCTCTTCTATTCCAACATCATTTTGGCTCAAGAGTTATAACAGGAGTAGGAACAAGAAGCATTGGGTTGGAGCCCTGGCTCTTCTGCCTGTCATTTGTGCTGCTGAGCCTGTGGGGGTATTAATGTCCCCATCACTGAAATGGGGCAACAGTGCCTTTGCTGCAGGTCATGAACAGGGGAGGTGACACATACACACTTAGGACAATGTCTGGCATGAAGTAAGTGGCCAGTGCATTGAACCAGGTGACACATGGCACTATTTCTTAATCGTTTCCATTTCTGTGACCCACTTAGCCCAAAAAGTCCCTCAAAGGAAGGGATGTTGCGCTAATTACCTTTGTGTTTCCAGTGCCCAGCACATTGTTGGGACATACTGGGGACAAAATGGGTCAGCTAGTGGGTCACAATTGTGCCTGCTCTAGAACATAAGGTGTGGATGTTCACTGTCTCCATAGAAGTAAAGAGAAATGGAAATTTGAAGCAAGTTTTGTGATAAAGAAGGACAAACATCTAATTACAGAGAAAGAGTGGATTTCTTTTTAGCCTGAATTATGCAATTTGTCTATTAACCCTAAACGGCATTGACAGAAAATTCACCTTGCTTTTCCTTTATACATGCTAAGGTAGTCTGTTTCTAGGGATACTCTTAAAAATAAAGCACTCTAATTTTTATGGGAATCTGTTTTTTTGTATTTTTTTTTTTTATGTCAGCCAGGCACGGTGGCTCACGCCTGTAATCCCAGCATTTTGGGAGGCTGAGGCGGGCGGATCACCTGAGGTTGGGAGTTCAAGACCAGCACGATCAATATGGTAAAACCCCATCTCTACTAAAAATACAAAAATTAGCCGGGCTATGGTGGCATGCACCTGTGATCTCAGCTACTCAGTAGGCTGAGGCGGCAGAATCACTTGAACCCAGGAGGTGTACGTTGCAGTGCGCCAAGATCACACCACTGCATTCCAGCCTGGGTGACAGAGGGAGACGCTGTCTCAAGAAAAAACAGTCTTCTGATTATAAAAGTACATATATATTCCATAAATGTTCCATTATTTATAAATTTAATTACTGATTGTTAGACATGCAGTTAATCCCAGTTTTTATTATTTAGAATAATGATGTAATGAATATCTTTTATATACAATTCCATGATTTATTTCCTTGGGAGAGAAAATCCCAGCAATTTGGTCAAAGGGATGTACTTTGATTACAATACTGGAAATGTATTAAGTACATGGCCCCCAAGAATCCTCAAACCAAGTGTAAGGAGGCAGGCGATGGCCTTCACGGGACAAGCTGGGGTCTCCCAGTAGTGTCATTGGAGGTGAGTCTCTGTGTCTGGAGAAGCAACTAGACCTTGGGACTCTAGTTTCATCCCCGAGATTCTCCTCCATTTGACAAGGGGAATGTTTGGGTTTGAGTTTATGAAGGCAGCGTGTTGCTCTCTTATACCAAGAGGTTCTTCAGAACTGCTGAGTTCTGAGTTCCGAGGTCACCCTGAGCACAGGGGAAATTTTCATCTTTAAAATAAAAATCCGTCTCCGCCTAGGTATGGATGAAGATTTCTGTCTAAGCACAAGAAATAGAGTCTCGTGGTCTTCAAACTTTTTACAGTCTCAGAGCCTTGTTTTCAAAAGAAATTTGATACTAGGGATAGCAAATGCATGGTTTCTAGGCCATTATTCTCTCATCCTGTACCTACTGATTACAGTGCTCTCTCTCTCATACATCCAAGACTTGGCCTTGGGGTCTTCCACACAGCAATCTAGGCAGCCCCTATTAGGTGGCTGGAGTTAGCATATAACTCCATTTGATAGACTGGATATTGAAACAGACAATATAAAGCAGATCAATTGGAGTGAGACTCTTTGACAAAGGGGTGAGGAGTCCAGAGCCCAACCCACTTCCTTCCCCTCTGAAAAGACTCTTGGGAATCCTATGTGATCCACTGATCTAGTTGATCTGTTCTTATCCCTCCAAATCCCAGCACTTCAAGATTCATGCATTCTGTTATTCACATATGAAGAGAATGTTTCCCATATGCAAGAGCTGTTGTTTGTCACCTCATGCCTCTTTGCCATGTAATTCCTGTTCACTGGATCAAGGTATAAGTAGAAGCCATTAAGATACAGAAAGACCCACTGCTGCACCCACAGCAATGTCAGCATCAGGGACTGAGCAGCAGAAACCGTCTGTGATCCTAAGAGCATCTTAGAATCGCTCTGTGTGTTTTTCTTCTTCTTTTTTTTCTACCTTGGGCTGCAAGAGGCTACACAAGGCTCCGGATAGATGGGTTTTATTGAAGTCATTTCAAGCTCCCCTGCCTCCCCACAGCTGACCTGACAGAGACAGTTAAGAATCATCTAATTAAAAACACTGATCATTGCAGTACCAACTAGATCATATTGAGATAATCACTCTACTAGCTCCCAACGAGGTCCTGCTGAGAATAACTCCTGGCCAAGCCACAGGAGGGAGAGGCTGGGGCCTCGCCACTGTCCTAAGAGCCCTGCTGTGTCCCTGGCTTTCTCTCCTGGCTGGGGGGATGGAAGGGACAGGCAGGACTATTTATTCAGCTCAAGGTCCTCCGTGGAGTAGAGCATCTAGGCAGGTCGGGGCCTGCTGCCATGGAGCTGCCACTGAGTATTACTATCACTCCAGACAGCGGCATGTCCCCTGCAAGAGAGATTTGAAACCCCACAAGCTCAGCCCTCCACCCCCTTGTTCTCCCAGACTTATAAAAATAGGAAGAACACATGTTCCCATTAGTCACTTGCTTGAGGGCTGCTGTGGGGTATATGCACGCAGCCTGTACACTGGAACCAAATTTGAATATCATTTGCATCTTGCAGGTAGACAATAGATACCGCATCAAAAACATGCACAGCACCCCCTCCTCAGCAAGGCGCCCAATGAGGCAGACCAGATGACATTTCCTGGGAACAAGGACTATCGTTTATAAGTTTTCAAATCCACTTGATAAGGCCCCTCCTGGCAACCGACGCCCACCCCAGCTGGAGAGGCATTCTGAGAGGCTTTTAATTAAACTTTTGCTTGCCAAGAGCAGTTTGCATACACACAGGGGGACCATGCTCCTAGGGGAGCCATAAAGCCTGCCACTTTCTTTGCCTCTGTGTGTCCTTAACTCTCTGGGGTTACGAGGCAGACGCCCAGCCTGTACTGGCAATGATGCTTCTGGAAGGGCCTGGGGAGTGAGCCTGCAGCGGCAGACAGAGCTGAGCCCACTCTGCGGCTGCACGGTGCCTACTGGGTGAGCCGTGGCTTCCCGGCCGCCTGGGTGACTCCCAGGGCAGTGGCCAGAGTAAAAGCCAGAGAGGACGAGGCTGCACTGGGGTTATGTCATGGCACAGCCAGAGGGAGAAAGACTGGAAAAGCCTTCAGACCCCACAGGTGGCTTAGTTATTGACTTGCGTGTCCCTTCTGGGAGGGGGGCGAGCTGGAAGAGGAGGCGTCCTTTGTGGCTCTGACCTCCCTTGACCTGACCTTTGTAACTCTATCAGGACTAGTGGTCAGTAGTTATCAACTGTCAATAAACCGCCCAAACACACACTGTAATTCAGAATACGGGGAGGCCCATCTATTTGCTGATCGATCTTGGACTCGAAAGTTGACAAAATGCAGGGTCCCTTGTCTTCTTATCATAATATTGAAAATATGTGCTGCGACACATTGAATGATCTACACTTCTCGTGCCCCACTCCTGGGGCCCTTAGTAAATACAAGAGGATTGATTGAGATGAAAGGTGAACGGGAGGTCTGTGGTGTTCCTCTAAGGAAACCAAAGCCCCTGAAGCAGGGACTGAGGACTAATTAGTCCATCTCATTAAGTTTATCTACTAAGGTCCTATGGAAACAGGCTAGGGCTACCCTGCCCCAGTTATCTGCTTCATTTAAAAACAATCTGCATCTGCTTGAATAACTGAGGCAAAAACAGACTTTGGAGGCTTTAATGATGTATTTTAATAGAAATTTCAAGTTCCTGGCTTCTCTCCCTACCCCTTTCCACTTGACTTTGTGCTGTGTTGACTCATCTATGGATGGTGTTTTTTTTTTGTTGTTGCTTTTTCCTGCAGAAAACAACAATGTGTTTTTGGAGGTGATCAGATAACATCATTGAGGTTGATCTCAAGATGTGGAACAGTGGGCTGGGAGTGCTGGGCTGGCCTTCTGTTCTCCAGTTGCTGGGACAATGGTGGAGGTGAGGAAGGTCAGTGACTTCAACAGTCCTCTAAGTGGGTCTGACTGAGGTACCCACTCAAACTGGGAAAACAAGCAGCTTGGCTGACGCCGTCCAGTCAGTGGCCGGCATGGCTATTTACACGGGGCATTGCAAGTAAGAGTCACACCTGCCTACTAGAGTCGTGGGGTGGATTAAATGAATGAATACCTCTGCAATGCATCAATAGTGCCTGGCAGGAAGTAAATAGGACTCAATACATGTTATCAGTGATATTATGATGTTATTAGGATTGTGGAATCATCCTCATTATTGTTTGAACTGGCTGGCTGGCTGGCTGGCTGGCATTGTGTTCAGCTTTCAGGTGCACCTAGGCAGAGATTTCCCAGGTCACACCTGCATGATGGATTGGCACAAAGGAGGTAAAGTAGGTTTCTCAGGCTTGGGACTCTTGATATTTTGAACCAATTCATTCTTTTTTGAGACAGAGTTTCGCTCTTGTCACCTAAGCTGGAGTGCAGTGATGCGATCTCGGCTCACTGCAACCTCCACCTCCCGGGTTCAAGTGATTCTCCTGCCTCAGCCTCCTAAGTAGCTGGGACTACATGCGCCCACTACCAGGCCCAGCTAATTTTTGGTATTTTTAGTAAAGATGGGATTTTGCCATGTTGGGCAGGCTGGTCTCGAACTCCTGACCTCAGGTGATCTGCCTGCCTCGGCCTCCCAAAGTGCTGGGATTACAGGTGTGAGCCACAGCGCCTGGCCCAATTCATTCTTTGTGGTGGGGCTGTTCTGTACTCCGTAGCAACTTGTGTCCTTAGATGCCATTAGCACTTCTCTCCCCTCATTTGTGACAACCAAAATTACCTCCCAGGCATTGTCAAATGTTCCCTGAAGGGCAAAACTGCCCGGGATGAGCAGCTCTGGGATAAAGCCATGGTCAGGAGTCACAGTTCCCATTTCGTGTCTCACCTGCTATCCTAGAACCAAGGCCTCCACTCAAGTTCTCCCCTGTTCTGAGTTGGGGCTCACAGGTACTCACCAATGAGTCACCCTCAGGACCTTAGGAATCTGCTATTTGGGGTCAGGGGTATCTGCTGCTGAAGCCTGGGCGGCCTCTGCAGACCTCAAGGGCATCCTGCCTGGTGTCTGCACCAGAGCCCTGTTACCTGCTGAGGCTCACTGAATGGGTGGTGAGTTCTCCCACGGCCCAGTGCACTAGGGATGGCTGCTGTTTTAGTCCGTTTTCTCACTGCTGATAAAGACACACCTGAGACTGGGTAATTTATAAAGAAAAAGAGGTAGCCCGGCGCGGTGGCTCACGCCTGTAATCTCAACACTTTGGGAGGCCGAGGTGGGCAAATCACCTGAGGTTGGGAGTTTGAGGCCAGCCTGACCAACACGGAGAAACCCTGTCTCTACAAAAAATAGCTGGCCATGGTGGCACATGCCTGTAATCCCAGCTGCTTGGGAGGCTGAGGCAGGAGAATCGCTTGAGCCTGGGAGGTGGAGGTTGTGGTAAGCCAAGATCACACCATTGCACTCCAGCCTGGGCAACAAGAGTGAAACTCCGTCTCAACAAAAAAGAGGTTTAAGGGACTCAGAGTTCCATGTGGCTGGGGAGGCCTCACAATCATGGTGGAAGGTAAAAGTCACGTCTTACATGGCAGCAGACAAGAGAGAATGAGAACCAAGTGAAAGGGGTTTCCCCTTATAAAACCATCAGATGTCGTGAGACATATTCATTACCAGGAGAACAGTATGGGAGAAACCACCCCCACGATTCAGTTATCTCCCACCAGGTCCCTTCCACAACACGTGGGAATTATGGGAGCACAATTCAAGATTTAGGTGCAGACACAGCCAAACCGTATCAGCTACCCACCCACTGCCACTGCTACCAGGGTTATCAAGAAGCCATGAATTCTGCTACCATCAACTCACCAGGACCTCCCCTTGCTTTGGCTGTGCTGTTCTTTGTGACTTTGATGCAAGGAAGCCAGGTGACATCCTGGCTGAAGTCAGGGGAGGGTGGGGTGGGGAATGGCTTCCTTCCTGTTTGTTTGTCTCTATGCTCTGGTAGATGGACACCAAAGTGATCCCGTCTTCTCCCTGGATGAGGCATAGAGCTTCCCAAGACCCTCCAGTGACACAGACTCCCCTGAGTTCTAAATCACACCTTTCTTCCCTCCACAGATGCCTTGAACTTGATTCAAGCTGGTCTTGCTTCTCTTAGATTGAAGCTTCTTCAGTTGTTTGGCTAGACAGGCTCTGGGGAGGCCTGGAGCTCAGCAGTCTGCCTGACACCGCAATCTGGAAGCTCTGATGTGTAGGAAGCACACGACTTCTTACAAATAGTAGAAACTTAATTTTGGAGTAATATTAGGATGGTGCAAAAGTAATTGAGGGTTTTGCCATTATTTTCAAAGGCAAAAACCGCAATTGCTTTTGCACCAACCTAATACCGTATTTTGCAGATGAAAAAACTTAGGGCCAGAGAGATTAAATGACTGGTTCAAGGTCACACAATTAACTAGTAACAAAGGCAAGGACAAAATGCTCAGTTCCCTTTTTGGTGTCTATATTTAACTAGCAAACTACAAAAAGTATTATACCAATTAACTAATTTTAGGAAAGGGATTTTGTATAACATGCCTTTTTATCTGACATTGGAATAGGGGGTTTTCATATGTTATTGTGGTGGGAAATTGAAGCGTATCCCTTCATGCCTCAAAGCATTATTTTTATTTTAAATATTTTCAATGAAATATTCCTAAGACACATTAAATGAGACTCCCCCAAAGATTTTTACCTCATCAGTATTAGTGTGTGCATTTTGTGTTACATCCTTTTCTTCCTATAGAAGACATTTCCCCCCATTACTTTTGACATTTACATTTCATTCCAAATAGTCAAAATTACTATATATAATTTCTACATAAATGACATAATTATTATTATTGGTATTTTCACCAACAAGTCTATGTTTACTAGTATGTGGAGGCTAAAACTGTTTCCAAGTGGGAAATATTAATCAAAAGAAAGTCAAATCTCGCTATTTTCCAGGTCTGCCCTGTTTGCAAAGTTTCCCCATTATGCATGAATGCGTTTTAAGTTTTCAAAATATTTGCAAACCAAAATGGTCCTTGCAAACTCTTCTGTAGTCTTTCTTATCATCATGCTACTTTCTGAAGCCATTGGACACCAGCTGTAATAAGGATGATATTCTCTTTCAACATCAGTGTTCAACTTTTTACTTGGCATCTTTTTCTTGAGTTGGGTGTTCTAATAGAGTTTGATTTGAAAGTCAAGTGGTTCTGGGATCGCTCTAAACCTAAAAAAAAAAATGGCAAATGTGGGTCCATCAATTTTATGTCCAAGGCAGAGGAATGTCAAAAGTGTATTTGCCTAACTCTCTGGTTCCAGTTTATCGCTCTCTCCCCTGCCTGCAACTCGTAGCTCCAGAGAATTTCAGCTCATCAAGAAAAAGTACAGAATAAGGCTTGATGACATTATCACAAAGTCAGATTAACAGCAAATGGAGGAAAACAAAAATGGGCTCTTCCCTGGTAGAGATGTTTCTCTGCAGAAGGGTGGATGCTGATAATGCAGTCACTGGGATAAGTCCTTCAATCACTATGA
This sequence comes from Homo sapiens, assembly GCF_000001405.40. Taxonomy (NCBI): domain Eukaryota; kingdom Metazoa; phylum Chordata; class Mammalia; order Primates; family Hominidae; genus Homo; species Homo sapiens. The sequence goes on from NC_000016.10 coordinate 73,438,387, forward strand.
ACTCATAATGGCCCAAATGCAATCTTGGGCATTTGAACCAAAGCAACAAAAATCAGAAAGAGAGAGCATGTGAAGCAAGTTACAAAACACACATAACTAGATAAAAGAAATAATCATCCAAATGTATTTTGAACTGTAACGCATTAATACTTTTCCATGTTGACAGGGAAAAACAATAAACATCAAATGCAAGTTATATTACGCATCTATGCATTGCCTCTGGATTGTACAAAGTTCAAGAAAGAAGCAAAATTCTTGATATAGTGATAAAGTAGAGGAATAATCACATTAATGATAACCCTTAATTATTATTACTAAATTTGTGTTAAATTAGAATTTCAGAACCTCCAAACTCTTTCCTTATTTTCAGCATCCTCTTGAAAATTTGAGAATAAAATGTGTGGTAATTGCCCCAACAATTTTCTTTTTGGAAACTTCCTACCTACCTAGAGAGTGACAGTGTTTTCCAATGGAGAGAAAATCAGACTCACAAAATAGCAAGAGAAGCGACAGCCAGGACCAGAGACAAAGGTGACAGAGGCCCAAAGCAGTGAAGCCAGCAGTTCCCATTGCACTGAGAGTGCAAACCTGTGAGTGATAGAATGCCAAAAAGGAAAGGATGGAGATTTGGACAAGAGCAGCACATCTGTCTCAGACCATCACAGGATACAACCTGGGGGGTTTTTGCCTTCCTCCCTAAACCAAAGCAAATTAATAGAACCTAGCTTTCTCTTTCCTGGAAAACTCTCTGAGGGTCTAGTGTCAGCAATAGAGGCGGGGTGAGAAATCCATCAGCTGTGTTACTTGCTAGAAAGTTAGAAGAGTCAGCCGGCAGAAGGGTGATGCTGACCGGGCTTCTTAGTTGAACAGACTGTTGAATGATGAAACACAGTTTGGAATATTAAAAGAGCCACCTGGGAGATGGATTAGTGGCTCTGTTTTTTCATGCCAGCTTTGTTCATCTGATTTTGCTACCTTTGAGCTCAGCGTGCTATTGCAACTGACCTTCATCTTGAGATGAAGTGCGCGTTTAGGAATCACGGACATGGAATCCTCCAGCCCAGTGTATTTGGACCTCTGCTTGTGCCAAAGAACAACTAAATGCAAAATGCATACTATGCATGAGGGAAATCACTGAGCTGCTTACCGATGCTACACTCTTTCACTCCCTGTGTGATGTATGAAAAGCAGACTGCAATTATATAATTAGACTGAATATACATTTTTCCCATTAGTGTTTATTTTTGTTGCCAGTCAGATTGCCTCCTGGAAAATGGAGGCTGTTAGTCCACGTGGTCATCCCTCCTTCCCCCCTTTCAAGATGTTTTGCTGATCTGCTTTGATTTCTTTTTAGCAGCCTGCTGATTCTTCTCTTTACGGGTGCTCCTTGGAGTTTGAGGGGCTCAGAGGTGTGTGGATTGCTGAAATTGGACACATGTGGCATATTTGCCTTGAAAGGCTGAGGCTTGTATAAAGAGGCCCCTGGCAGCTGACTGTCAGTGGGGCAGGAAGGGGAGAGGGACAAAAAAAAAAAAAAAAAAAAAAACACAAAAAAAAAAACAAGGAGAAGGGCCAAGGCTTCAAAAGAGGTTACGGTGTAGGCACGGGGTTGAGATGGAGGAACACGCATGGCTGTTAGCAGTCAAGTGCGTTGTTCACAGTACATGGGAACTAAGTGAGGGTTCATTGATGGAAACAGTACACAATTTGGAGGAATAACCACAGAGTATTTACTGAACTGCCAAACTGCCTGGCAGCACCCCATCTGACCATCCAATGACTTTCCCAGAAGTGCAAATCAGAAAGTCAATAAGACACCTCCAGTTTCCAAATTCTATCTCATTGCACATAAACTGAAAGTCTCAACAATCAATACCGTGTTACTGAATTACAATCAGAATTCAGTGGAGCAACATCCAGACAAACGAGTGTGTCCAAGAGGCATTTGAGTCCATGGGTGAACTCCAGAAATTTTACATGGGATGAGGTGATCAGACCACCAATTTGGGAGACAGAAAACGAACACAAGACAGAAAAACTGTAGTCAATCTGCTTTTTTGAAAAATAGACCCATTTGGCACCAATTAACCATTCCCATTTCTCCGTGCCTGCCACGGAAAGTCTCCAGAAGCTCCGACTTTGTGTTAATTTCATCAGCTTCATTTCTGACAGATTGAGAGTTGGATTTGTAAGTTGGAAATAGCTACTATTGATTCACAGTGGTGCCTGCCTCTACCTACCTTAGTAATGGTTCCAACGAGATCTATGCAGCTAATTCCAATTCACCAGCCACTATTTTGGAAGAAGATGAACATTTTCAGGACCTAAGGGAACCATCATGGCCAGCCTTTCAAATGGCTTTGAAAAAATCCATCAGTCTCTCAAAATCTGTTTAGCTGAACAAATTCCCCCAGCTCCCATGTGTATAAACACCACCACTCTGTTTTCCTATCATCTGCCCCTTCCTCTTTATTGCTCTCATATTAGTAGATTAAAAGATCAGAAGTGCCAGCTTTTAGCAAATAGATTCATCTTTAGTCACAAACAGATTTCCATGAGAATGAACACTAAGTTATTAGGGAAGAGAGATAAGCACATTATTTGTATTTTAAGCTTGCTGTCTGATTTCTGTTTGGCATGCCCTGATTTCTTTTAAGCACTGGGAACACGTTCATTTTCCAGGTTTATATAGGGGTTGTTACATATCTAGAGTGCCATTTAGAGGATTACTAATTTACTAAATGGTACCCCAGTGCCCTGAAAGAGTTAATTCTTTTCCAAGAGATAAGCAATTTATTTTCTATTTAGCAGCAGGATAAGGCCCACTGCTTACAAATGGACTATGAGCCCCTTAGAGAGAGGGAGAGAGAGATGCTGTAAAAATAAAGGGTATAATAATTACAATTATTGTAATATAATGTCAATCCATGGTGTTATTTTTATACATTCCCCCTCCTAACCTTTGTCTAAAAGACCAGATCAACATCCTGAACTCCCTGTCATTTTTGCATGTGTCTTTGAAAAACCAGATGCCAAGAGATGTGCTGTATCCTTTGGTAAAAGAGCCCATCCAGCCAACCAATCAATCAACAGATGTTCCCTAAACACTGTAACCAAACAGCAAGCACAGCCCAAAACCTGCCTCCCAAGAGCTTCCAATTTAGTTGGGGTAATAATGATTCACAAGCAAACTCCAAGCCAGGGGTAACGACGCATACCAATAGGAAGTTCACGCAAGTCCAGCTCAGAGGAGAGAGAAATCAGCCACCCTATAAAGCAGCCATCGCCAACCACCCTGAGCTGGGAGTCAGTGACAACATGTATCTTCTCCTTGGTTCAAATTCCAGCTCTGCCATTTCCTAGATGAGTAATTTTCATCAAGTTACTTACCCTCTCTGAGTCTCAGTGTCTTGGAAAACCATTGACTTGAAATGTGGGGAAGATTCAGCAAAGTCAAATCTGCAAAACTACTTTGTAAACTGAAATGTGCTACAGAAGCACAAATACAAAAAGCCTCCCTGAAACGTGTACCGTTTTGAGAAAAATGAAAATGGTGGAATGCGACATCGTGTGCGGATGAGAATTTTCTCAACAGTTAGTGTCTTGGGATTCACTCTTAACAGGACTCCAGGTCTCTCCCCTTCTCCAGAGAGACCTGGGTCAGGCAGGCAGGCAATGATGGCTCTCAGTACCAAGACCTGAAGAAGGGAGGGTGGGTGTGTTTACAGATGACCAGAATGAAAGAAATGTTAGGGAGCTGAGACAAGTCTCTCCCAAGAGAAGGCAAAGGGAAGGAGGAGCCTGGAAGGGAAAGGACATTCATGTTAGTTTGCAGGTGGAGGCTAGAAGTCCGAGATCAAGGTGTTGGCAGGGTTGGTCTCTTCTGAGGCCTCTCTCCTTCTTATATAGATGAACCTTTTCTCCTTGCATCTTTGTACTGTCTTTCCTTTGTCCACATCAGTATCCCATTTCCTCTTTTTTTTTTTTTCTGAGACAGGGTCTTGCTCTACTGCCCAGGCTGGAGTGCTGTAGCACGATCATAGCTCACTGCAGCCTTAAATTCCTAGGCTCAAGGAATCTTTTTTAAATTAAAAAAAAATGTGAACAATATCTTTAGTATCTTTTGTGTGCGTAGTTAACCATGTAAGTGAAAAAACCCCATGAGATGACATAGGTGATTATAATAGAAAAGTGGAAAAACAACTAGTGTCTCAGTATTGAATTCCGAATAGAATTCCCAGTATATGGTAATCTTAAAAGAGACCTGTTTCTTCAGGTGAGTAGCTGACCCACCTCAGGGCCATGCCCCTCTTCTCTTTCCTCACAGCCTTAATTTTTTGCCAAAAGGGCCAGATTTGAATAAAGGGGAGCACCATGAGCGCAGGATCCAGGCATAAGGGCTGCTGTCTGTTGGGCTTTGGCAATGGGTGTTTGGGAAATTCTTGGGCTCAAAGAATTTGAGGCTGCAGTGAGTTCCACCTCAGCCTCCCGAGCAGCTACAGACATGTGCCACCTAACCCGGCTAATTTTTTATTTTATTTATTTTGTAGAGACGGGGTCTCACCATGTTGCCCAAGCTGTCCAATTTCCTCTTCTTCTAAGGACACCAGTGATATTGGATTAGGGCCCACCCTAACAACTTCATTTTAACTTTATTACCCATTTAAAGATCCTATCTCTGAATCCAGTCATGTTCTGAGGTATGGGGATTAGAATTTCAACACATGACTTTTCAGAGGGCAGAATTCAGCCCAGAACAACATGTAAATTCATGGCTGGATCTGAAGCTTTCTTTATATGACAATAACAGAAAGAAGGGAAAGAAATAAATTTGCAAGCATGGGGAGCAGCCCAAATGTTTATGACATACTTGTAAAGATTTGAAGAGCAAGAAAACAGCTTTGTGGATGGAAGTTACGGAGATGTGTGTCTGTGTGTACATTTTTCTTAAAAAATAGACAATTCCCACTCAGAGAATAATCAGAGTTCCCGGACATGATAACGATGTACAACTTATTGCCTAGATCTTTCATGCAAAGTTTTTGCAAAAGATGATAGTTTCTTCTCTGAAAGTCTCCTCCAATGGACACACCACAAGATCCCTTGGAGATCCACGGTGATCATTTATCACTTTGCCTGACAAAAAGTTATTCCTTATGTCTTACCCAAATCTCTTGCTAATGGAAGCCAAAGGTCAGCATTTTCAGCCTTATGACTTTGGTGCATTCCTTCTCTTTCCCATTCCCTGCAAATCTATTTTCCTCCTTCCCTCCTTCTCTCCCTTTCTCTCTCTATGGATATGGAGAATAATGATTCAAAAATATCCACATAAAATTCCACCATATATTTAGCCAGTTAAGTTACTCCTTGGCTTTTTTTCTTTTTTTGGAGACAGTCTAGCTCTGTTGCCCAGGCTGGAGTGCAGTGGCGTGATCACAACTCACTGCAGCCTCTACCTCCTGGGCTCAGGTGATCCTCCCACCTGAGCCTCACAAGTAGCTGGGACTACAGGTGTGTGCCACCATGCCCAGCTAATTTTTTTATTTTCTTTATAATAAAATATTTGTATTATTTATGATGCCCAGGCTGGTCTTGAATTACTGGGCCCAAGGAACCATCCCACCTTGGCCTCCCAAAGTGCTGGGATTACAGGCGTGAGCCACCACGCCAAGTCCTTCGCTTTCTCTTGGTCAAATAAATATTACACATTCTCCCACCACTGCCACCTGATATCCTAGATTTAGCTTTTCCTCAATAAAATATTAGACAAAATACTCCTACATTTTAAAATAATGATTTCTAGTATGGATAATTTTTTCAAGTCCCATGAAGTGAACAAGCTGCTGTTCCCTCTGCCATGAATATACACAGAGCTCTGATCCCTTGGGTGGGACTTCTGAGGTACACTTGCCTTTTAAAATAGAATATTCCGTATAAACACTTTACTGTGCAAAACAGCTGATCAGAATCCCTGGCCTGTATTGTATCTAAAATGACCATTTTTCTCTACCATTTCTCTCTACCTTATTCAATGAGTCTGGAAATCTTTTAAGTTTTTTTCCCTTAGATTTAATGTAATTTGCCACTTTTTAACCACAAGGTCAGATAGTTCACACAGCATAAATGGGATGCATTTGTAAGTCTCCATTCAGATATATGACATATACAGCAGCCAAAAGTTATGCTCCTTCTAATGTTAAAATCAGTAGAATATCTTTATAAAAGGACATTACTTGAAAGTTGAATTCCAGGTGAGCACATTTATGTGAGTGGCCTCCAGAAAACATGTTCTCTCTTTGGTGCATGTCAGATAGCAACTGATGGGGATGCAACTGAGCAACACTCAAAGCTCTCAAGTGAAGTGCAGCACCTGTGCAGCATGCAACACCATGCATGTTTATTCTGTATGTGCCACCTGACCTGTGCTCACCTCTTAGAAAAATCTATTCATGGCCGGGTGCGGTGGCTCACGCCTGTAATCCCAACGCTTTGGGAGGCTGAGGCAGGTGGATCATGAGGGCAGGAGATTGAGACCATCCTGGCTAACATGGTGAAACTCCATCTATACTAAAAAAAAAAAAAAAAAAAAAAAAAACAAATTAGCCAGGTGTGGTGACAGGGGCCTATAGTCCCAGCTACTCAGGAGGCTGAGGCAGGAGAATTGCTTGAACCCGGGAGGCGGAGGTTACAGTGAGCGGAGATTGCGCCATTGCACTTCAGCCTGGGTGACAGAACGAGACTGTCTGAAAAATTTTAAAAAAAATCTTTTCATATACAATGAATATAGATGTATATATGTAGTTCTGTATATGTATATACATAATTCGAATATATAATTCATGTGTATGTATGTATACATATGTGTATATGTGTGTATATGTATGTATATATGTGTGTATATATATATGTATATGTATGTGTGTGTGTGTATATGTATGGGGGGGAGAGAGAGAGAGCATCCATGGTTTTCCCAGTTTTATTGACCAAAATAGCACCCCTTCACCATTTTTCAGGCCTCCCAAGATATTTCCCCTGACTTTTTCATTGGATTTAAAGGGATTTTATAACCATATCAATTAGAAGGGATCAATGGTCAAGGTCTCTACTTGTTATCAAGCAGGATAGTTCCAAATGGAACTATCTGAGCAGCCCTGAGAAGATCTTCCTGCCTCCCAGGCCTGCTCTACCCAGACGCAAGATGCCTGAAATTCACAATCACATAGTGTGCCCCAGCATAGGGGAAAAAATGGTAAAATGTTCCTCTGGATTTGATCACTTCAGGTCACAGAAACCCAACTTCCAACTTCTGGAGTCTCATTCATTGAGAGCTTTGACCTTCTGAGGCTGCTGCACTGCCTGTGCCTGCGGTAGGCAGGAAGTAAGAGGGAATTAACACCTGGGAGCAGGTGTCCAAATGCACAGCAGGGTTAGTGTGTAAATAAAATACACCAGCTCCCTTTCCCCTGAGGTGGAATAACTGTGAGGTGTGAGTTCTACACTCTTCCATGAGTTCTGTCTTGAAATGAAGTTCCTGTTGCCCACAGTTGAAACTTGCTGGATAATGTTCTCTTTATGATCATCCTTCTCTTTTCTTGTTTGTTCTTATGCTTCTCTCAGTTCCTGGGATCACCTTACAAATAAATGAATTTTACTTGAATACTTTCCTGAGGATCTGTTTCTGAAATGAAGACAATGCACTCATTCATTTGGCATAGCCTCAGTAACACAAAGTTATGGTCTATTAAGGTGTGGAATCTTAAGTCTGAGGGGGAAATGGTGGAGTACATTTGGATCACAGAATCTTCCTGCTCTGGAACATGGATGGAGCTGGAGGCCATTGTATTAGTCCTTTCTCATGCTGCTATGAAGAAATACCCAAGACTGGGTAATCTATAAAGAAAAGAAGCTTAATTGACTCACAGTTCCTCAGGGCTGGGGAGGCCTCAGGAAACTTACAATCATGGTGGAAGGGGAAAGAAACGTCCTTCTTCACATGGTGGCAGGAGGGAGAAGTGCAGAGTGAAGCTGGGGAAAGAACCTTATAAAACCATCAGATCTCATAAAAGAACCCACTGACTATGGTGAGAACAGCATGGGGAAACCTCCCCAGTGATCTAATCATCTCCCACAAGGTCCCTCCCCCAACACGTGAGGATTACAGTTTGGATTACAATTCAAAATGAGATTTGAGTGGGAATACAGAGCCAGACCATATCAGCCATTATCCTTAGCAAACTAACACAGGAATAGAAAACCAAGTGCTGCATGTTCTCACTTATAAGTGGGAGCTAAATGATGAGAACTCATAAACACATAGAGGGGAACAACATATACTGGGGCCTACCGGAGAGTAGTGGGTGAAAGGAGGGAGAGAATCAGCAAAAATCAACCATGGGTACTAGACTTAATACCCAGGTGATGAAATAATCTGTATAACAAACCCCCATGACACAAGTTTACCTATATAATAAACCTGCACATGTACCCCTGAACTTAAAAGTAAAACAAAAAAGGCTGGGCACGGTGGCTCACACCTGTAATCCCAGCACTTTAGGAGGCCGAGGTGGGTGGATCATGAGGTCAGGAGATCGAGACCATCCTGGCTAACACAGTGAAACACCATCTCTACTAAAAATACAAAAAAATGAGCCAGGCGTGGTGGTGGGCACCTGTAGTCCCAGCTACTCGGGAGGCTGAGGCAGGAGAATGGCATGAACCCGGGATGCGGAGCTTGCAGTCAGCCGAGATCACGCCACTGCACTCCAGCCTGGGCAACAGAGCAAGACTCCATCTCAAAAAAAAAAAAAAAAATGTAAAACACAAAAACCTCTCTGCTCCAACATCTAATAAAAGGAACAAGAAGTAGTGAAAAAAATCAGGAAAACACCAGCAACAGTCAAACAAAGAAAATGGTAGAACTACAAGCCATAATCTTCAAAAAAAGTCAGCTTGGGAAGAGTAGGACAATGATTTTGGTGTACCACAACGCTGCTTTTAACCATACCCTGAATCCCAGAATGAGTAGAAAGAAGTAAAGAAAATACTTAGAATGTTCCCTGAATACCCCACAGTTCGGAGAAAAGCAAGCCAAGGGGTGTATAGGCATCTTGGGTGGAGTCAGGAACATAATTTCAAGATTAGAAGCTCTCTACCTCTTGCTAGAGGCAGGAACATTGCCTCTATAAGGACATTTAACAGAATTTCATGAAAAGGAGCAGAGTCCCTGGTTCTGAGACACAGCCCATCAGAGCAACTCTTCCCACTAAAGACCCAATACAGACAACAGATAGAACACATTAAACTGCTGCTAAGAGGAAAGAAGGGTCTCAGGTAAAGCAGGAAGTTGGTCAAGAAGAATTTATTTAATATCTGTTAGTACAGAGGTCTACACGGAGCTCTACATATTAAGCAAGAACAAAATAAATAACAGCATGAAGGGAACTCTATTTTTAATAATGGCAAACTTGTCCTCTCAGACTAAAGCTTTGCTGAAAACAACTTCATCATGCTGTAAAAAATAGTAAAAACACCTTAAAAGCATTGAGGAGTTGATGTGAGGTAAAGGAGTTGGTCAAACTGAAGGGCCTGCTAGAACCCTGAAAGAAAAGAACAGGAGAAACATTCTTTATCCACAAGCAGTCGCCAATAAGGACATTTGCCAAATCAGCACATTTGGATGTTGGTTTTGACAGCCTTGCTGTGTGTTTGTGGGGGCAGGGGGCAGGGGCAGATATTAATGCTCAGAGCCCATCCAGGGTAACGAATCTAGTAAGAAACTTCTTCACATTAAGCCAGGATGCCAAAAGATTATACATTAAGGTTGAGGATAATAACTTTAAAAAGGGAATGAGGTATACAAAAGAGATGAAACACCCATCTGGGAGAAAATACAACCCAAGGGAAAACAACTATCTTTTTTAGTACTATGCCGTAGAATAGTTAAATATGGCACACATTTACCAAAATACAAACTAAGTGGTAAGCTATTAAAGTAACATAATGATTTTTAAAAAGACTTTGGAGCTTAGGGAAAAAACTGCGGACTAAAATGTCATTATAGAACTAATAAATAAATTAGCACAGATAGTATGAAGTAGACAAGACTGAAAATAGAAAAACTGCTACAGGGCAAAGGCTTGAGAAAGTCTTTAGTGAACGAAAAGGAAAAGATAAAAAATAAGGAAGGTAATAGAAAAAGAAAATAATAGATGTTCCTGGAGTAGAGACTGCGACAGAAAAAAATCATATATAAGAGAAACATGAATGTGCCTTAAAAGGGGAAGGTGTATATTTATATACGTGTGTGTGTGTGTGTGTGTGTGTGTGTGTGTGTGTATCTTCCTCTTTTAAGGCACATTCATTTTTTCCTATATATGAATTTTTTCTGTCTATTGCATTCTCTATTCACAGTACATTCTATGAGAAACTAATATGAATTTTTTGATCCTGAGTATATCTTAAAGAACAAAGAAAAAATTCTGTATTTATTCAGAAAGAAAACTCATGTACTCTATAAAAGGAAATTTAGATAAGCCACAGTCTTTTCCATAACATCCAAAAGACAAGAAAGCCATATTTACAAGGTTCTAAAGAACAAGGAAGTATGTTTCATAGAATATAATGTCTAGTCAGGTTCATGTTTGAATATAATTGCAACACTGAAATATTCTCAAACTCGGAGTATGACACCTATGAGTCCATGTATTAATCAAACAAAATATAACAACTGTGCAGTTAAAGGACAGTATCCAGTACTGTGAGACAATGGACAAAGGTCTAACACATTTTGAGGGAAAGAAAGTGTGATTCCTCAAATTTTATACCCAGCTAATGTGTCCTTTCATTTATTCATTTATTCTTGTGTGTTTATTTTTATTTTATTTTCTATGCCTTCACAGTGCACCTTGAGTATAAAGGTAATAGACATTCTTAGGCATGCGCAAGAAATTAGAATAGAGCATCTAACGATCTTCTAAAAGTCTTCTTAAAAACAAGCTGGGCATAGTGGTTTGTGGCTGGAGTCCCAGCTACTCAGAAGGCTGAGGCGGGAGGATTGCTTGAGGCCAGAAGTTAGAGATCAGCCTGGGCAACATAGCAAGACCCCATCTCAAAAAATAACAACAACAACAATAATATAAACTCTTCTTAAAAATAAAATTCGCCTAATAAAGGTAAATAAAAAACAATGAAGAACATGAATCTAAAAAACTTGAGCACTTAATTATTTAATATAGAAGTATAAAATATGACAAAATGAATGTGGCTTGAGAACAAGATGACAAATATTACAAACCTTGATGAAGTAAAACAATAACTAGTAAAAGGAGGTAAGGGAAGGAAATTGAGTAGCTGTGTGCTAATTTTCTCATCTTTTAAGCAAGGAGTCAGTCAATATTGTCTAATACTGAAGCATGAAGTTAAAGTAATCGATCTAGAAAAAGGTTTTCTCCATTTTTTTTCTCTTAATCATAGATTGTTTCAGAACTATATTCTGGCAAAAAAAAATGTTTTCTTCTGAGGATCAGAAATGCTTCAATTTCAAGTCTATATTTTTTGTTAAATTCTAACCTAACAATGTCTACCCATTAAATGCAATACTTCTGATATTTGTCATGCATAACCCTATTTTAAAATATTTAAATAAAAATTGTACATATTCAAGGTGTACAATGTGATAATTTGATATACATATACACTGTGTACTGATTACCACAGCCAAATTAATTAACATATCTATCACCACCTATAGTTACCATTACTGTGTGTGTTTGCTGGGGGTGAAGGTACCTTAAATCCACTCCTATCAAACTTCAGGTAAACAACACAGTGTTTTTCATTACAGTCTTCATAATCCCTTTTTAAAAATCTGTTTTTCTTAACCTCATTGAATCTTTTATTCTCTGTATCTGTCTCACTGTTCTCTTTTCTTTCACGTATTCATGGTAAACAAATGCTTAGACATTCAACAGATTTGAAAGACTTTTTTAGGTGGTAGAAGTTTTGATGAAATTTTGCTTTCTTTGTATTCTACCACTTTTAATTTTATGTAGCGGACATGTGTCATTTTTATAAAAAAAAAGTCATTATTCCATAAAAGAAAAAATATAGGCTTTTAACACGTGTTTGTGGTTTTCATCTTCGTGTTTTTCATAATTTTGCTTATGGTATCAAACGAAAGTAGCAATCACTTGACTTTACTACATTTTTAAAAACTCTGCTGTTTTCTTTAGAAGAGCTAGCCTCTTGGAAACTGATGCTTCTTTTCTCTTGATGCTGCCAGATCCCTAACTCCGAATCTTTCATATTTTAATCCTCAAGGTTTCCTGAACATGTCGAAGGAGAACTCACCAATGCCTGCATGCATTTGCAGATTAACAGCTTCTGCCATTAGCAAATTGGAAATCCCTTCCCTCATCTTTCTTACAGGGGGAGTCTTTTTCTCCTAATAGTACTATGATTCCCATTTCTGCATTTTCTTATTAATGTAGTGTATAGAGCATTTTTATTTTTCTTGGCTGCTTTAGCTTTCTGTTGAGCTTCATGAGTATTAAATGGAATGGCTTATCTGAGGGAACAAAGCAAAGCAAAAACTCTACTTTCAACTAATGGGAAGACGGATCTTTAATACAGAAGCAAGACACTGGTAGGCAAACAGTACATGGGTCATGCTCTGTGTTCCACTAAGTCATAAGGCTCTCATGAGGCCACAGGATACATGTTTGGAGCAATGATGCTGCCTCAGTGGGTGAGATGAGATCAGTCAAGGGCCTGCAGCTTCTGATTTGAAAACAACAGGCACCTGATCTGAACTGGGGTGTTCCCAGAATGTGACCCAAGCTTTCAGCTTACACTAGGGGATATACTAGACTTGGTAAGTGGAAGGACACAGGCCAGATCCATCAAAAAATGCTTTACAATGAAGGGCAACTAAGAATCGAGAGCCCCTACGATGCAATTCCTTTAGACTACTTGTTACTTGAATTGAGGTGACTATTAGTGGCACCAATCAATGAAAATTTTTTCTCCCTAATATTTTGTAAAATCTGTGGCTTCTCCTGTAGCCAGTATCTGAAGGCATCTAGTCAACGCACTAAATATCCTGTTAACATTGATAAGCATCCTTATTTCTAATTACCAGATGAATATATGAAGGCATTCTTGTTCAAGAAAGCATCGGTATTTTTGCTACTACTGAACAATTAACATAGTTGATGGAGTGAGCCACCTGCACTCTGGGTGTTTTAAGCATTTTTCTAAATTATTATTTTGGTTATTACTACTCTCTGAGTAAGATTTTTGCCTCTTTTAATATTTCTGTTAACTGGGAAATGACCCCAGATGGGAGATCCTTAGGTTTTTGGGCATAAAAGAATTTTTTTAAAAAACGGAACTAAATACAGCAGAAAATGACTATAACAATAACATACACGTGTGCATATTTTGAACATATTTTAGGGGAGAACTGTTCCATGTGATAAACACAACACCGTCATTTTGAGCCCAACTTTCTTCTTGAAAAATATCAAAGATTTTGCTTAAGTTGCCATGGACAAACAGACTTATAGACAATTCAGAATCATTTGGAGAGATGAGGGCTACATACTGTATTTAACTTTCAAAACACAGTAAGTAGATTGAGCTCAGCAGTACACAAAGAGCTGAGAGTTTCTGGGATAAACACATGGGAATCAGTGGGAGAGGCAGAAAAAGGAGACTAAAGATTACAAAATTCAGTCACATTTCAAAATTTTCTGCTACAATAATTCACTTTATGTAGAATTAATGTGTCTGATTGAACGTTTGTGCTGTAATTTACTTATAATTAACATTTTATGGTGAACAGATTTCTCCACCTCCTTCATGCTGTGAACTCTAAGCCATAGGTCAAAAATAGAGATGAAACAGATAAGCACAAAATATTCTCACTGAAACATTAATGAGATTTTAATTTACTGCTTTAAAAACACATCTTTCATCAACGTCTGTATATAAAAATCACCTTTTTATTTTAATTTTTTAATCACATTAAAAATATAATGAACTCTTCTAGCTGGCAGAAAGACACTAAAAAATCTGATGCAGGCAGGCAGTCCTAGGTAGTTAAATCATTTTCCATCTTGTTCAGGAGCCAAAAATATTGTCTTGTGAAGAGGTAATGGTTTAGTTCAACTCAGCCAAGAATCTCTTCTCAATTAATCAGTGCATTTTGATAGGTAAGAATTTCTTGCAAATGGTGACCCTAGGAAAACCATTCCTACTCCCAAACTAAGACATTTGTGAAGACCAAAATGTGGGTGGGCCTTCCATTTGTTGGATTTACTTACCTTAAGGGAGAAGCTTGTGCCTGTCTAAAGTTTCAAGGTAGAACAATAGGATTTCAAATGAAGTGAGGAATTGGGAGCAAGAAATTTTCATTTGGTACTGAAGTTATTACAAAGTGCTGCCTTCCAACCAATGATTACCATTTCTATTAACGCACCAGACATTAAGTCATTAAGTCTCTTATTACTCCTTAAGACTTGACCTAAATCTCTCTTTCTCAAAGAGGTTACCTTTGGTCCACTTTGCTGCAAGCATCAATCATATCCAGTCCTTCTCCATTGGGTTGGACTGACCATGAGATATCTGTCTACTTACCTACCTACAAACCCACCCACCCACCCATCCATCCACTTAATGTGTGTCTTTCATGCTAAATTATAAACTCTAAGAGGACAGTCCCACATCTGAGTTACTTATCGCTGTAACTGGCCATTTGTAATAGGTACAATAAATGTGTGTTGACTGATTGAATTACTGGGTTGTCGGTTGGCCCTCTGGGCATGAAATCCAGTGTGATTTGTTGTTTCCAAAAAAGTTGTAACTAGTTGATTCCCCATTGAGAGGTAGAGTCTACTGTTCCATCCCCCTGAATCTGAACTGACCTGTGACTGCTTTGTGTAATTGGATGTGGAAGAGGTGACTGTGCCAGTTTGGGCCCTGCTTTTAAGAGGACCAGCAGGTTCCTCTTCCCTCAACATGGAACATTTGCTCTGGAGAATGTTAACTGCCTTGTGAGAAGTCTCACTACCCTGAGACTTCCATGCCGGAAGGACACTCAAGCTGGTCACCTAAAGAGACGGTGTCAGAAAACAGAGTGTAACACTAGCCACCTTCAGCTGTTTTAACCATCCTGGCCCAGGAGCCAGACATGCAAATGAAGGAACCGTCTCAAACATTTCAGACAGTCCAGCCCCGTGGATTCCATATGGAAAAGCAAGTGTATTAGTCTGTTTTCATGCTGCTGATAAAGACATAGCTGAGACTGTGCAATTTATAAAGAAAAAGAGGTTTCATGGACTCACAGTTCCACATGGCTGGGGAGGCTTCACAATCATGGTGGAAGGTGAAAAGCATGTCTTACATGGCGGCAGATAAGAGAATTTGTGCAGGGAAACACGTCTTTGTAAAACCATCAGGTCTTGTGAGACTTATTCACTATCACCAGAACAGCACAGAAAAGACCCACCCTTATGATTCGATTACCTCCCACCAGGTCCCTCCCACAACATGTGGGAATTGTGGGAGCTGTAATTCAAGATGAGATTTGGGTGGTGAAACAGCCAAACCGTATCAGTGAGGCTCTGGAGTGAGTTGCCCATCTTATTGTCACCCTGAGGCATCCCAGCTCAGCCTTAGACATCAGGGAGCCGAGGTAGGGCATTCCCACTGCATCCTACCCAAATTCTTGATTCTTTATTATGCTCAGAATCCATGAGCATAATAAAATCACAGCTGTTTTACACCATTGTGTTTTGGGATGGTGTGCATGGCAACAATAGATAAGAGAAACATTCTAAGAGTCTACAGTATGCACCATGTCTTTGTCTCAATCTTGGGTACCCATGACATTTTATTCTAGAGAGAAAATCCAGACAGAACCATGTTCCACCCGGATCTCTTTTACAGATGATACAAAGATGGTAGGTTCTTTGAAGTAGACTCGACAGACTTAGTGGAAATTTTGAACCTGATGCCGATCCCAAAGGAATAAATATCTCAAGAGGAGTTCATTCGTGTTCTTTGAATTCCCTAAGACAGTAATGGGACCATTCAAGCTACCAAATTCAGCAATTTTCTCAGAAATTTGACTTAGGTTAGTTAGCAAAAATGAGGCTCTGTTTCCTCACTCTCACAGCCAAATTTCTCAAAAAAAAAAAAAAAGCCATTTACACAGATCTCAATTTCTTTATTTTTCTATTCACTCCCCAGTCCATTCTAAGTCTTCACAATTACTGCTTCCTTTTCCCAGTTAGGGTATCACCCCCCTCTCCCCCACCCACCCAATAAAGAGTGTGTGTGGCTCAGGGAGAGGAGCGAGACTACAAACACAAAAGCAAAGATATATCTGCTTTGCATAAGTTACATCCTGTCCTTTCAATCACAAATCTTCTATAATGTTATGCAAATATTCAAGACTTTTCCATCATTTATGATAACAGTGTTGGGAAAGCTAGGATATTCAAGTATAAGACAGTTAAAAAAAAAAAAAACTACAATAGAAAACTAACCTGGGCTTTGATTTATCTTCTCCAAGTTCAGACCAAATGAGAATGAAGACCTTTTATGCCAAGAACATGCTACTTATTTTTCACACGATTTACAAATGGAAGCTTGTCATTACAAATCCCGATGTGACTCTTTTTTGAACCATCATGACGTTGTCAGGTGTCCATCACAGATGGAGTAGCTCATAAAATTAGAATGACCCCTTGATAGAAAACAAGACCTACACAGACCTGGTTTTCATACCAGCCACACCTGCTTTTGGAACAAAGGTGAATGCATTTAGTTCATAAAAATAGCACCTCTTATCTGAGAGGTCCAAATGCTTCCCAGGAACTTTACATTTGCATTCTCAGAGTTTGGAAAAAGTGGAAAATTGATTGCGAGAATAGAGATCATTCATCCAGTTCCTTAGTGCATCATAGGAACATGCAAACTAAAGAGTGAAAATAAAGACCCAGGGGGCTAAACAAAATGGAACATACATGATGGTTCTACATTCTTCCCACCCCAGAGGTCCCTTTGTTGCCTGTCTCAACTCAAGAACATTCCATGAAAAGAAAGGTGATGCTGAAGAGAGACCCAGGATGTGTATGTGGAAGCCAGCAAAAGCTCATAATTCAATGAAGTCATTTCATTCCCTTTACTTTCTAACAAGCTCCAACCCATTCAAAGGACTTATTAGAATTTCAAATGAAAAGCTGAATACTATGAGCATTGTAAATCAGCTACAAACAGCTTTTAAAACTGTGTCAGGAGAAATACACTTGTAATTTTCTTCCTTTTTTTAAAATATTGCTTTTTTTTTTTTTTAACTTCAAAGCTTTGTTTGTTAAGAAGCAGTTACCAATTTATTTCTACAGAAGGAATCTGATTTTGGTTGGAGTGAGGGGGCCCAATTGGAGCAATCCTTTCACCTGGGTTGGTACGCGCTCCCAGCATTATACCGATTTGTGGCACATGCACTACTATCCAGGTGCTGGGTGTCCCTTGACAAACCACATTGCGTTATTTATTTTATTGTTGTTCTTCTTCAGATTTCTTAGAACCCGAAGCAGAAATATCCCTTACCTGGGAAGAACTGTGATTCAGACTCCTCCAGTCCTGGAGACCATATGTGGTCTTTAAAAATGTCCAAACAAGAATAGGATGCCAGGGGAGCCGTCCGTCTAACGGGGCCAGCGGGCAGCAGAGTCCTCCTCAGGAGTCAGGAGCCTTTCTCCTCTTGCAAGGATGTCCCGCAATCTCTCATATGTTCATCTCCCTGAGAACTTGACAGGGTCGTGAGACAGGGATATTTTATACTTGTTCCTTGTTCTCCAAGTCCCTGGAAAGAAAAGAAATAGATTTCTCAATTTGTAAAAATCTTAAACTGAGATTAATTTTCAAATAGAAGAGATACATTCCTCCCCACTTTCCCCCTCCCTTCCTTCCTCCTTTATCTTCTTCTGCAGCACAGAAGGCCCATGTGATTACCTAGATCACCTTCCACACTACCCAAAGCAAAAAGACGAAGTATCACAGCAGCTATATCCACAGGAAAACATCCACAGCAATTGGGCGTCCTTGGTGAATGTTACTTTCTTTACACAGAACGCTTACCACTAACGACTTGCAAAACATAGGACACTATGTTCTGATAGGCAAGACCACAGCCAGCTTTGACAGAAAGAAGGTGCTACTCAGAATCACAAGCTTCTTTCTCTCTTCTGTTTCAGTTCTGAAGAGTAGCTGCTCCAATGTCAAAATGAAAATTACAACCTCCAAATTAATAGAGTGCCGCTCCAAGGCCTGGAGAGTGGGATCCAGATGCACCTTCTATCGGGATGGAAAAGATTTAATCAAGCTGCACTGACTATTTATTGAACACAGAATTACTAAGCATCAACTACTGAAAACCATATGCATGACCTTTAAAAACTGATAATTCTCTGCTGGCCTCCCCTTTAAATCTTGCAATTATATTCCGAGCAAAATACTTGAACAGCCAAGTCAGAGGAGTGCCCCAAAACTCCGCTTCAGCGAGGCGTAATAGAAGGGTCTGGGGCTGTTGAAAGGGACAGATTGGAGATAACATTCAGGTGGAAGGAAATCTACTGATTACTTTGGTTAGAAATGGAGGTAAAACCACCACATATAGAGGGTAGCGGAGCCTTGTGCTTCTGAGCAAACTGGTAGAACCACTCTCTTCCCTTTCCTGCACCACCTCCCCCAACCAGCATAACCCTCTTCCTATTTTGGAGAATTTTTATAGAGGAAAGTGACAGTTTTCTTCCAAGAGGTGGCATCTCTCTGGAAACCATCCTGGTGGACAAAGCGATAATGATGAGAGGCCCCCATGAAAGAGAAAATGCTGGCATCAGGAATGGAGACCATGAGGTCTGGTCTTTCAGGGACAGTTTCCCCCATCGGTGGCAGCCCCAGAGCGCCTGGCTTTGACTGCATCACGTGAGCTGGAAAGTTTCCTTCTATGCAAATCTGCATTATTAGTAGAAGGGCCTTGAATAAGCTGCTGAACCTCTCTGAACCACATTCAGACACTTACAAAACGAGGGAGTCGGCCGGGCACGCTGGCTCACTCCTGTAATCCCAGCACTCTGGGAGGCCGACGTGGGTGGATCACTTGAGGCCAGGAGTTCAAGACCAGCCTGACCAACATGGTGAAACTCTGTCTCTACTAAAAATACAAAAATTAACCTGGCGTAGTGGCGCATGCCTGTATTCCCAGCTCTCCTGGGAAGGCTGAGGCATGAGAATCGCTTGAGCCTGGGAGGCGGAGGTTGCAGCGAGCCGAGATTGCACCACTGCACTCCGGCCTGGGCAACAGAGCGAGACTCCGTCTCAAAAAATAAAATAAAATAAAATAAAAATGAGAGAGTCATACCTACTTCATGGTGATGACTCAGTGAAGGAATGCATGGGAAGTTCTCAGCACACAGCCTAGCTCTGAAAAGCTTGATTGGAGTTCCTTTCCATCCCAACTTCCTTCCCAGGAAGATGGAGACACTAGCTAGCTAAATAAGGGGCACTTAAGCTCAGGTGTTTAACAGATTCTCCAGCACTTTATAGGTGCTGGCTTCACAGGAAGGCACTTGAACCATTTTGTCCTGCACCATCCCGCAATAGACACCTGTTCTTGAAATGACTTGGTTTTCATTTCTCTGTTTCCTGGTTAGTCAACAGAAACATCTATCTTTATAGAAATTACTTTCAAACCCCTTCTCTCTCTTATTATGCCTCTTTCTCTTTTTCTTTCTTCCTTTTCTATACACATTTTCAGCCCCAGAGTGGTTACCTGCCAAGACACCCAAGTAGAATTCTTTTTTCTTTTCTCCTTTCTTTCTTTCTCTCTTTCTCTCTCTCTCTTTCCTTCTTTCCCTCCCTTCCTCCCTCACTTCCTCCCTCCCTTCCTCCCTCCCTTCCTCCTTTCCTCCCTCCTTCCTCCCTCCCTTCCTTCCCTCCCTCCCTGAGTCTTACTCAATTGCCCAGGCTGGAGGGCAGTGGTGCAATCTTGGCTCACTGCAACCTCCGCCTCCCGGGTTCAAGCAAATCTCATGCCTCAGCCTCCTGAGTAGCTGGGATTGCAGGAACCTGCCACCACACCCTGCTAATTTTTGTATTTCACCATATTGGCCAGGCTGGTCTCGAACTCCTGACCTCAGGTGATCCACTCACCTCGGCTTACACCTGACTTTTGAACTGCTCTTTAGACCCCTGCTTTTTGTCTTGATGCGGGTTGGCTCCCTCGGTCACCTCTCCCTACCCCAGGTCACCCCCAACCTTTATCGCATTTTCTTATGCTTTTGTATGATAGTTTTCCTTTTTAGTAAAAACATTTAAAATGATTTCCGATTGTCTGCTCTGTAAACTCTTTTCCCTGTTTTAAATAATTAAGGAATCAATATCATTTTAACATATCTGTAAGTCTTCATATTAGTAACAACTGAAACCTCCGTACGATGACATGGAGAATAAACATCCCTGTCTATAGCATTCTAAACGACTTACCCAAGAAGCTCATTTGCCTAATTACTGGAGTTAATGAAACTCTTCCATCTGCTTTTAACGTCTCACTTTCTATCACACCTATCTGCCCTGTTTATGGGTATCAGTAAGATGGGCAATAGCAAAGAGTAGACACGTATGTGAGACATACTGAATAATTCCTCCAAACAGACCAGAGAAAACACAAAAAGTTAATTTTAAATGGAAAAGCTCATGGAGTCCCTGGATGTGGTGAGTTCCTTCTTATAAAAACTAACCTTTTTATTTTGAGATAATTGTTGATTCACACGCAGTTGAAGACACAATACAGAGGTAAATGTATATGTATCATTTGCCATTTCCTCTGTATTAGTCCATTTTCATACTGCGATAAAGAACTGCCTGAGACTAGGTAATTTATAAAGGAAAGAGGTTGTCTTTTTGTTGTTGTTTTTTTTTCTGAGATGGATGGAGTCTCATTATGTCGCCCAGGCTGAAGTGCAGTAGCACTATCTTGGCTGACTGCAACCTCCACCTCCTGGGTTCAAGCAATTCTCCTGCCTCAGCCTCCCAAGTAGCTGGGATTACAGGCACATGCCAACACACCAGCTCATTTTTGTAAATTTTTTTTAAGTAGAGATGGGGTTTCACCATGTTGGCCAGGCTGGTCTCGAACTCCTGGCCTCAAGTGATCTGCCCGCCTTGGCCCTGCAAAGTGCTGGGATTACAGGTGTGAGCCACCACGCCCAGCCAGGAAAGAGGTTTCATTGGCTCACAGTTCAGCATGGTTGGGTAGGCCTGAGAAAACTTACAATCATGGCAGGAGATAAAGGGGAAGCAAGGCGCCTTCCTCACAAGGTGGCAGGAAGGAGAAGTGCTGAGCTAAGGGGAAAGAGCCCCTTACAAAACCATCAGAGCTCCTGAGAACTCACTGACTATCACAAGAACAGCATGGGGGAAACCACCCCCGTGATTCAATTACTTCCACCTGGTCTCTCCCTTGACACATGGTGATTATGGGGATTACAATTCAAGATGAGATTTGGGTGGGGACACAAGGCCTAACCATATCACCTCCAATGATAATATTTCCAAAACCACAGTACAATATGACAATCAGGATAGTGACCTTGATACTGTCAAGATACAGAATGGTTCCATCACCACAAGGAGCTCTCCTTTGGGCCACACCCCCTTCCCTCCCATTCCCACTCTCTCCTTAACCCTTGGCAACTACTCCTCTGTTCTCCATATCTATAATTTTGTCAATTCAAGAATGTTATATAAATGGAATATTACAGTCTGTAAACTTTTGAGATTGGCTTTTTTTCACTCAGCGTAATTCTCACATGATTCATCTAAGTGGTCGCCTGTATCAATTGTTTGCTCTTTTTTATTGCTGAGTAGTATTTCATGTTATAGATATTCTACAGTTTGCTTAACCATCTACCTACTGGAGGACAACTGGATTGTTTCTAGTTTGGGGCTATTACAAATCAAGTTGTTATAAATAGTCATGTACAGTATTTTGTGTGAACACAAATTTCCATAAATGATCTTTGTGGTATAAATATCCAGGAGTGCAGTTGTAGGGTGGTGTAATTGCTTGTTGTTGTTGTTGTTTTTATGAAACTCCCAAATTGTTTTCTAAAGTAGCTGTGTCATTGTACATTCTCACTAGCAATGTATAAGTCACTTGATTTTTCTGCATCTGATATAGTTTGGATATGTGTCCTTGACCAAATCTCATGTTGAAATGTAATTCCCAATGTTGGAGGTGGGGCCTGGGTGCAGCTAATTGGATCATGAGGGCAGTTTCTCATGAATGCTTTAGCACCATCCACTTTGTGCTGTCCTCACAACAGTGAGTTCTCGTGAGATCTGGCCATTTAAAAGTGAGTGGCACCTCCCTGCCACTTTCTTGCTCCTCCTCTGGCTACGTGATACACCTACTCTCCCTTCGCCTTCCAACGTGATTGTAAGTTTCCTGAGGCCTCTCCAGAAGCCCAGCAGATGCCAGCATCATGCTTCCTGTACAGGCTGCAGAACTGTGAGCCAATTGCCTCTCTTCTCTTTATAAATTACCTAGTCTCAGGTATTTCTTTACAGCAATGCAAGAACAAACTAATACAGCAACCTTGCCAGAATTTGGCATTGTCACTGTTTTTAAATTATTTATTATAATAGGTTTGTCATGATATCTCATCATCCTTTTAATTTATGTTTCCCAAATAGCTAATGATGTTGAACATTTTTCCATGTGCTCATTTGCCATTTGTGTACCATCGTTGCTGAAATGTCTCTTCATGACATTTGCCCATTTTCTAATTGGATTGTTTATGTTCTTACTGTTGAGTTTTAAGTGTTCTTTATATAGTCTAAATACTAGTCCTTTGTTGGATATGGGGTTTCAGGTATCTTCTCCCAGTCTATAGCTTATCTTTTTGTTTTCCTCTTAAGGCCTTTCATAGAGTAAAAGTTTTTAAATTTTTTGGAGTCTAAGTTATCAGTTTTGCTTTTATGTGTCAAGTCCAACAAATCTTTTGTAGTCCTAGATCCTGAAGATTTTCTCTTCTTTTTTCTAAAAGTTGTATAGTTTTATGTTTTGCATTGAATTCTGCAATCCACTTTGGATTCATTTTCATGTATGGTGTAAACCAAGATTGAGGTTCACTTTTGTTTACCTATGGAAGTCCACGTATACAAGCAGCAGTCACTGAAAGGCTAGCTTTCCTCCACTGAACTGCTTTTATACCTTTGTCAAAAATCATTTGTAAGTATTTGTGTGGGTCTATTTCTGGGTTTTCTATTCTTCTTCATTATCCGTGTAACAATACCACACAGCATTGATTCCTATAGCTATTTAATTAGTCTTTAAACTGGCTAGATGATTCCTCTCACTTTATTTTTCTTTTTCAAAGCTGTTTTAGCTATTCTTGTTCCTCTGTCCTTCCATAAGTATTTTTGAATAATTTTCCTATATTACAAAAACTTGCTGGAATTCGGATAGGAATTAGACTAAGCCTATATATCAGTTTTGAGGAAAATTGACATCTTTCCTATGCTGAGTCTTCCATCAACATTGAATGTCTCTCCATTTATTCAGGTCTTCCTTGATTTATTTCATCAGCACTTTGCAGTTTTCAATATACAAGTCCTGTACATGTTTTGATAGATTTACACCTGCGTATTTTTTTTTAGCTATGGTACATGATGTATTTTTAATTTGGTTTCCATGTGCTCATTGTTAGTATACAGAAGTGCAATTGCTTTTGTGTAAGTTTATCTTATGCCCTGTGACTTTGTTGAAGTAACTTATTCATTCTAAAAGCTTTGTCATTATTGTTTTTTGTAGATTCCTTGGGATTAAAAACATTTTTATTCTAATCCTAAATTTCCTTATCCCTTGAGATTTTCAATGTTGACAATTATGTATTTTGCAAATAAAAATACTTCTTTTTCTTCCTTTCTTATCTGTGTACCTTTGATTTCTTTTTATGACCTTAACACATTGACTAGAACTTCCAGTACTATTTGGAATGAGAGTGTTAAGAGTGGACATCCTTGCCTTGTTCCTGGTTATAGCGGAAAAGTGTTCAGTCTTTTATCATTAAGTATAACACTAGCTGTAGGTTTTTGTAGATGCTCTTTATAAAGTTGATGAAGTTACTATTTCTTTATTTCTAAGAGTTTTTATCATGAATAGGTATTCAATTTTGTCAAATACTTTTCTGCATCAATTGATATAATCATGTGATTATACATTCCTCTTCTTTAGCCTGTTAATATGGTGGATTATATTGATTGATTTTTCAATATCTAACCAGTCTTACATCCCTATAATAAATGCCACTGAGTCACGGTGTATCATTCTCATTATATAATGTTGAATTCTATTTGCGAACACTTTGTTAAAGATTTTTGCCTCTATGTTCATGGGGCATACTGGTCTGTAGTTTTCTTTTGTACTATTTTAGTCTGGGTTTGGCATCAATATAGTGTTAACAACATAAAATGAATTGGAAAGTGCTTCTTTTCTGGATGATATTGAAATTGTGTAGAATTGGTGTTAATGCTTCTTTATATGTTTGTCAGAATTCTTCAGTGACTTTTCTGATACTCCAACTCCCCTTCCAGATCTTACTGCCCCAACTCCTCCCACAATTATGCAAGGTCTGAAGTCTATAATAAATTTCTTAGTCCATAATACTCATAGTTTCTGCTTCCCTGATTGAACCCTGATACCTTAAAATCATTTGCTATTACAGTGGAATAATAGTTAACATTTACTAAGTACTTAAAACATGCCAAGCACTTTACAATTGTTATTTCATGTAAGTAATCCCATTAAGAAAGTGATATTGTCCCCTCAACTTTACAGAAAAGAAAACTGAAGTACAGAGAAGTTAAGTAAGCTGTGAACAGTCACACAGTAGGGATCAGAAGCAGGACAGAAATCAAACTCTTAGCCAGGCTGTCTACTAACGTTCTTTCTCTTGACCTCTAATTTCTCTCAGAAGACCAGAGCCTATGGTGCTGATACGATAGAAGGCATAGATTTGAGCCTGGATCCCATTCATCGTTTCTGGTATAACCTGTGCTTTTCATTTTGTTTGCTTTCCCTTTATACCCTCCTGCCGTTTCCCTTCTTTTCGTTATCTCTTCTTTTCTCTGCTCATTGAGGATGTTTCCTCTGGACTTTTTCCCCGTCGAACCCCTCCCCCCACCTTCCTATCACCTTTTATACTATTGGAAAGTGAATCAGACCCACAGGTGTGTGTTCTTCCAGATTCGCTGGCCCTCATATCATGAAGCACCAGCGTAAGAACAAGGGCAAGCCCTGGCTAGGGAGGTGGCTGGACGGATATGCAGTGCACTAAACAGAAGGGGCGTTCGTTACAGCAAGAGCAAGGGCAGCAGACACACACCTGCTGGAAACCAGAAGAAAATGGTCCGCAGTGACTCTGAGAAATTACCTTTCTTGTTCTGACTCCTTTTTTTGCTCACTTTGGGGTCAGTGAACTTATTTATTAAAACGTCTACCATGCCTTAAGAAACAGCATTAATGCATTAAAATAAACAATACTGTGGATGCAGAAATGAACATTTAAGTGGATGCAAACCAGATCCATTCCATTTTGAGTGTGTGTGTATTTCTGTATTTTTTTTCTCCTAAGTGCCTTTGCTTAGTAAAAGCCATCAAATATTACTGGGAATTATTACTAATTTGTAAACAGTCCTGAAGAATTAAAGGGAGAGAGAAAGGGAATGAGTAAGTGGAAGAAAGAGAGAAAGAGAGAGAGAGAGGGAGAGAGAGGTTAAGCTCAAAGGCAGAGAGAGCGAAATGGACCAGATTATACAAAATTAAAAAGCAAATACGAGGAGACAATTTGTGCCGAGTGATTGCAAGCAATTACAGTCCGGCTCTTCTGGAGGGAAGATGGGGGAGGGGGTTATTTCAGCTTAAAAGGAGACTTTATTCATTCCTGATCAGCTTCTCCAACCATTCTCTCTTTTATTCTTGGATATCAATTTAAGAAAAAAAAAAAAAAGTCAGCTTTCAGATGTTACATGTTCACCCCTGTGAATCCAGCCCTGGGCAGACAGTGAGAATTTAAGCTTCCAATCGGTTCTTTCTATAGCCCTGAAAACCAATTTGTTCATAAAGAATAAAATAAGGGGCGGGGGGGAGAGGGGAAAACACAACACGAGCATGTGTTTCTTTTAGAGGAGAGCTTCAATTTTACTATAATTGTCTAAAGACGGAGCTGCTTTGATCTGAAGAATTATTATTGTGCCTCAAATGCCGGCTGCCAATGTCACAGCTGTGCTGGGGCTCGGTCACGCCAAGGGGCTTGGGGTCCAACTTAGTCCCAGACCCGCCTTTGGGTCCTTCTCTCTTTATCGTTCCTTTGTCAAATGGGAAAGTTCATTTTCCTAGTATGTCCATTGACCATCGAAGGCTATGGCATGGTTGATGTTGTACAGGTCCCTTGGAAGGCCTGGACACATGGTGGTGACATCACAGGGGCCCACCAAGGCTGGGCGGGAGGGGAGAGCCTCGCCTTCACATGGGCAGGCAGGCTGGATGTGCACATGCCCTAAGCAGGCTGGCACGATCATTAGATGAGAGGACCCGGCACACCGGCCAGCTGCTCTTGCTCATCTGTGTCTCCTCAACTCATGCTCGAGGTCAGAAATGGTCTCGGTACTTGAGAGAGACACAGCGGACCCTTCAGCACACTTCCCTGATTTCAAGGCTTGGAGTTCATAGTTATTATCCCTCACTCCAGCCCGTGCTGCGCCAAAGCAGAGGACAGCTCAAAACACAGAATTAAACATGTTTCTTTCAGACGCAGAATGGCTAAAATCTAGATGGAGGGTCTGAGGGCTAAGCCAAGTCTTCAGGGCGTGTATTTTCCTTCTCATGGCTGAGGAATAGACCAGGGGAATCTCTTCTGTATCACTTCCTTGGTGGGCCAGGCAGGAGGGACCTGTCCACCCTCATCTCACATCCCGCCACCTCGAAAGCTGCCTCGCCCGTCTCCTCCTGGTGCCTCTGAGGTCTCACTGGAGACTGGAACGTCCTCCTTACCTGCTCCTTCTCCGGTTCCCCATCACCTACAGCATCGTCCACACTCTCTAGCTCAGCATTCAAGGCTCTGCAGGTAAGCTGCCCTGCCCAGTCCTGCTGCCCTGCCTAGTCCTGCACCCCAGGTGAGGAGCCCCTCTGCTGTTTCAGAACACATCATCGAATGCTCAGCTCTGGGTCTTTGCTTACGTCTTCCCCCTACCTGGAATACAACTGCTTCCTTTTCTCCTTGTCCCTTGAGTTCTTCTCTCCTTTCTTGGCTCCGCTTCTAACTCAAAATACAGATCAGGTGGATAAGAAAATGAATTACTCTGAATGGACTGTGAGACTAAGTTCCAGGGGCAGAGCTATCTAAACAGCCCAGGTTATAGTCTAGGAGGCCGTGACAGTAAGGAGATGACAGGCTGCGAGGGACAACCCCCACTCCCACCCCACCCCCTCACCTCTAAGCCACGGTTTCTCAAACTGGAAGAATGCACAGAGCTCTTCACAAAGAAAATGTGGTAAAACACAAGAATGTCGGTGAACCCTTGGGGTCTGAAGATTCCAGTATGAAAAACATTGTCATAGGAAACAAACAAAAACCCAGCAGCATGAAAACATGAACTTAATTATAGCTCTACAAAGCAGGAGGCCCACATTCTGCACAGAAATCATTCTTTTCAATCGCATGAAAAAAAAAAATGCACCTAGGCCAGGCACGGTGGCTCATGCCTGTAATCCCAGCACTTTGGGAGGCCAAGGCAGTTGGATCCATTGAGCCCAGGAGTTCGGTACCAGCCTGGGCAACATGGGAAAACCCTGTCTCTACAAAAAAGTAGGAAAATTATCTGGGCATGGTAGTACACACCTGTGGTCCCAGCCACTTTGGAGACTGAGGTGGGAGGATCACTTGATCTCAGGAGATGGGGTTGCAGTAAGCTGTGATTGCACCACTGCGCTCCAGCTTGGGTAACAGAGTGAGACCCTGTTTCAAAACCACCATCACCATCACCACCAAAACCCCACATCTAGAAGACTTTTATTACCTAGGCAAGCTTGATTTAGTTACTTAATTTCTCTATGCCTCAGTTTTCTTATCCGGAAAAGGGAAAAAAAATAGCTGATCTGGAAGGGTGGGTGCGGGGATAAAATGATGGAGCATGCATGTGTGCACAGTACTTAGATGACTCCTGGCACATTCTCTGTTCTCAACCCATGGCAGTGTTCATCAAACTAACCCCAGTAGGCACCTATGTTGTTACTAGAAAGCTCAGGGACCTAATCCTGAGTAGATATCTCATTTCCTCTTCAGAGCTAGGAGATCTCATATTCTGAAATTTTTAGAATGTGGGAAGGAGGATGTTCAGGAGACTGGGGCTTTGATGAGGGCTGAGTTGCAACCACAGGGAACACTAAGAAAGATGACACAGAGCAAAGCATGAGCTTTGAGCAAAGAGGAGGCGAACTGATTTTTTTAGGGTAACAAAGGTTGAGCGTGACAGACCTGACATGTCTGGCCAGCTGCCCTAAGGATGGGACAAAGGGAGGAAGGCTATGCTGCAGAGCTTTGTAGAGGAAGAGCTACTTGAGGAGAAGGAATGGAGTTGTTATAAAGATTCTGGCTAAAGGGAACTGAGTGATCTTTGCATCTCAAGAAGTCATAAAAATGGGATGAATCAGGAGTCAGGAAAAGAGAGGGAGACCTATGGAGCTCACGGAAACGTAGAGAACAGCCTTGGAGCATCTTGAAGAGGAGAGAGAATGGAAGCAAGATAGCTCCAAAAGAATGTCTCTGTCTTACTTTGGTTGCCACTTCCATTAACTGCCCAATAACTTCAGGTGTTGGAATAGACAAGAGAAGCCCTACCTATGTGGACTCTAGGTCACAATTCTTGGCTCCACAGCTCCTGCTCTCCTTACTTGCAGGGAAATGGGGGTTGAACAGAAACAAAGAAGAAAGTGTAGAAATGAACAAGATGTAGGTAGCAGGGAAGTATTCAGGGGGTAGTGCACCGACAGGCACAATTTACCTTGAAATACAATAAAAATAAAAGCTGGATTGACAGGCAGAGGGACAAACAGATGGGCAGATTGTGATAAATCAAGTATATTCCATTGTTAACAATTGAACGTAGGTGGTGAGTGTATGGGTATTCACTGAAAAGTTTTATTTTGTTTTGTTTTAACTTCTCTATATGTATGAAAATGTTCATAATAGAAAATTGAAAAAAAGTTAGGAAACAGATTCAAGATCATCAACCCTCGTCCTCATTGGCCCTGAGACAAATTATCCCAAAAGAGCAGCTGGCAGAATGGTGAAGGAATAGATTTTTGTCTGCTCTTCCTGCTGACTTCCAGCTCCTCAGTGCTGTCTGTCTACCTTTCTGGGGCTGGGTAACCTGCTAAGAACAATGCTTGTAAGGATTTAAGCTATGAACCCAGCCTGTGGAATCTGTAATTTATCAGAGCTCTCCTAAAGGCTGATGCAAGTCTTTAATGCCCAATGAAATAGATCTTCAGAAGTGGAATTTTGGCCAGTGGAGAAGAAACTTTAGGTGGTGCATCAGTTGGGATTAGATTTGGTTACAAATGTCAGACAGTCCCAAACAACTGACTTAAACAAGATGGAAGCTCATTTCATGCTCACATCAACCAAGTCCAAATGGAAGTGGCCCAAAATGCTGTCCTCAAACATCTCAAGAACTCTGGTCCTTTCCTGCTCATCGCCCACACCTCTAAGGACAGTCCTCAGCCTCCTGGCCCAGGATGACTGTCCCCATCTTCCAGGCAGCAGGATGATGGAAGGAAGAAAGAAGGGGGCAACAGCATGCACAAGCCACCCCTTAAGGACGGTTCCTGGAAACTGACATACGGGCTTAGTCACATCTTCACACCCAGCTGCAAGGGAGGCTGGAATATGTAGTCCTTATTCTTTGCAATAATGTGCCTAGCAGGAAAAAAATTAGCTAGGCGTGGTGGCTCACACCTGTAGTCCCAGCACTTTGGGAGGCCCAGACAGGTGGATCACTTGAGGTCAAGAGTTTGAGACCAGCCTGGCCAACATGGCGAAACCCCATCCCTCCTAAAAATACAAAATATTAGCCAGGTGTGGTGGGACATGCCTGTAATCCCAGCTTCTTGGAAGGCTGAAGTATGAGAATCATTTGAGCCCTGGAGGCAGACATTGCAGTGAGCCGAGATTGCACCACTGCACAAAGAAAAAATTATACTACTATGAAAAAAGGGAGAAAAGATTTGGGAGGAGAAAAGATTTGGGAGGAGAAAAGATTTGAGTTTTTCTCAAAAGTCAGGAGAGTGTCTCCCTAGAATGCTCCAATCACAAATGCACAGTTTTCTACATTATCTTCATATAGGGTCAGCTCTGACTTTATCAACTGGCCTCTACCACAATGGTCTCCTTTCTGGATTGACTGCATAATGAGGAGGAGAAGGAAAGAAGAAGCTGTGTGATAAGTGCTTTAGAATTTAACAAGCAAAGTTGTAAGGTAGGTAGTAGCATCCTCATGATAGAGATAAGAACTGGAGGCTTCCAACAATTCAAAAGACTGGTAAGGTCCTTATCTGTAGAGGCCACTGTTAAAATGCAGGAGGATGCAGAGTGGGGCTCCCCAGTCTTTCCCACCACCCAGCCCCTCGACCTTGATAGATAATCTGAACCTTGGAAAGGACAGAGGCTGCTGGAGAGCCAAGAAATCCTAGACAAGGGATCTCACCTGGAGGGGAGAACAAGCAACAAAAGCTGGAATAGAGCAAGAGAACACTGGTCCAAGAGAACTTCAGGGAAGCAGCAAGCGAACATAGAGCCAAGAAGGGCCAGACAAGGTTCCTTGAAGAGCTGGGGGCTCTTGGAGGATGATGAACAGGGGTGCGGTGGGGAGAGGGGAACATTGTCAAAGGGAGGTGTGCAGGGCAGAACAGAGCACCTGTATATGTACTGCCATCTTGGATCTACTCTAAGGATTAGAATATGAGTTCTGCAGGTTCTCAAAGAATTCTATGTTAACCTGGTGTCACTGTCTTCTTGAGCAGAAGTTCTCAAAGCTGATGCCCATTGAAATCACCTGGGTCTTTTAAAAACATCCTGGTACCTAGTCCCAACCTCCAATATATATATATATTTTTTTTGAGACAGAATCTCACTCTGTCACCCAGGCTGGAGTGCAGTGGCGTGATCTCGACTCACTGCAACCTCTGCTGCCCAGGTTCAAGTGATTCTCCTGCCTCAGTCTCCCAAGTAGCTGGGATTACAGGCTCCTGACACCACTCCCAGCTAATTTTTGTATTTTTAGTAGAGATGGGGTTTCACCATCTTGGTCAGCCTGGTCTCGAACTCCTGACCTCGTGATGCACCCGCCTCAGCCTCCCAAAGTGCTGGGATTACAGGCATAAGCCACTGTGCCCAGCCTCAAGATTTTTATTTTATTGGTCTGGGGTGAAGCTTGGGCATTGGGATTTTTCAGAACTCCCAACATGATTCTAATGTGCGGAAAAGCTGGAGAATCACTGCTCCAGAATGATAGTCTTCCAACTCTAATGTGTATATTCATCACCTTGGGAGGGCACCGAAATGCAGATTCTTATTCATGAGGTCCAGGATGGGGCCTAAGACTCTGCATTTTAATAACTTCCCAGGGGATGACAATACCGCCCATCTTGGGAACACACTCTGAGTAGCGAGTTTGACGCTTTCATTTCTCCTGCTAATGTACACTTTTCCTATATTCACGGGGGCTTCAACGCATCATCTACTTATGCAAAGCTGTCTCGTCCTGTAATAAGCAAGCCCGTCCCGGACAGAAACCCAGGCCATGTCCTATAATAAGTAAGACCATCCCAGACAGAAATCCAGACAGTCCTGGTCTGTATCTGCCTTCACGTTTAGCGTGTTGTCTGCTAAACCGTTGATCTAGAGTGTCCCATGTTGAGCACAGCAGAAAGCACACCACTAGTGCTTAACACAGCTTTTATTAATATTAATAATTAATGCTTAGTGCTAATGAGTAACCAATTACCAATAGTAATAATGTCATCGAGAAAACAGTGATAGTCCTACAAGGCACAAACCTTTCTGCTTCGTCCCCCACACCCCAAATTATAGTTCTAAATGAGCTTCCAGAATCTTGTGACAGGTACAACCTCACACGCATTCATGTAATAAGACAGCTCTATGGAGTGAAATTCCACTTTCAACAGATACATTTTCAGCGTGGCACACAGGAAATTAAATGTGAAAGTATCATTAACATGGAAGTTGTGAGTTTAATTCCCTACACAGGGTGCTGAAAAACTGAGATTGTTTATCTATACCTCATCACGGCTACCTGTTTCCTGGGGGATCCAGTCAATTTCTTAGAATATAAACTCTCTTACCCCTTTTTTGGGTGAACATCTACTCTTCATTTCTATCCTCAAAGATCCATATTCTCAGAAGGCAAAGAAGTGAATGTGAGCATCTCACTAAGAAGAACAGGATTCTACAGTGTGGTTTGAGATTGCTAAGGATGGCATTCAGGGCTGATTCAGGACATGATTTTTTTTTCTTTAAATATTTCTCTTTAGAGGAAGTAATGTAGCACTTAATGTCTAATGACATCTATTCAGGAATTCATCAAAGAAAAGCTGATAACAAGATGCGTTATCATAGTCAACAATTAATGGTGCCGTGTAGGAATCTTGATTGCTCTTAGGATGTGTAACTGGTACAGCTTTTGCTCTTGGGCTGTTTTTACAAAAAGGCAAGTGGAGCACAGATGTACCTTTCCGAGGTGATCGACCATAGTGATTGACCATGCACCACTGCAAGTCATAGCTAAAGAGATTAGCCAAGGTAGGCTATTCATGCCCTACATTGGTTACATGTGGGCATGTAACCAATCTAGTTTGTGAATCTCTTTCTTTTTCTTTCTTTTTTTTTTTAGACAGAATTTCACTCTTGTCGCCCAGGCTGAAGTGCAATGGTGCAATCTTGGCTCACTGCAACCTCCACCTCCCAGGTTCAAGTGATTCTCCTGCCTCAGCCTCCCAAGTAGTTGGGATTACAGGCGTGAGCCACTGCACCTGGCCATGAATCTCTTTCTTTCTAAACATCATTCATCTTCAGTTTTACCCTTCACTGCACATCCAACTGACTTGGGTGAGAGGAGTAAAAGGAGGGCTCAGGGGACCCTTTAGGGGTCAGGATACCCTCAAGGACTAGGTCAAAAGGAATTACAGGAAAAGAATTTTATTGACAATCTCACTTGAGAAGAACTCACATAAAGGAGACTCAAGTATCTCTTTTCCTCTTGCTGGAAAAGGAGAAAATGAGGAAGCTGCTTGAATCTTTAGGGTTAGTCTTAGCCTGGAAAAAACCCTGCAGCATTCTGAGACATCTGAGAGGAGCTAGCATTTCAAACAGGAGCAAGCCCGCTGCATGGTGGTGATCCTCCTCCCCACTTTCTGATCCTGACAAGGTGATGCTCAATTGATCCAGTGCCCTGAGCACCTCAGAACCTCCTCTTCCTCCCCACGGACTCATTTCTGAGGCTGGTTCACTTCACCTGGAGAAGCCTATCATTCCTCCTAATAGTCTTTTGGTTTTGATTTAAAGATCTACTGAATGTTAGAACCAAAAGGGTCTTAAACCAACTTCTACCCCCAAGTTCCTTATTTTACAGATGAGAAAACACCCAGGGAGAATTATCAAAAGCCCCACAGCCGCCTGGAACATGAGCCCATGTTTTCAGACTCTCAGGTCAGGATTCTACTTTTTAAATCTTAAAAAAAAAAAAAAAAAAACAGCATATCTAAAGTCCCAAAGACATAGCTCTTGGATTCTCTTGCCCATGGTGGCACGATGTGAAGTCACACTTAGCTGGCTTGGTAAAACTAAGAAACTCAGTACTGGCAGGCTGTTGCCCATGCTGGATTTTGATGAAGCCACAAAGCTTCAAGTTCACTGCCAAAAAGCTCCACCACATTGGAAGAGAGAATTTTCTACTTCACCAGTGGGAAGTGGGAGAAATAGCCTCTTGAGTTTTGGATGGATCATGAGTGCCTGAGTCAGGAGGGTATTATTCTATTTACCACTCCAGACTCACCCTTCATTTTCCCTCCTTCTCCGTCCTACCGTCTGTGCCATGAGACTGGCCTCTCCAGACTGCATCACCTAGATTTGCTTGTCTTCAGCTGGGTTTGGCCAATGGGAAGGCCCAGAAGGAGGTCAGCGATCAGGGGATTGGTTAGTCCAGCTCCTTCCTGCCTCACCATGGTTTGGGCAGTAGCTGTGTCCCTTTCCCTGTGGTCACAGCTCCTGGCACACCACCTCTCTCCCTCAGCTGCAGGTCTCGCCCAGCCCAGAAGCATGGTTCCTTCTATTGCCACCTTGGTCCACTGAGGGATTTCATCATCTCTTGTCAATTCCCATTACCCTTTCACCTCCATAAATTGTCCCATTATTAAACTCTCTTTGTTAAACTAACACATTGAGTGTGCTGTCTTTTTTTTTTTTTTGCCAGGACCCTGACTAGTACAGGGGCCCCTGGATGAAGATGTATCAGGTATAAGATGGGCTGGGCACAGTGGCTCATGCCTCTATTCCCACCACTTTGGGAGGCTGAGGTAGGAGGATCACTTGGGCTTAGGATCTCAAGACCAGCCTGGGCAACATAGCAAGACCCTATCTCTACAAAAAATACAAAAATTAGGCGTGATGGTGTGTGTCTGTGGTTCCAGCTACTCAGGATGCTGAGGTGGGAGGGTCACTTGAGCCCAGGAGGCTGAGGCTGCAGTGAGCTATGATTGTGTCATGGCACTCCAGCCCTGGAGACAGAGCGAGACTGTCTCAAAGCAAAAAAAAAAAAAAAAAACAAAAAAAAAAAAAACAAAATAATAAGCTATGTGAGCTGACTTGTGTATGGAATCATTCCATTTGAATGGGAGGGGAGGCGAAAATAAGGTAGGAGACATATGAGAAAACCAACAGCAGTTGGCAAAATCTGCCCAACGCTTGAGAGTCCTGGCCTATGTTTGATCGACTCATTCGAATTATATGAGACCAGAGTAGAATCACAGGGCTCCACTTCGGTGCCACCCACTGACTTATTCCGTGGAATTGGGTGGGTTCCTGCTTCCACCTCTCTGAAGCAGCTGTATGATTCTGTTCCCTTGCACACCTGCTGAAAAGAACATGTTGCTACCTGCAATATCCAAACTCTACCATCTCATGGTAAGCTGTCTTAAATGCTAAAACAAACACAAATTGAACTGGTTTTCCCATCTGTTTCTTTAACAAATGGGAGCTTAAGCCCATAGGGAAACTGTGTGGGTCAGGGAAGCATCAAATGAACACTTCTGAATAAAAACAAATGTTTCTGAAGATCGCAAGATATTTTAAACAGAGCACTCCGTTGGCCAGGCCTGCTCCCTTCTGATGCCTGCACAAGATCCCGATGACAGCATTATTTGCTTGAATTGGATTTGTTTCTGTGCCCAGAAACAACACACAAGGAACCTGAGATAGGAAATGGCTACTGGGTCCTAAAAGTCTTCCCAGGACACTGTCTGAGACCAGACAGGAATGAAACAAGAGTTGGAAACCACACCAAAGGAAATTCTTTGGGGTCTGGATTCTCGCTCTTTTTTATTTATTTATTTATTTATTTATTGAGACAGAGTCTCGCTCTCTCTCACTCTGTCACCCAGGCTGGAGTGCAGTGGCATGATCTCAGCTCACTGCAACCTCCACCTCCCAGGCTCAAGTGATTCTCATGCCTCAGCCTCCCGAGTAGCAGGGATCACAGGTGTGTGCCACCACGCCCAGCTAATTTTTGCATTTCTAGTAGAGATGGAGGTTTCACCATATTGGCCAGGCCGGTCTCGAACTCCTGACCTCAGGTGATCCACCCACCTTGGCCTCCCAAAGTGCTGGGATTACAGGCATGAGCCACCGCACCCAGCCTCTTCTTTTACTATTAAAAAATATCAAAAGCAGAGAGCATTTGCTTGCATTTTTATATAAAACTCCAACAGGTGAACTAGCATTCCCAGAGGAGGAGGAGGAAGCAGTGGTGGGGGTGGCAGTGGAGGCAGCAGCTTGACTCAAGCGGAGAACCTGGCATCAGCCCCCTGAGTTTTCTTTAGTCCCCTCTTACAAGCAGATGCTCCTCTGGGTCCCCTCCAGGTCTCCATCCCAGCTGGCAGCTTCCTTGCCCTGCTCTGGAACTAGACTATACACACCCTGACTTTAGTCTCATTCCATTTTGCACATCACCAGTGCCTAAGAAAGTGCTTGGCACATAGTAAATGCTCAACAAATGCTTCGTGGTTGGTTATGTCGATTAACCTATGAATGATGGAGCCAGCGGGTAAGAGATGAGTGGGTAAAGGAAAGAATCAACCATTGACAGTACTGTCTCTCTAGTTGATACATTATTTCTTTCCAAATGGGGCTGGGAGGAGTGGGTGGGTAATTGCCACCAGAGGGACCCTGTATGATGAGGTCACTGGGCCATTTTCAGGGATTCACTACTGTCTCTTGGGATTCCTCATCCTGTCTCCCTCCCTCTGTCTTCCTGCCTTCCCTCTGCTCTCTGACTCTTCGATCCATTTCTTAATTCTTTTTGCTGAGTAGTTCTTCAGTTTTTATTTCTGTTATAGGGAGGCCACTCTCACATTTTTGAGAATAAAAGATAGCGCTGGGAATAATCAAAATTACGTAATTTAAAATATTAGCGTATTCACCAATACACTGACTTTACGATATTCGTGGACTTACAAAATAATTTTATTTAAAACCTAGTTTCAAAAATAAAATTCCTTCTACCAAATAAATGTAACATATATCTGTTTCCATGAAAGCAAAATGAAAATAATTTATCTTATTGAATCTCTTATTTGAATGCTAAACAATACCGTTAGCAGAACAATACTGTTTAGCATGTATTTTATTTTTTTGTCATATCTATTTCTAATATTATTATATCATGGTATTTGCCTAAAGGATGTATATTTTAAACATTATTTTTTAATCTTTTTTTCATAAAGTTGCATATCATATACTCTTCCTCAAAGTTGCACTTTAATGCTTTTTGAAGTATTACATATAAAAAGTACTAAAGTTGCATTTTGTTGTTAATAAATTTGAAACTGTTAACTTCCTCAATTGAATGTTACTGAAGATTATAATAACATTTCTAATTGAGAAAATACTTTCTCCAAAGTTACTGAGATGTCTTATAAATTCAGAGCAAACTCTGCTAGAGTATATTCCAATTTTCTATTTTTTCAGATTAAAATATATAAATACTTTAGCCCAAATATTTTCTCATATACTGTCTTTTTACCTCCCAAGCACTTTGGCAGGTATTTTTAAAGGGAAAAACTCTTTAGATAAGTTGTCTCAACTTATGATTCCAAATCATAGGTCTTTCCATTTCATTCCATTGAATAAAAATATAAATGTATCCAAATAAAAACAGAAATATCAAAAGATTCTTCCCAGAGGTTAAGGTATTCCAAAAAGAAATCGTAATTTTGAACAGGAAATCTTGCATAATTTTTGAACTCTCAACTTTTAATTTGTTCGGTTCTTTTCTTTCTGTTATAGGGATAACGTTCATTGTTTTCCTGTTTGCAAGCTTCATTTTCAACAGTTGCAACTAGCTAAATATTTTAACATAAAGTTTTTTTGAGCACTCTATTCTTTTGAGATTTTGATTAAATATATCCAACTGGTGTTGAATAAAAGCTAAATATTTTAACGTAAAGTTTTTTTGAGCACTCTATTCTTTCGAGATTTTGATTAAATATATCCAACTGGTGTTGAATAAAATATAACCACAATTTACAGATTTATTTATAAAAGAAGTTCAAAACCACTGCAGAACGTGTAGGTTGATTTACAAAGAAACTCTTCAAAGGTGCAAACTCTTGAAAAACTCCATTGATGGCAAGCAGCAAAAAGATAAAAAGTCCACACTGCCACACTAAAGTATTTTTTAATATTCAACATCAACTTCATCACAAGAATATTGTGGCTTGATTGCTCTAATGGAGTATACACAAATATTTGTAAATTTAAACCACTACAATTTTTAATTGATTTAACATTGCAGCAAGTGGGAGGAAGCTGTGAATTATATGAACACCAAAACAAATTCCAAACCTATTTCTGTCTCATAAGTTTCTTAATTTTATATTGACATTGCTTTTTACCATGAATTTGTGCTTCACCAAAGTTTGGGTGGGTGTTATCACCACAAAATTTAGTAACTTCATTTTCAATGTTAAACTAACAAGTTCATTAAAAAATGGAGTATTACTAGTATTAACAATAAGTCAGATGTTTCACCTTCTTTAGAATGAACTTTCAGAAATTTTAATAATTTGATTTCCTGAAGTGGAAGTGAAAATTTGAACCAATTATTAAAACTTATGCATTTTCTTTGTGAAGTCTCCAATAGCACTGATAAAACAGATAGCCTTTAAACTGTTTGCAATTTTTCTTCTGTCTCAAATGCCAATACATTAAGTGTAGGCACTACATGTTTTGCACCTGCATAACAAAAACTTGGAAGAAAAAAATTTTAGAAATTTAGCAAAGAAACAGTCATTTGATAACAATGAAAAATCATGCTTTGTAGAAGAATCTGTAAGCCCACCTGCTACAGATTCACATGTGAATTCATCTATAGGAAAGTCTTCTTAAAATAACTACCGATTTTTAAAATTAAATGCTGATATTCTGTTAGCAAATCTTGTTTTCTGTGTGGTCATCTGCCACAATAAATGGTAAATATTGATAAACATTTTTGTGCAAGTTACATGTACATTGGCTTTCGTGAGTAAGGAAATTCAGTACCTAATTTTTCATTAAACATGTACATGTGGTTTTTGGAGCTGATGGCTGCCAAAAGGGATTACTTCAAAATAAAAATGTTACCAAATAATAAAATCAATAGTTGCAAATGTCAATTATATAATAAATGCAAAACTGGTATTGTAAGAGCATTCAGACTATTCTATGTTCTATGGTGGGGCTGCTCAGCCTCTGTGTCCTGCATGGACCAATATTTTCCTGCACACCTACCCTCTGGTTTCCACAGTTCCCGCGGACCCTGCCAACAGGCATCATGGTGGCAGGCTGCACACCACGGGCCCCAGCACTCTGCACTGGTAGCCGGTAGGGCAGCAGCAGTCACTTCTCACCTGGAGAACCTGGCTGATCTCACGTGCTTATATCTGGGTACACTTCACATCCCTTGAGAATGGGGTGTCAGTTACCTTGTGTCTGGAACAGAGTAACAAAAGGGCTTGGGTATCACTGGTCGTCTTTCAAACCTGACCACAAGTTCAAAGGAGAACTCTGAACTAGCATCTCACACACAGCTATATAAGATCTTGGCAGGAGCTGGTGGAACAAAAAGCAGCTCTCTCTACCTACCCCTCCTGGCTTATTTTGTTGTTGTTTTTGTTGTCTTCTTTTTTAAAAATTGAGTCAGAGGCTGGGCGCAGTGACTCATGCCTGTAATCCCAGCACTTTGGGAGGCCGAGGCGGGCGGATCACGAGGTCAAGAGATCGAGAACATCCTGGCCAACATGGTGAAACCCCGTCTCTACTAAAAATACAAAACCTAGCTGGGCGTGGTGGTCCTGCAGTCCCAGCTACTCGGGAGGCTGAGGCAGGAGAATGGCTTGAATCCAGGAGGCGGAGGTGGCAGTGAGCCGAGATTGCGCCACTGCACTCCAGCCTGGTGACAGAGCGAGACTCCATCTCAAAAAAAAAAAAAAAAAAAAAGTCAGAATTAGGTACTAAAAGCCATATGACATGCCTGAACAGGGACTTGAACCCTGGACCCTCAGATTAAAAGTCTGATGCTCTACCAACTGAGCTATCCAGGCTTCTTCCCTGCTAGTTTATTTTAATGCAGTAATAAATAACAGCACTTTGTTAAAAATAATAAAGGTATAATCTGTGACACATCCAAAGTGGACAAGATGAAGAGATAATAGGTATACACCAGGATTCCCCTGGGCAAACTGGGACCTCTTGGTACCCTATATATTAAGAGTCTCGGGTTTTGTTTTCACTTAAGCAAATGTCCAAACTTTCTTATCCTTTTCTCTTCAAAGTGTTTTCCTATGTGCCCATCCCTTAGGACTTCTAGCTCTTGTATAAACAGATAATTGAGGTGCAAATATCTGATAGGGTGTCGTACAGGATGATTGCAAATCCCATCTGATTAAGGTCACAGACCACTCCCCAGATAAAACCCAGACTCAAGCTGGGCGCGGTGGCTCCAGCCTGTAATCCCAGCACTTTGGGAGGCCCAGGCAGGAGGATCACAAGGTCAGGAGTTCGAGACCAGCCTGGCCAGCATGGTGAAACCCTGTCTCAACTAAAAATACAAAAAATTAGCCAGGCATGGTGGTGCGCGCCTGTAATCCCAGCTACTCAGGAGGCTGAGGCCGGGGAATTGCTTGAACCCGGGAGGCAGATGTTGCAGTGAGCCGAGATCATGCCACTGCACTCCAGCCTGGGCAAGAGAGCAAGACTCCATCTCAAAAACAAAACAAAACAAAACCAGACTCACCCCTCCCTTGTTGTAAAAGACTGTGCTAGAGCCTGCAGAGTGGTTCTGCCCTATCCACCCTCCCTTCCTTACCAATGACATGAGCTTGAAGATGGAAGCCACCTGTTCAAGAGAGATGTTCAGAAAAATAAGTGTTGCTAATGACTGGGGAGCTGCCATATTTATTCATTACCAACCTCCAGACCCAGCAGCTGATTGCAATTCTTGACCTAAACAATTACACATTGCTGAAGTTCTTGCTTCCCATTCCAGGCTCTTCTGCCTCCACTCTGTCCTTGCACCCCAAACCCCTGCCATACAAGTCACGAAACTCATTCCACTCATCCTTCATCCATGCTATTACCTTGGCTGGAGATACCTTTCTCAGCCTTGACATCCAGCTACTTCTGCCCTTCTGCCAGAAACAAACGTAGTCATCACCTCCTCCTGGAAGCCTCTCTGGGCTGCACTCCTGAGACATCCCAGGCATGCTCCTGCACTCTGTTATATGATCACCTGTTAACACGCCTGCCTCCTTCAACCTGTGATCAGCTTGAGGGAGGGCACTGTGTGTTCTTTCTTCCTCAGTCTGTCATCCTGTGTCACCATGCCTCCTATATGGTGACATAGCAGGCATATGTAATGGGAAATGATTGAATGAATGTTGAAACTCACCAAATAGGGGAGGGTCCTGGAAAGCCTCTGGGAGGAGGATACCTGATTGGCCTGTAAAGGTAGGGGTCACAATGTGGCAGTTACACATTCTCCATCAATAGGATCAGGTCCATTATCCTATTAAACCTCCTTGGGGACCTTGAGGGTGAGAGGACATGCCTATTAGTAACCCCCGTTTATGGCTGGGCAAATGGAGGCATGGGGAGGTTAAAAGCTCCGGGTCAACCCAGGAGTTGGTGATGAACCTGCTGTGATTGGCAGTCGTGGGGACCTGATGCCGGTTTTGTTCTCTGAACCTCACTACTTTCAAGGACTCCTCAGTTCATTCTCTCAATCTCTTTCTTTTTGTTTTCTTTTTTCCTCCAGTAATATCCAAAAAGTCCCTTCTCCAGATTAAATCGTCCTGGCTTCAGATATCTAAAGCAGCTATTTTTTTTTTTTCCTTCAGCATTTGAAATGTTTTTAAGGGTTTATTTCAAACACCCTTTTCTTTGAACTGATTGTTCAGAACTTTCATTCCACTTTGTCAGTGTGTTTGGTAGTAGGCTCCGATTCCTAAAAGGTTTTTATTTCTTCTCTATTAGCGGCCACCACCTGCTTACTGTTTGGATGGGTTTTGCTTTATTTTCTTTGCTTTCATCTATTGAAATGGATGAGAGGAACCTTAGGTAATGAACCTTGTTTCCAGTTTTCCCCCTCACCTCCCCTATTTTTAACTCCTCCTGCCACTGCTAAGGATGAGGCAAAGGACGAAAAGTTCCTGGGTGGTAAGTCTCTGGGAGTCACTCTGCTTTTCTCCCCAGGTGTGGGGATGGAGTGGCAGGCAGCAGAGGGCAGAATGTGCCTGGAATGTTTGCAGTGCTGTTGGCTTTGCAATTGCCTGGCCATCCTGTTTCCCCACAGCAGGATGCATGGTGGCCTTCTAAACGGCCACTCTGGCTGGAGTGAAGAGGTGTCTTTCTCCAATCTTACAGGGACCCCTAAGCTTCATGGGGAGATGTGAGTGTCAGTAGCTGTTGCTGAGGCCCACATTGCCAGACACTAGCTTGTTCCATTTTTGGTTTATCTACACACATTGGCCCTTATGGGAGCAGCCTCACATATAAATATATAAATATTTTACCAGTTCATCCTGCCCTCAGGGTATCAAGTTTAATGAACTAAATAGCCTCCATTAATCACCCAACAGAATGTTATTTACTTCAAGGGAAAGGGTAAGTGGCCTCTGCAAAGACACGTCAAGGACTCGGTCTCGGCAACTCTTCTCTGTGCTAGGTCTTCCCAAATCTTTAAGAACAAAGTCCTAAATCCCGGGCTGGGTGTGGTGGCTCACACCTGTAATCCCAGAACTTTGAGGGGCTGAGGCAGGTAGATCACTTGAGGTCAGGTTTGAGACCAGCCCGGCCAACATGGAGAAACCCTGACTCTATTAAAAATACAAAAATTAGCTAGGCATGGTGGTACCCACCTGTAATCCCAGCTACTTGGAAGGCTGAGACAGGAGAATCACTTGAATCCAGGAGGTGGAGGCTGCAGTGAGCTGAGATCGCATCACTGCACTCCAGCCTGGGCAACAGAGTGAGACTCCATCTCAAAAAAAAAAAAAGAACAAAGTCCTAAATCCAGAAGTTCTGCCAGCCAAGTTGACACATTGCTTTCCTGTCCTCTCTTCTCCCCTTACCAAATTTTAGTATTACTTTTTAATTAATTAAATAATTAAAGAGGGTCTCACTCTATTGCTCAGGTGGAGTGCAGTGCTATGATCACGGCTTACTGCAGCCTCAAACTCTTGGTCTCAGGTGATCCCCCCTACCCCAACCTCCAGAGTAGCTGGGACCACAGGTGCATGCCAGCCATGCCTGGTTAATGTGCGTGGTGTTGTTTTTTTGTTGTTGTTTGTTTGTTTGTTTGTTTTTGTTTGTTTGTTTGTTTGTTTTTGTAGAGATAGGGTCTCACTATGTTGCCCGAGCTGGTCTCAAACTCTTGGCCTCAAGTGATCCTCCCACCTCTGCCTCTCAAAGTCCTGGGATTACAGGCATGAGTCAATGTGCCCAGCTTGCCTACCACATTTTAGATGTCAGTTTCTTCACCCTTTTGTTTAAAATACGGCATACTCTCCCATATCTGCCCAGCCCAGAAATGCACGGTCATGGGTTATGTCAGCCCAGGGAGGGTGAGAAAGGTCTTGAGCCCTGTTGTCATGATGACCCCATAGCCAATAAATCAAGTCCAGTGTAAGTAACATTTGAGCAACTGGAGAAAATGGAACTGAAGTGGGTACATATCAGAGGCCCTTTGACATCTCTGAATATCCTTTGTAAATAATATCTATTGCCCAGCTTAGAGCTGTGAGAGCCACTCAGCGCAAGTGTATACGAGTGGAAAAATGAAGGAAAGGGAAGGGCAGAGGGAAGGGAGTGGAGATTGGTGCTGAGACACAGGGGGTGGCCTTGGGAGCTGATACAGCAGTGCCTGTGTTAAGCTAGGCTGTCCATCCTTTGGCACCCCAGTCCCTACTCCTGCAGCCACAGATGAAAGGCAAATTTTGCAAGCCAACATCTACCTTGCCCCTTCCTAGGAACAGTGAGGTCCTATCCATTCTGATCCCACTGAAATCTAAGAGAATTGGTGGAGATCTGCTATCCCAGCCCAGAAAATGGCATCACGTGTGAGGATCGGCCCTTCACATCCCTTCTTTTGCAGGGCTGACCACCGCCTCACCCACTCCCTGCTAGAGGGGTCCGGCCCCTCCCTGCACACATCCAGACTCTCCAAAGCATCTTGCATTTGGCCAGAGGTCTCGGGAAGCCTCTCCAGGCTGTGTAGGGCTTTAGCCCAACACTAATTAGTAATGCAATCCCGCAAAGAGTGAAGCTGCCTGCCACCTCCCCTCACTCATAGTGATTTATGTTCAATTTGTACAAATGGAGAAAATGAGATTTCAAATTTCAATGCCATTTCTGCAATGAGGTGATTAAAAGAGAGAGAGGTATCGCCTTCCACTGTATAGAATATTGATCCCAGTGCTATTTTCCTTTGCAATAACCATTAGCTCAGTATTATTTGCAAACCTCTAATGTGAACCTGGAGATGTAATTTACATTTGTGCCTCACTTATTCGCT
Organism: Homo sapiens; assembly: GCF_000001405.40. Classification (NCBI taxonomy): domain Eukaryota; kingdom Metazoa; phylum Chordata; class Mammalia; order Primates; family Hominidae; genus Homo; species Homo sapiens. Next base: position 73,482,859 of record NC_000016.10, read on the forward strand.
TTAACAAAACAACACAAAAGCTTTGGATCTTTCAATCTATCCATATTGTCAATAAAATTAGCAGCTTGAAGGGAAAAAATTATATTCAAAACCATAACTTCCCATTAACTACCGCAAGACACAACACATCGTTGCAAAAGAGAGAGAGCTTCGTAGCTAAATCCTTTCTTGTTCTTTCTTTTCCTCCGCTCCCTCTTCCCCCTCCATGGGGTTAGAATTCAATGAACAAACTTGAAAGTGAAACATCCCCTCCTCTGAATGTGGATCAGCTTAGGGTCTGGGGGCTGGCTGTGCACATCTGAGGCCCGATCCCTCCGAGGGTGACCCCGGAGGAAGAGAACGCGTGGGCCCCTGCTCCAAGTGCCAGCGCACGCCTGGCCCAGAGGTCCATCGGGCTGCCAGGACAAATGCGTACGCATAGACACGTGCACGGAGCCTCCGAGAGAGAGCGAGAGACCAAGAGCGAGCGAGTGAGAGACAGAGAGAGAGAGAAAGAGAGAGAGAGAGAGAGTTCCTCAAGAGAGCCGGGAGCCAGGGTAGGGACCAAAAGGGCTGGAAGAAAAGATGAGAAGGAGGTAATCAAGAAATAAAAGCATGGGGGCTGTGCTCTGCCAATTCAAATGGCAGTTCCGTCAGCCTCGACGCTGAACAAATAGGCCACGTAGCTCCGCGTTCTCATTTCTTGTCTCTGCAAATCCGTCAGCTGCCTACAAGGGCCTACCAGACCCTGGAAGACGAGAACAAGAAAAAGGGAGAGTGGGGGGCGGGGGAGCTAATGACCCATAATTGCCATGATAGTGGGAGAGGGGCCAAGCAGCTGTTTTACATTCCTGGTATGTATAGTATGCAAATATCGACAAAGGCTCGACACAGTTTCGCTATTGTGGATCCGGAGGGTAACCAAATTAGCCTTTGGCAGCCATGGTAATTGGGAGGTGCTGTTCCCATTAGGAGTCCTGCAAATTATGAAGAAAAATGGACCGAGGGCTTTGTCACAAATAATAATACCAAGAAGAAAAGCGCAGGCGGCTGTCTTTTCTTTTCTTCCCCTGTTCCCCACCCTCTGCCTTTGTTTTTTTTTTTTTTTTTTTTAATTTCTGCATTGTGTTGTTAATACCTCTCCATTTAGTAATAAGAAAACAGTCTGAAATCCCCCACTAGACAGTGCACGGACTTGATTGCAAGAATGTCAAGTTTGCAGGAGGGTCCGGGGGGAAGAGCTGCTTTCTGTTGCCCGAGCCCAGGGGCTGCAGGTAGGAAAGGCGCAGTTGTGCAGCAGTAAAGACTTCCCGCCCAGAGTCCTAGGTGAAGAGAGAAGCCTAAAAACTGACGTCTCAAAGAAAACGCTCTTTCCACGAAGCATCTTCTCCGTATTGTAAGGGTGCAGAGAACATCTCTTCCTGGAGCATAGCTGGGCTTTATCCTCCACCTCACTCCCAAAGAGTCTAAAGTTCTGGCTTGATTGAGGCTCTAATCTCTTAACAATTCAGACATGGGCTTGAAAAACCTCCAGTCATGATGCATTAAGCCCCGAACTCATGCCGAAAAGGTTTGCAGACTTTCGCCCTTGGCATTCCCTTGAGATGGCCTAATTCCATGTCCCTGGGAGCTGGGTGCCTGGTGACCAGATGGGCCACCGGCATATCAGATGACGCTATGATGAGCTCAGCCCTTTGTGGGGCATGAGTAAATGAGGCAGAATGGTCCGTTCGGGGCCAAGTTTGCCCCAGAGGAGAGACACAGTATCACCACGGTAGCAGGGAACTGTGATGCCTACAGTGCATACCCATGTGAGGAGTAAAGGACCAATACTTCCCAAAGCATTCTCTCCTTTAAAACAATCAACTTCCATTTTCCTATGTTTTAGCATCTGTTGGTTTGGCCAGAGGAACACCTTCGATGAGAAGGGGCTCTCTGGAAATACGATGTCTTTCATCTATGTTCCTCCAGTTACATAGGAACATCTCATGCATGGTTCGCATTTTATTTTTACATTGTATTTCATACAAATGTACAATGTTAAAACACAGAAAGGAATATAAATCTACTTGGATAACTGAAAGGATACTACCACATACTCGCCTTTAGAACCAGACAGAATTTCCCATAAGGAAAAAAAAAAATGGAATTTTCATAAGGTTTGAAGTGTCCTCAGAGACACGACTATAAAAGGATACTGCCAATTTTGTCCTCCAAAGGGTAAAGAAAGAAGTAATGGCTAGTTGCATGCATTTGGGAAATTAACAAAAATAGGAGGAGGACTGAAAATAGATCAGGTCATAGCAAAGTCAAATAGAGGGTTGAAAAATGAGTAAGAGGAAACGGCAACTTGCTTGCACAATGTCAGTGCAGGTGGGACCAATGGGTGACTTCAGGAATGGAGTGAGGAGGAAAATAGCCAACCATGATACTGGTTTCTTTCCTTTGTGTAATGTCCAAATCCCATTTCAGTAGACAAGGGAATACTGGCCCCCATTCCTTGCTAGTTTTAAATGAAGAACATTCAGCTGTTTAGATACAGTCCAGGTTTCAAGTCTGTTTCAAGGTAAATTTGAGGGTGAGGGAGAAAAAAAAAAAAAAAAAAAAAAACTTTCTAGCATTTACAATAATTTTTCTTAAGAAAAAAATATTCTTTGATGAAAATACTCTACCATTTGGGGACTGTGTTTAGGTTTTTGTTCTAGGTCCACCCCTTGACATGCTGATAAGGGCTGCAGTGTCCAGTACCCTGCTCGACCTTTCTCTCTTCCCTTCTCAGAGTTCCAGCCACACTAAGTGTCTTTCTGTGTGTGTTGAACCCAGTATGCTTTTTCTCATCTCTTATTTTCACACAAGCTACTCCCTCTGCCCGCTGGATGTCCCTGTGTACTGCCCTACCATGTGACACAGGTCTGCACACATCCCTTGGGCTGGCTCATCCTCATCCTCTTCCTCAGGTCACTGCTTAGATACTACTTCCCCCACACAGCCTTCCAGCCTTGTCTGACTTTCTTAGTCTGGGTGAAAACTCCTCCTACCATCTGCTCTCAAGTGCCTAGTGCCGGAACTTATGACAGAATTTTCTGTCTAATCACTTTTCCAAGGCTGTGAGCAACAGGAGAGCAGGGACCACCTCTCTTGTTCATCAATGTGTCCCAAGTTCCTAGCCCAGTGTCTGGCACATAGCAGTTGAGCCATAAACATATGTTGAGTGAATGTCATCTGATTATTCAGAAGCTTAATTGAGGGCCTAAAGTATTGAGGCAGCAGAATGGGTCTGAAGGCGGGGAACATAAGGCTGATTCATGCTGACTTCCTAGAACTAAATCAAATGGATTCGATTCAGCTATGACAGGAAATATCCTCTCCATTTACACAGGGCATACACGGAGTAAATGACTTTGTAACTTTACTTCATCCTCTTCATTTACATAGGACATACACCAAGTAACCAGTGGAAACCTCTAGAGGGTATTGAAACACCAGAAAATTCTGTAATGGGGCTCTTGAGCCCCTGTGCTCAGGCCTGCTCCCACCCTGTGGAGTGTACTTTCCTTTTCAATAAATCTTTGCTTTGTTGCTTCATTCTTTCCTTGCTTTGTTTGTGTGTGTTTGTTCAATTCTTTGTCAAGATGTCAAGAACCTGGACACCCTCCACCAGTAACAGTATCACTTGATAACAGGTCTCTAACACTTGGCTTTTGCATTGAGGAATTCTGCCTTCGAGGAATACCTATCAATTCCAGAATCCCAGAGGGTCCCCCACATAAAGATAGACCTGCATTTATTCCAAACACCAAAATTAACTGGATAGTGCTGGGATTAGAGGTGTGATGCAGTTTTTATTCTAGCCCAGGACTTTCCTGGTTTCCTGCTAAATCTAGGGTCTCTCTTGCTCATTTTTTTTTCTCTTCAGGAATGAAGTTTGCTTTTATCTGCAAATGTTGCTAAGAAAGAATCCATCGTTCAATGTACCGTGGTCCACTCTGCACTTTAGGGTCTCAGGCTTTACCCAGAACCTGGAGCAAGACCACTTCAACTCTTGCAAGAAATTCACAGGTAACACTAAGGCAAATTCTTTCCACTGTAAGGCCAAGGCAATTTGGGTTACTGGGTATTTATATCTTAGGTATATATGTGTTATGGCATAAAACCTGCTTGGAAAAATAAGACTTATAAATGGACAGCAATAACAGAACTAAAACGATGGAAAATGGTATGAGAGATTGGAGTTGGGTAGAAGAATAGTGTTCCTTATGCTGAAATAGCTTGCTATTTAGAAAAAGTGAGGGTTTTTGACCTGGAGGAAATGGCAAAAGACTATCAATAGGGAGAGTGCTAGGGCAGAGGATTCCCGAGTGGAGGTTCATAAAAAATTAAGCTCGGATAGGGACCACATAGGTGAGAGACGTTAATAACAAATGAAAGAGTTTAGTTAATGGTGGGCAGCTTGGGTGTGGCGCTGTAGGGTGCAGTTACTCAAATGTCTTCTGAACCCATCTCAGGAGGACTCTTACTAAGGTCTGTTATAGCAAGGGTCCAATAAATCACACCTCTCTGTATCTATGTGATTTTTTTTTTTTTTGGCAGAGTCTCGATCTGTTGCCCAGGCTGGAGTGCCAGCATGATTATGGCTCCTTGCAGCCTCAGTCTCCTGAGCTCAAGTGATCTTCCCACCTCAGCCTTCTGAGTAGCTGGGACCACAGGCACATGCCACCATGCCCAGCTAATTTTTTATTTTTATTATTTTGTAGACACGGGTTCTCACTGTGTTGCCCAGGCTAGTCTTCAACTCCTGGGCTCAAGTGATACTCACCTCAGCCTCCCAAAGTGATGGAATTACAGGCGTGAGCCACTGCGCTCAGCTCATGTGATTTCTTAGCCTCCTCCCGCACTAACTCTGGGCTTGGCTTTGTGAGTTGTTTTGGCTGATGGGACTTTAGCAAATGTGATGCAAGCAGAAGTTTGAAAAGTGCTCATTCATCGGAGTTTGCCTTCTCTGGCTCTTTGCTGGGACTCCTTCTAGCACCATATGCAAAAAGCTGAGCCTAGCCTGTTTGAAGATGAGAACCTACATGGAAAGAGAGGTCCACCTGTCATTGCTGACTCACCTGAGGTCCCAGACATCTAAGCAAGCCCAGCCAACATGATGTGATACAGAAACGCACCCACCCAACTATGTCTAGCATAAATGTTCTACCTGCAGAGCAGTGAGCAACTGTATCATTTTTGTTCCAAGCTTCTAATTTGGGGGGTGATTTATTCACTTGGCAATAAATAACTGGTACAAGGTCCTCACAAAAGGAGCCTAGAAGAATTTGAGAGAACAAATTTGCTCCTTTGGGAGCTAATGTAAGAGCTGCAAACACTGAAGAAAGCTAAAGGAATGGTGCCATCCTTTAGGGCTGGCTGATCAGAAGTGTTGCAATACCAGGGCAGGTTGAGGGTAGCAGCCATATGGGTGGCAAAGGAAGGAGGGACAGCCTACTATAGTGCTGATGAAAAGAGCAACATGGACCTGCACGGGGTGGGGTAGGGGTAAAGGAAGGCGAGAGTGATGGAGAGAATAGCAGAGCCCACATCAGCAGGGACCTCATGGCCCAATGGCAGGCCATGGCACTGTCAGCCCATCTGGAGAAACCACAGGGATATGAAAATAGGTGGTGGTATTGACACGGATGGAAACAACTGGCAGATCTCAATGGCTGCCTCCTGGGATCCTGGGCAAATAAACACTGGGGATGGGGGTGATGTTTTGATTACACTGGGAAAAGCTTCAATTATCAAGTTTCCCTCATTCCAGGCACTTGTCTGACTTAGGAAGCCATAGGATTCCTGGAAAATAAAACTGTAGGACAAGATGTACAAAATCCAGCAAAAGTCGTCTGTCATCCCAGACATTACTTTTCTATTTTCATGACCCCATTGCTATTGAAGTTGAGGTCCAATATATACCCAGTTGTTACGATGCTAAGACAGACTGGAGATGAAGAGCGTTTGTTCTAGAAAGAACCAAATGCCAGCTTAACCACCCACTATTTAGTGACCCTGGGCAATTTATTTAACCTTAGTTTTCTTCATCTGTAAAATGGAACTAATAATAGTTCCTATCTCATATGGCTGTTGTGAAGATTAAATGAAATTATACAAAGTGTTTAGCATGGTATCAGATACATAGCAAACTCTTAAAGTTGCTATGATTATTTTCGATAGCTATTTAGAACTCCAGATTTTCTGAGCAATTCATTTGGATTATCAAGAAAAATTTCATCATCTGAATATCATCAGTACCTTCCGTGATACCTAAAATATATTAATTAGGGAAAATGCCCTCTTGATCCCAGCATTTGAATCTGGGAGGGAGAGAAGATAATCCTATACTTTCCTTATGTTTGGCATTCTAATGTATTCCTGATGAAAATCTTGATGCACATTCAACTGTATTGGATCTTTATTTTTATCCCATCTGACTAGCAAGTTCTCATTAAGATATGATTTAAGAACTGAACGTTCATTAAAAAGATCATTTCATGACAAAGTGAGATGAGCAACGTAGAAATGATTCCATAGCTTCTCTAGATCATTCCATTTAGGGCTTTTTTCCAACTGAATCCAGCATAATTCATAGAAGCACTAAGATTTGCCTTTCGAAGGTCTGGAATAATTCAGCAATTAACATCATACACTCTTATTACCTGATGCATTAGATCCAAATTGCAACAAATACCAATGCTAGCAATTTGTTTTTCCTATAACTTGCTTACTTTAAGCAGCATTATCTTGGAAATCTTTCTTCTTAAATTCGGTTCTAAGAAAAAATATTCACAAATAATTTATTTCAAAATAATCTCTCCTTACTTTTTTTAAAGAGTAGAATTATGTAGAAAAAAATCAGTAACATCACTTTATAAAAAGAAACAAAATTCTGACTCAGAATGCTTAAAACAATTTTTCTCTGATAGGTTTTTTTTTCTGACTGAATAAAACAAAGCTCATAGTAATTGTAACAACATTAGCACTCTTTCAAGAGTGGAGATTAGTCACTGAAATCTTGTGTTCTACAATGTCAAAATTTGTCTGAACTGCACTTCAATAAAATCACAAAATGATAACAGTGTCTCCATTCATGCTATATAAATATGAAAAACATCAAATCAAGTGGAAAAACATGAGATGTGCCATTTATATAATTGTTACAAATTTCTGTTGTACAACCAATTTCTACAAAATTCCATTGCAGCTATTCAAATACTTGTGGAAGAATATCTTAAAACCTTTACATTTCACGTCTTAAAGTTAACTTAATGGAAATACTATCAGTAGACACACTGACAGTTTTATCAAGAATTCCGCTGCAGCTCAGAATGGAGGAATAACATCAGCTGCTTCATCTACTGAGACATCCAGTTCAAGGATCATCACACTAACTCCAGTATTTCCACTAACATATTCCCAAAGATGGGAAGCTTTCCATAGTGTTTCCAAGGCAGGTTTGTGAACTTTTGCCCAATTCCCATTGAAAACGTTTTAATGGCATAAAAATATTCTCTCATTGTTCATGCTACTAAAAATTTTATTTTGGTTTAACCAATGTGGAAATTAGTTTCAAGGTGGACCTGATACGTCTGAAATAAAAATTGAATTGCTATGTTACGTAACTCCACCTTTCACTGACGCAACCCCATTTAACAAATCCCTTTGCGTTAAAACAATAAAATAGGTCAGTGCAGTGGCTCATGCTTATAATCCCAGCACTTTGGGAGGTTGAGGCAGGCAGATAGCTCGAGCCCAGGAGCTTGAGACTAGCCTGGGAAATATGGAAAAGCTCCATCTCTACAAAAAATACAAAAATTAGCCAAGCGTGGTGGCACGTGCTATAGTCCCAGCTACTCAGGAGGGTGAGGTGGAAGGATCACTTGAACCCAGGAGGTCGATGCTACAGTGAGCCCTGATAGTGCCATTGCATTCCAGCCTGGACAACAGAACAAGACCCTGTCTCTCAAAATATAAATAAAATAAAACACCGCCTCTCCAATGAAACTAAGAAACTGCAGAGGTGAGAGCTAACTGATATTTCTTTGAATGAATATATAATACAATGTCAGATTTCTCCTGTGACTAATATTTATCTCATTACTCTGTTGGGTGCAGTTTTTATATATGGTTGCCATATTTCTATAAAGTGGATATACCTTTGACAAAATGTCATCGAAATATTCTTGGTCACCCTGCTTTTTACACTAATGAGATTTCTATTAGTCAGGATAAAGTTAAGCTCTGCTGTGGTAACAAATAAACCCCTAAATCTCAGTGGCTTGACATATCACATCCACACAAAAGCTGACATGACTTAGGAAGTCCTCCTTCCTCTTGAAGCTGAGTTATCTGGAGTATGGCCTTGGCTGTTATTGTGTCGGGGGCAGAGAGATGGAAAAGGACCTGGCTTTTACCTGTTTCAGCCCAGAGGTGATACATGTCACTTTCTCTCTCCCTATCCATTGACTGGAATTGGTCACATGGCTTCAATTCACTGCAAAGGTGCTGCAGAAATATCACAGAGCATGCAGATAGCTGGAAAGCACCAACTGTCTGCCACAGGCATTAAAATAAACATAATGAAGCTATTTTGAATACGCTTCAAAAGATTTCAAACTGTAGGCATGTGACTTGTGCTAAACCATTCAGAAATCCGTGGCATCCTCACTACTTCATAACAGAGTCAATATTCATTACGTGTGTGTTTACATGGGTAGCACTGAGTCTCATTGGCTGGCAAAGTGGCACAGGTGTACATACTATGGATAATATGTGTGCTTATAGATAATGATATGGTCTAAAATGAAACTAGTTTGGTCTAACTCGTTGCTTGTCAACTAGGGACAAAATTGCACTTAGCAGTGTATAGAGACATTTTTGATTATCACAGCTGGAGGCAAGTGGTGGGGGTGTCACTGACATCTAGTAGGTAAAGGCCACGGATGCTGCTAAACATCCTAAATGCACAAATCAGACACCCATCTCAACTGTGAATCGTCAGTGTTGTTGGCCCAAATTGTCAATGTTGGTGAAGCTAAGAAACTCTGGTCTACCAGATGATCCAGGAAATGCTATCTCCCCATCTTGCCCATTGAGTGCTTTTCAACAGCCAGAAGCAATTGCTTCCTTTCAGCTGCATATTCTTGCTTCCTTGGTCCCTTCATTGATGGTTCCAAAATCTGTATATCCAAATGCTACATACCTATGCAGCTGTCTATCAGTTACATTTATCGAGATGTCCAACCATCTCCTTACATGAAATCTGTGCAAAATGAAATTCATTGCCATCTCCTGCCTCTGACTCCAACCTCTTTCCCACCTTCTTTAGTGCCATTGGCCTTCACCTTTCAGTCACCCAAGCTGGAAACCTTAAACAAGCCACTCCTGACTCCTCCCCCTTCACAGTTCCACACACCACCCAATTCTGTAGATTTTTAGCTCCCACAAGACTTCGGACTCTGATATCCCTCTCTGTCTCCTTTGTTTCCTCTTGTATGGCTGTGTTGACTGGAATCCACGTAAAATAATAATAATGGTTTACTGCTATTCTCCTAGGAAGTATCCCTAACACCAGTCTCTCTCCACCCTGATCCAACTTCCACATTGCCACCAGGGAAGCTGCATGGCAGCATAGAAAAAGTGAGGGATCTAGAATCAATAGACCTACATTTCAAACCCAGGTCTTCCTGCATAACGCATGGGATGCACCTTAACCTCTTGAAACCACAGATGTAAAATGGGACTAAAAGCCTCCCCCTTACAAAGTGGTCTTGAAGGTTAAATATCACATATAAAAATCCTCCAGCCTAAACCCTGGCACGCATGGTTGCTCCATATGTTTCACCGTTATTTATCTTTGTCATTATTATATTGCTTCTAAAGTCACCCTTAACATTAAACAACTGCAGTTTGTAAGGATTAAGTTTTCATTCCCAAATGCCTTAAACCTTCAATAAACTGCTCCTAGCGGACTGTGGTGAGACTGTAAATTCTAGCTGGTGACCAACCATGACTGTATTATTTCTCACTGTAACCACTGTGCATCGAGTACATAGTAGGTGCTCAATAAATAAATAAATGTTAATCAAGTGAATAATAAAGTATTATATACATTTTATTATATATAACATATACTGTCATAAAAGAAATATTTTGCTCTATGTATAAGCTGGAATTATTCTTTCAATTTTTTTTTTCTAATACAATCCTTTCTGAAGTCTGCCCGTATCCACCTCTCTCTGTAATTAATGTCTCCTCTCTGTTCTAACTTTCAGTCTGTCTTGTGTCACCTATTTTTTGCAGCTGGTCTCGTCTGCTTCCAACAGACTATGCATCACTTTCTTGCCATGAACCTATCTGGTTCCCCTTTATCAGTATTTCCCTTACTCCAATATACACACATATATGCACACAGATTCACGCACATCAGATGAACTGACAGATTTTTCTCATTATTCTTTTTTTTCCAGAAACTTCCATGGCTACATGGCCAACCAATTTTTCACTTGTGCATCCAGGCTTGTAAGTTCTATCACATAATACACTGAAAGAAAGCTTCATGTCACAGAGAAACAGCATTCCTATCCCCAAGCTGACTGGAGGAAGACAAAAATTTATAATCCAAATGAGTGAGATGAAGTAAACTCAGTAATAGCTAGATTGGGTCAGAAATGAACAGCTGCTTCCAGCATGGGCAGGGCCAGGCTGGCCCACTGTACCTGGGAAGGACAGGTTCACATGGTGCTTGGGTCCAGCCACACAGCAGAGCAGTCCTGAGCTCCTAGGGTCAACCTGTTCCTTCCTTCCAAGGTCTTTCCCTGGATCTACTCAGGTAATTTCCTAGCTGTTGAGAAGACAGTGAACTCAAAAAAACCATTGTTCCTGGGTGTGGCAGGCTCATGGGTGGGCACATGCACACACGGTTGACCCTTGGCTAGCCAAGGCTTTTTGGATCTGAGTTCCCCATCTTCCATGTCATCTGGCACTCTGTCCCCAGACCTCAGAGCTGCTAGAATGCACGATAAAAAGCCAAATTAAAAGTTGTATCAAGTGCACCCTAGACTGAAGAAGCCATGTGGCTTTTGAAATGGCCTCACTTCCTCCCCAGAGTGGCTTCTTTCTTTCTACCTTCTCCTTGAAGACTCCATACTGGCCCTGCCTAGGTCTGCATGCCTTCCTCCCCGGTCTCCCTCAGGGCCTCTTGAAGCTGGCAGGCAAAGAGTCGCTTCCCGGTAGGTGCAGTTGGCACGACTGCAAGTGTACTTAAACTTTGTGTCTGATCAAGTTATGTGTATTGGATCTGAAACCAGTTAGTCAATTCGTTCAGGTCCCTAAGTGGCGATTTGTGGTAATGTCTACATCAATACGGACGGAGCGGTTTGCTAGCTGGTTTACGTAAAGCAAATGGCTGCAGGAAAGAGGGGGCAGCCTCCAGCATTCTCTCTGCTAATGAAGATATGGCTGGAAAAGAAAGGAAAGCGAGTGGAAACAAAAGTCGGCATCCATTTGTGCATAAACACTCAGGCGAGGTCTATTTTCTAGGTTGAATCAATTTGCCTCTTCCATTTACCCCTTGTTTCTTCCTCCCCATTGGCCTTCTTTCCTTGTTGATGCACCGACCTAATCATTAGTATTATAATCTTGTTCTGTGTATATTAAAACTCCCCAACCCAGGGACAAACTATGGTGTCTGTTTGTTTGTTTTGATGGAATTTTTTGCTCTTGTTGCCCAAGCTGGAGTGCAATGGTGTGATCTCGGCTCACCGCAACCTCCGCCCACGGGTTCAAGCGATTCTCCTGCCTCAGCCTCCAGAGTAGCTGGGATTATAGGCACGCACCACCATGACCGGCTAATTTTTTTTTTTTTTTATTTTTAGCAGAGATGGGGTTTCTCCACGTTGATCAGGCTGGTCTCGAACTCCCAACCTCAGGTGATCTGCCCACCTTGGCCTGCCAAAGTGCTGGGATTACAGGTGTGAGCCTCTGCGCCCGGCAAAACTACGTGTTTAAGAGGGAACCTGGGGCACTGATACAAGTTCCACTCAGAGTCTTACAGGAATGACTGAAACCAGAAAGAAAAAAATGAGTGGTGTTGAGTTCCACTCGCCTTGTTTCTCTTTTGTATCAATCGTTTCTGCATTTGCCCTGGCAGGGGAGGAAACAGCATAACAGGGAATTTATTTAGTGTGTGTCTGCATATTGGCTGTATCTCTTTACTGCTGCAGAGTACGTTGTTTCTAATAATTGTGATGGATTGATACTTATGACTGGCTGGCAGAATTCCTTTAGCATGTTAAAATATTACCTTTTATTCCCTGATCTAATGCATAACCTGATGTTTCAGTCAGTTTTCAAATGTAATAAACAATTTGAAAAGCGAATAACCCTAAAGAAAAGGAAGATGCTCTGTATCGGAGGTGAATTCCATTTTAAATCATGCCCTCTGCCAGCCAAGTGAACTCCTTAGCAGAGTTGTTCTTTAGCTCTGATCCAGTCAAGCCATCTAGGAGTTGGATGCAAACGAAAGAAATTGGTGCACATGAAATAGACTAAAATCTGTCTGACAAAAATGCTTTGGCTAAAATGGAACGGCTGAAATCCTCCTTGTTCTGGTCTGCTAAGCTAGCCAGGAAATAGCAAAATTCCAGGCTCAAACCTGAGAAAGTGTTTCCTCGAGTATGGCTTCTGCCTTCACCTGCTGGCTGGAGATTTGGCCCTTGAAAATGGCAGTTTTGCCCTTACAATCTCACCTCAACACGCTGGTCCCTAACATCCCTCTGGAAATTTTGCCCCTGAAAAGACGTTAAGGCTCAGAAGCTTACCACCATCACCTCTGACCCAGAAACAAATCTTAGGACCTTGACAAGACGCCCATTTGACATGGCAAAGATGGACCAAATGGCTTAGTGGCCAAGTGGCTAAATGCAGACAGAACACTTCATATCCTTCCCCTCATCAATGCACATTTCTGAAATAAACAGCTTAAAACTGCAGGTCACATGAATTTTTATTTCATTTTGTTTTCTTGCATTTTAATTTCTATTCTTTCCTATTGTGGGTTACATCACTTTTCATCACGGTCGTGCTGCAGAAACGTAGAGCACGATTTATGGAGCCTTAACATAAATATGATGCTAGACAGAAAGAGAGCGACATATTAGTTTAGAATTTGCAGACTCGCACACACGGAGCACACATGGCTGATTTATGAAACTGAGATAGCCTATAAATCCTAAAGTAAGGTGCTGCATCCATAAACTCCCAAGGAGCAAGAGGCAGTGCCCCTTAGCACAAACTCCAGTTGGAAGCCCCTAGGCCCTGAAAACAAAAGACGCACCCAATGCTTGGCCTTTTGCTTTTCTTAGAAACACATCGTGGCCGGGCGTGGCGGCTCACGCCTGTAATCCCAGTACTTTGGGAGGCCGAGGCAGGCAGATCACTTGAGGTCAGGAGTTTGAGACCAGCCTGGCCAATATGGTGAAACCCCATCTCTACTAAAACTACAAAATTTAGCAAGGCATGGTGGTGCGTGCCTGTAATCTCAGCTACTCTGGAGGCTGGGGCAGGAGAATCGCTTGAACTGGGGAGGCAGAGGTTGCAGTGAGCCAAGATCGTGCCACTGCACTCCAGCCTGGGAGACACAGCGAGACTCCATCTTAAACAAACAAACAAAAAAGAAACACATTTTTAAAAATTAGCCATATACCAAAGTGGTGGGAAGGTTTGCTCTTCACCAATTAACGAAGGATGGGTAAGGAAGTTAGTTGGTGGTTGGACTCTGCTCTCAGATTCAACCCTCCCTAGCCTTCTATTCTCCTCCATATTCTGTGGGGCGGGGCTTCCCAGTGCAAACTATATTTCCCAAGAGCTCTCTTGCCAAATGACTTCTGCCTGGGATTTGCCAAATGGGAGGCACTGGGAGGAGTCTGGGGGGTGGGAGTGAGGGAGGAGCCAGGTAGGAGGCTTCCCCTCGCCTCCTCCCTCTGCGTTGGGTGGCCTCACAGGAAGTTGCTGCTTCTCCTCCATGATCCCAGCTTTGTCAGACAGCCTTCTTGTGATTCCACCTTCCAACAGGTAGCCCTGGTTTCTGGGCTCTGTCCCACCATCTCCTCCTTTTGTTCCTTCAGGCTGAGGGTGGTCACAGCTTCCTGCTGTTACTAGTCTCTCCAGTGTCTCCTCCTCCCCCGCCACACCACACCATGCCCATCCAGTGCCTAACCCTTTTAAACTAAACCCATATTAACTTTCCTGTAGAAAGTTTTATATATAGGTTCTGCCTTCCTGGCCAGGACCTGACTAATTCAGGGGGACCCTGGAGGCTATTCCACCATCTCCGACTGACAAGCTTATGGACAAGGAGCAAAATACAAATCTGCTTCCAGCTTTAACCAGTCCTCAGCCACTCAAAAACTGTCTGACAAAATCACTGCAACCACCAAAGATTACACAATAGCTTGATTTTCTCTTCCTCTTGGAGAAAGACTCGGTTGTGGGTCTCATGAAATACTACTTGAGGTCAGGTGCAGTGGCTCACGCCTGTAATCCCAGCACTTTGGGAGGATGAGGCAAGAGGACTGCTTGAGCCCAGGAGTTTGAGACCAGCCTGGGCAACAAAGTGACACCCAATCTCTACAAAAAATTTTAAAAATTAGATGGGTGTGGAAGCATATGCCTGTAGTCCCAGCCACTCAGGAGGCTGAGGCAGGAAGATCACTTGAGCCCAGGGGGTCGAGACTGTAGTGGACAATGTTCACGCCACTGCACTCCAGCCTGGGCAACAGAGCAAGACCCTGTCTTAAAAAGATAAAAGAAAAAAGAACTGGAAACTCCCTGGGAATCCTGGGAACACCAGAAGAAGGAATGGGACCAAAGGTTGAAACGCTCCCAAAGATATGGGTAGAAAAAGGTGGAGTTCTTCAATAGTTGCTGGAGAAAGGAGAAAGGATTATAAGGATTACAAGGTGATGCCTTGTAATATGTTATCACTCTTTTAGAAAACAAAAAGTTGAATAGATCCAGAGCTTAAATTGCTTATCCTAATTCAACTTCAAAATCCCAGCCCAATCACTCTTTCAACCTAAGTTATAAATAATTTGACAACTTGGTGGTGTAGCATTTTGCAGCCACTTCTCTGCAAACTATAAATGCCTGTAAAATAATACATCTGTGCAATATTAACAATGGCCATTGCTTATATTTTTTGGTGCTTCATGTAAACATTGAGTTGTGAGTTCCTTTCTTAGGCATGCTGCCTTCTAAATGTTTTTATCCCCTTGTAAAAGCGTAACAGAAATGGTGACTCCCCCCATCAACACTCACCAAATTTTGAAGACCATAGATGAAAGATAGAAACTTAAAATATGCAAAATATTTGCTCCAAATTAATTCACATGGATAGAGGTTAGAATGGTGTTGGCTTTTGGTAGGGAAACATTGGGGGACATGTGGGAGCTTTCTGGAATGACGGACATGTTTGACATCTTGATGTCAGTTGGTTCCGTGAGTGTGCGCATGTGTGTATATGTAAAAATTAACCTGTAAGCTGTACACTCAAGACCTGCACTGTTTATTATATGTTTGCACACATCAATGAAAAATGTCAAAATAATCATTTTTCAAAAGACCTGGAACCTTGGCCCCTGAAGAGTTGAAGAAGGAATTTCTTTATGGAAAAGCGATAGCAACAGCATCTTTTTAAAGAAGGAGCATTTTTATGGAATTTGGCAATCATTGTGGACACACAAGTGAACTCAGGGAGTAATTATTGGCTAGCAGAGAGCCAAGTTCATCAACACCTCCTGGGCTGGGGTAAAGGGAGCAGGATTGGGTAGCAGAAGAAGTTGAATTACGGTGCAGACAAAACCAAGGCCTCATCTGAGCCGGGAGCTCTCGAGCTGGAATGCAGGCTGTACCCTGGGGAAGGGGGTTTAACCTGGGGCAACTACTAAAAAGAGGACCTTATTGAGAGCAGTCAGCCTCCAATATTTCCAATAGCTGGGCGGGGCAGGGAGTGAGTGCTTCGGTTCTGATGTGGGAGATGGACTTGGATGGTGCTGGAAGATTCCACAAGGTAAGAAGTGAGGAACAGGTGCCACTCTCACCCATAACCCATTCCCCAAAATGTGTGAACTATGTGTTTATGAGACCTGAAGTGGGGTTGGACTCATGGGCAAAACTACAGAACAAGTTTATCCAAATAAAGATCTCATTTAGCATCCCAGGTAGCAAGGATATGGAGCCTGCAAATACCATGCATCTAAAGAGAGCTGGATGGCCTGTGGGAGAAACTGACAGGCATCCTCTCAGTCCCTCAGGTCCTTTGCCTCCTCTGTTGGGTCACAGACAACAAAAGACAATGGAAGCTGCAGATTCACCCACCCAAGGGGCATTTCCTTCAGCGCCACCATGCCAGAGAGAGCGGCAACTTCCCACAGGTTGCAAATGAGTCCGCGTGATGGGGACGTGAGTTAATTAGTGCACTTGGGTTTGAGAGGTGGGTAACAAGCTGCCGCTCTGCATTTGGTGGTTCCTTTTCCGAACAGGTGGCAACTGACTGACGGGCTTTCTCTGAAGTGGAGAAGGACATCTGTGTTTTCCATATTGCGGAACACCGGATCTTTCCAAGTCACACATTTGGGAAGACAGCTGAATTGCCTTCAAGTTCCTCCTGTTATGGTACAAATACCCACCTGGTGTGCAAACATGAGAGACGCAGCTTTACACTAGAACCAATGAAAGCAAATTTGAGAAAACCCAACTCTTTAGGAATGGAGACTACAGATGTATGAGGGGATCTTAATAATTAAAAGAAGAAAATATGTAAACAGGAAAAATATCCAACTGTCACAAAACTCTACACTAAATCAAACTGCAAAGTTTTGTCTTTTTAAAAATATAGTCATGTGCCACATGACAACGTTTCAATCAAGGAGGGGCTGCATACACGACAATGGTCCTGTAAGATTACAATGGCGCTGAAAATTTCCTATGGCCCAGTCACATCATAGCTACCAAAACATCACTGTGCAAGGCACTACTCATGTGTCTGTGATGTTGCTGGTACCAACAAATTTACTGCACTGCCAGTCATATAAAAGTATAACACATACAATTATATACAGTACTTAATACTTGATAATGGTAATAGTGACTATGTTACTGATTTACGTATTTACTATAACTTGTGTCATTATTTTAGAGTGTGCTCCCTGTACTTACAAAATAAAAAATTTAACTGTACAACAGCCCCAGGCAAGTCCTTTAGGAGGAATTCCAGAAGAAAGCATTGTTATCATAGGAGATGACAGCTCCATGCGTGTTATTGCCCCTGAAGACCTTCCAGTGGGAGAAGATGTGCAGGTGAAAGACAGTGATATCGATGATCCTGATCCTGTGTAGGTCTAGGCTTATGTGGTGTTTGTGCCCTACTTGGGTTTTTGTTTTTTTGTTTGTTTGTTTGTTTGTTTGTTTTTTGAGAGAGGGGCTGACTCTGTTTCCCAGGCTAGAGTGCAGTGGTGTGATCTCCGCTCACTGCAGCCTAGACCTCCTGGGCTCAAGCAATCCTTCCACCTCAGCCTCCTGAGTAGCTGGGACTACAGGCACATGCCACCATGCCTGGCTAATTTTTCTACTTTTGTAGAGACAGGATTTCACCATGCTGCCCAGGCTGGTCTCAAACTCCTGGGCTCAAGTAATCAGCCTGCCTTGGCCTCCCAAAGTGCTGGTATTACAGGTGTGAGCCACTGCACCCAACCTGTGCCCTAGTTTTTATTTTAAAAAGTTTAAAGAGTTAAAAAAAAAAAAAAGAGTTTTAAAATACAAAAAAAAAAAAAAAAAACCTCACAGACTAAGGATATAAAGAAAATACTTTTGTATAGCTTAAACACAATGTGTGTTTTAAGCTGTGTTATTCCAAATTTTTTAGATAGTAAGTTTATAAAGGAAAAAAGTTATAGTAAGCTAAAGTGAATATATTATTGAAGAAAGAATACTGAAATTAAATATTTATTAAATACTGTAATAAATCTAACGTAGCCTGAGTGTACAATGCTTACAGTCTACAGTAGTGTGCAGTAATGGCCTAGGCCGTCACACTCACTCACTGGCACACCTAGAGCAACTTCCATTCCTGCAAGCTCCCTTTATAGTAAGGGTCCTACACAGGGGTACCACTTTTTAATCTTTTAAACGATATTTTGTATATACCTTTTCTATATTTAGATATGCTTAGATACACAAATGTTTACCATTGTGTTATAAATGCCTATAGTATTCACTACAGTAGCATGCTGTACAGGTTTATAGCCCAGGAGCAATAGGCTAAACCACATAGCCTAGGCGTGTAGTAGGCTATACCATCTAGATTTGTGTAAATACACTCTACGATCTTCACACAATGACAAAATTGATGAATGAGGCATTTCTTAGAACATATCTTCACTGTTAAGTGATACATGGTTGTACACACACTCACGTACAGACAATTTGAGACTGTGGGGCTTCGATATTAAATAAGCCAACTGTTTTAGAAGAAAAGCTACCCCAGCACATCTCAAGAAAAAAAGCGTACCATACAGGCTCTCCCTTATTCTGGAACTTTTAACCAGTAGCCTCCCTCCCTACTCTGAATGTGTTTTGAGTCCTTATGATTTATGGGTCACCGTCAATAATCAAAGCCATTGCTGGATTGAAACTGACAATCAGATCAGGCATCTAAATTAAACAGGAATACAAGTCTCTTTCGAAGGATCCATTACACGGGAAGAATTCCGCTGAAGACACCACAACATTTATTGAGAACATCTTAGAGCAGGACTCAAACTGCGAACAAAATGGAAAATGTCTCAAAGAGCTCCCAAAATTAATTATAAAAATTAAAAGAACCCTGAAAGAAAAGCTGCTGTGTGGAGAAGATGGAAGCTCAGTGAGGCAGCTGGTTCTCCACCTTTGGAAGCTGTTCCTGGCATGATAGGTCGTACCCAACGTCTCGTCTGTAAGGGGGTGAGGAGCCGACAGTAGCCTCCTTACCTCTCTGGGGAAGGACTTTGCAGAGGAAAGGTTTGGTTAATGTTATAGAGGATTTTTATTTTTTTTAAAACAAAGCTATTTGTTTACTTTGATAATCTGTGTCTCCCACAGCAGCGGGTTGTCTCTTTTTTTTTCTGTTTCTCTCCACCAGGAGGTAAACCCACTGGAAAGTGGTTAAAGGTACAGCATTAAAAGTTACTAATCGGGGGTGGGGGAAAAAAAGCCCATAGATGAAGAAACATGTTAGGCCATCTTGAACGTAAATGCGAGCTTCTAAAAGAAGGCTAAGGAACACAGCTTTGGAAATGCATACTTTTTTTCCGTTGGTTTTCTTTGACAAAATCTGGCGACCTGTGCCAACAAGACCTGCCAGGCAGTGTCAGATTGAGGACCATGGAAACTTTTAATGATTAAAGGTATTGGTTAAGAAACTTGGAAAGGCCACCATTGCCTACATTCTCTTTTTGACGAGGTCGTCATGCTGTCCTTGTAACTCCTTGCCCCAGTAATTGACCACAATTAATAGGGTCAGAAATGGGCCCCTGATCCCAAGTCAATCATAGGTACTGGGACAGTGGCCCATGAAGTGGTCTGGCCCAAAATGCTGTCCTGTCCTGCATGGTGTCTAACCACTCCAATCCTCACTTGTGGAGAATGTGGCCTTCAGATCTACCCAGGGATTCCAAAGATGGTAGACAGTACGGAGCTGAGAACCACACTAAAGTAAGCAGAGAAAGAGATCAGTGGATCTCTCGGACACCCAGTCTTGGACTCAGTGGATGTGCTGGGGTGGGAGCAATGGATATCAGCCGCTGAAAGAGTGAGAAGATGACCTGGTATCCCCATGCAATGAACACAGGCTGCACACCCACTAGAGCTACTGAATGCCCCCAAATATTCCAGTTCTTTCTGATCCCTAGCTGTGTGCAGAAGGACTTCTTCTCATTTCCCTGGGTATTATTAAAACAGTGCCTATTAACTGAGGCAAGCTCAGTCTTGGCTCCTTGTAGCCTAAAAGTGCCTCCCTGATTCACCAACATGATAACTCTAACCACGATGGCAATCCCTGTTCATGGTGCATCCACTGGTGTGCCATGTGGCTTCGTGATGGGATGATCAGTCCCATTATGTTGTGCTCACTCGGAACTGCAGGCCCCCTTTCCAGCTCTCTCAGGGGCTGCTCTAATCAGAGCTAGATGATGCATCCCTAAAATGGGAGTCAGCATTCACACCACACGATCGGTGGCCTGTGGATATCCACAATTTCATCTCCGAGGTGTTTGTAGCCATGGTGATGAGCTAGAGGCACTTATCTAAATATCCATACTTAGCTGTATGCATGTGTCACATTGTAACATCTATATGTCACGGCCACTTAGGTAAATAGCATTTGCAGCCCAGGGTAAATCCTCAGGTATCTGTCTCCGAGGATGTCTGCGGTGTTGGGCACACTGACAACTAGGGGCTTCCTTTTGCTTTCAGTCATAACTGTTCACATAGAAGGGATCTGTCTGAGAAATGTCACATGGCTTAACATGAGACCTGCCTGCAAAAGGAGTTGACCGCACGTGTCTGCTCTTGGGGGTGGTACTCCATGGCGGCACCTACCCTCCTGGAGGAGATTGACAGCTGCACATCCATTCTCCTCCAGTTCCTGACCTGGGTCCCATGGCCTTCAATTACCATTGTGTCAGTTACAGTGTTTTTTGATTTACCTGGAGGCATGATTTCCTGAATAGGGGAATGGGGGAAAGAACGCAGGATGGCCCTGGAAGAGCAAAGATATCAAATGCATATCTACGCAAAACATTTCGTCAGAGAAACGTGGGGGAGGCTTCCTCCATGTTGGTTAAATGTAACCACCGAACTGGGTCAATTTCAGACCAATGTCAATGGATTCACAATTGGCATTTTTTGGTAACAGTTTTGACCTGTTTCTTCCAAAAGTAAAATAAGAAATCCTGAAGGAATGAAACGAGGTTTGTGCTCCTCTGAGGAAGAAACTAGGGTGATAGTTATTCACTTCTTCCTTTTTAAAAAATACTGTTTTGCTCTAGAAATAGTTTTGTATTCCAAAAACAACAACAAAAGGTGGAAAAGGGGCATAAATGGAGAAATACGCTTACTGTTTGAGTCAATGATGGTATTAATAAAAGTCTGATTAATAAGTAAACAGAAATGGAAAAATAGCTACAGTTTTTTTATAACCCATACTACCGCCATTTCTCTCTTTTTCTCTCTCCCTCTCTTTCTTTTAAATGCTCCCCACCACCCTATCCCACTCCCCAGCTTTGGAAAGAATGTATTTTTAAAAATCTTAATGTTTTCTTTTTTTAAATAGCTATAGAATAAACAGTGGCTGGAGGATGATACACCAAAGAAGGAAAGAAACAAGTGAACTCAAATCAAAGAATTCACATCAGCTTTTTTGAAAGGGGAAAACCAAAAACGTCAATTGCAAGCCTCAACCCCCTTCTTCTTCCCCAAACTGTTTTTCCTTTTGGTTTATTTCTGCATCAGAGTCTACCTAGGTTTCAAAACCAATTTTCCATTTTCCTAGAACCAGCCAAATATGGAGTGTGTGCAAAAACATGGTAGCTTAAAAGAAGAAGAAGTAGACAATTATCAAAGGGAAGAGGGAGGAAGGAAAGAGAAGGGAAATAAAGAGAGATGACACAAGGGAACTGGACCAGATAAAGACAAAGCAATGCACTTAACCCACCTGGAGAGCACATCGGACCAGCAAGGCGCTCTCAGCCAATCGCCTGGGTCTGCGGCTGGGAGGAGAGTCCGCATGGGTTCATTTGGCTGAGGAGTGTGTTTCATAAACCTTACGGTGCAGCTATGAAAGCTATCAGGATCTTCCCACGTTTCCTGTCATTCCGTGGAGATTGGCTGCTGGAGTGCTTGGTTGGGGGGGCGGTGGGGAGTGGAGGTGGTAGGGGAAGAGGATGCTTGGGTTGTTGAGGGGAGACTGGCTCTGGTGGGAAGTGGAATCACACAGGAATTTATTTTAAGTGCATAAACAAAATGAAATGAGGAAAAAAAGAAAAAAAACCAGTGTATTCCTTTTGGGTCATGTGAGAGAGCCACTGGCAAAGATGAGGGGGCAATGAGAAAGGAAGAGAGAAAAAGAGAGAGAGAGGCAAAAAGCTTTCTATGATTTGGGGCACTGGTGAAGCACACTGAGGCAGCTGGAAGATTAAATTAAGTATCATATCTGCTGACCCTATTGCCATGGTTACCGGACAGCGGAAAATATTCATCAACCCGAGCCTTTTCAGATGAATGTGCTTGAAAAAATACAATAAATATAAATATATATGTATATCCTCCCCGCTCTGCTGTCTAAATGCAGAACGTCAGCCAGTGCACCACCTGATAGTGGAGATAAACAAATAATAATAACAAAATGCTCGCCTCCCTGAGAAAGCTTACGTCACTTACAAGAAGCAGGGCGTGAACAGTAGGGCTGACCACTTGTTCACTTTCTCTTTAGCTGATCTCTTTCCCCCTACCCCCTTCAATGATGAACCATCCTGCCTGGTTTGATTACAAAGTAAAGGGGCAATTCGTCTCCTTATTCCTAAGAAACCTGTCCGTTAACTACTTAGACAGTCACTCTTAGGCGATGACTAAAGCTGAAACACATTGGAGGAAAAAAAAAAAAGACAAAAATTACATATTAATAAAATCAGAAGCCCAGCAAAGTCAGGGTAAGAATGAAACAATTCTGGTCTAAAGGAGCCGACACTTAATGACTCCGCAGGCTTAAAACTTGCCTTCTTGCTCCAGCTCTCAGTCTCAGGATCCCAGATTTTGCCTCTCACTTTACTCCCAGCAGCTGACACTGTAAGACTGTCCTGCCTGCCTTGAAAAGTGCTGTCACTGTTCCCAGGAAAAACTTGAGGCATTGCAGAGCACAGCCAAGGAGCAGAGACACATGAATGTGAATAGGCTCATGAGAGCAGAATCTTTCCCGCTCCATGCACGAGGATTGGTATTTTGCCCTTGGACATTCTCTTTCCGTCCATTCAGTATTTCTTGAGTTCCTACTGTGTGCAAGGCACCCTGTTGAACAGTGGGTTTGGGATACTGAGAGACTCAGGGGATCACACGACAGCGGAAGGTGGGGTTCAGAGAGAGAGGGACCATGAAATTCACTTCGCTCAAACTTCACCGTTTTGCAGACAAAGATAATAGAAACCTAGAGTGGATCAAGGATTTGCTTAAGGTCCACAGCTGTTTCACTGCAGACTAGATCTTGCAGTCTCCTAAGTCATGCGCCTGGTCAGATCTGAAATGCCTAGATTTTTAACAGCAAGTTTATCTATCTTTCCAGGAAATGCTACTAGTTTCAAAACTCCCACATTGCCACCTGGCCCGGACCCAGTATGTAGGAATGCCTAAGAAATCTAACGGATGAGCTCTTCCCCATTTTTCTGCCTCACCTCCCTCTACTTCCCTTTCCTTCCCTAACTCTGTCCCCACTAAGATAAACAGCATATGGTGGGAAATACAGTCTTGGCTTCCAGATCTCCTTCCCCTATTGAATAATCACCTTCTTAGGTTAATAGAGTCCCACGGAAAAAGTTGAGCAGACCTAACACAAAGTTCATGTATATTAGCCAGAATGATTCTACTCTGTAAGACCAGAGCAGGTCTCCATGTCAAGCCTGGCTCTGACACCCCCTGGCCAAGAACCACAGGGGTTCAGATGGCTTTTCTCTTAGTTAAGCCTTCACCACATGTAGCCCTGACCGCGACCAATCAGCCTTCTCCTTCTGCTTAGGTGCAATTTTACACAGTAGGTGACATTAACTCGGTAGCTGAGTCCCCATGTGCAACCACGGCAACCACAGGGTCCCAGCAGATGACAGGAGACAGCAGGTTGTATGATCCTGTAAATTATTTCCCCATAGTAACGGCAAGATTACACACTTTAATATGCATACTGCTTGAGAGAGCCCTCTTCCTGGCTGAACCAAAGCGATAATGCATATTTTGTGTCTAGAAATCCATTCTAAATGGTGCGGCGTGTAATAGACGGTATTACCTCAAGGGCTCCAACCTGACCCTTCTCATCTGGTCTCTTCCACCGACGCATAAGTGGAATGCGTCTTCCTTCGCACAACCTCCTTTGTCTCTGGGTTCTCCTGTTTTCTACTGACACTCTTGGGACGTATTCAATACCCAGTCCAGTTTTAGCAAGGCTTTTTGTCCTAATGGCTGCCTATATAGCTTTTCTGATTCCTTTAGATAGGCACACTCTGATTCAGGTGTTTTATTTTGTGGGGAGAAGAATGAAACTGTATCAGTAAAGAGGAAGAGGGAATAAAATAGAAAAACGAGGTAATATAGAACATCCGGAATAGACTGTGCTTACTGTATACACATAGGATAGATACTGAGTTTAATGGGCTGAAGGCCAGATTCCTTTAAGTTCAATACAAAATACTTCCCACCCCACAGTGACTCCTAGAAGAACCATTTAAACCAGGTACTTTGTGTCCCTCCCTTGGATGGACACAGTGGAAAGTGTACTGGAGTCTGTACCAGAAAATGCGTGAAATTCAGCTCTGCCACTTTTTTTTTTTTTTTTTTTTTTTTTTTTGAGACAGGGTCTCACTCTGTTTCCCAGGCTGGAGTACAGTGGTGCAGTCATGGCTCACTGCAGCTTCACATTCCTGGGCTCAAGTGATCCTTCCACCTCAGCCTCCCAAGTAGCTGGGACTACAGGTACACGCCACCATGCCTGGCTGATTTTTCTTTTAATGTTTTTGTAGAGATAGGTTTTCATTTTGTTGCCCAGGCTGGTGTTGAACTCGTGGCTTCAAGCAATCCTCCCACCTTGGCCTCCCAAAGTGCTGGGATTACAGGCAAGAGCCACTGTGCCTGGCCTCTGCCACTTTTTACCTGGGAGATTACAGACAAACTTTTAACCTGTCCAATCCTTGGACACCCCGTCAATAAAATGGAATCATTATAATGAGTTTGCACAATTTTTGTGAGATTAGAATCGATTAGTACCTAGACATAAAAGATGCTTAACAAATGTTAGGACCAAGGCAGGGGGGCAAGGACAACATGTGTGATCCTCTTGAAAATGCTTAAGATTGATACACGGTATTGATATAAGATGATTTCCCTCAAATGCTCATTGATCCTATTAGCAAACCAAATCCATTGCAATCTGCGTGGCACTCCAGGAATATCAAATCGAGGCTCACAGAGAGGTTAGTGAATTTGTTCTGCCACTAGGATGCTGAATTATTTTTCCTAGGCCTCAATGCCATCTGTGAAAGGGGTGAGATGATAGGCTATGTGCAAGCATTAAGGTTTGGGGTAATTAACTTGCTTCTGGGGAAAATGTTTAACTATGAAATAAAGTTAGATCCAGTATTGACTGCCCTTTTTGTTGCTGTTCCTCTTTACTCATCTAAAAAGAAGGAGGAGAAAGAGGAGGAGGAAGAGGAGGAGGAGGAAATGCTTATTTCTGGAGCAGCAATAAGCATGTTCCAGAAAAAAGATCTGGGTATACCACCATGGAATACTCCATGCCAGTGAAAGGATATTATGCTTCAAGCACAGACATGCAGCTCTTCAGCACTGTCATTACACACATGTGAGTTAGGAGGAGCAGAGCATGAAAACAAATCTTTTGTGTGATCACATGGAACCAGTTAGGGAAAATAGTGGGAGCTGAACTTTGGACAACTCTGAATCATACTCAATTGATTCTCCATCATCCAACAAGCCATCATCAAAAACAGGCAAAACACAGCCCAGAGAGAATAGTACACACTGGAAATATGAGCAGATGCAGTGGTATATATTATTGTCCAGACACGAATGAATACTGTGACTTAGTGAGACATAGGCCTTAAAAGGCAAAAATAGAAGCAGTGTGTCCTTCTCCTTCTTTGTCAAAGGAGGCTGTGTCTTTGACACTTCAACCAACGTAAGAACTGTGCTGAGTGTCTGTGATGTCTTTTGAATCAATCTCAGGAAAAAGATATCCCTGTACTGAATCTACAAAGCCTCAAATATTAATACTTAAGGCAACTTTTAGACTCTTTGATGGCTAGAGAAATTCAATGGCAATGGACCAAACCCATCCCAAATGCAGTGTCATAGAGAAATGCGTGTGCACAAAGTTGATAGTAATTAATGAGAAATTTCCAAGGTCTTCCCTCCTTTGGCATAGCTCCTTTGTCTTTGGCCTTGATTCTCATAGAAGCAAGTTGATCACAACGGTGACTACTGGAATGGAATGCTTTCACATTTTGGCTTTGACAATTACGTTCTTTCTTTTTAAAATGCCCTTTCTCCTCTGCCACCTATAGCCATTAAAACCCAGATCCCTCTGTTTTGAAAATGGCACCACCTCACTACCATGTACCCGGTTCTCATCTCTTCTTCACTATGTTTCCCTACCAACTTCCCTTCTCCCCCTCCACCCCCTAAACAATCCATCAGCCAGGCCCTTCGATGTCTCCTGGCCTTTTTGTATAAAAGTCACACTGCACAGTTCTGCATGATGTGGGCTCTGACTACATCTCCCACTTCCCTTCTTACCACTCCCACCTTGGTCCAGACAGTTTAGCTTTCTTTCCCTCTCCTTTTTTTTTTTTTTTTTTTTTTTGAGACAATTTCACTCTGTCACCGAGGCTGGAGTGCAGTGGCACAATCTTGGCTCACTGCAACCTCCACCCCCTGGGTTCAAGCGATTCTCCTGCCTCAGCCTCCTGAGTAGCTGGGATTATAGGCGCCCACCACCATGCCCGGCTGATTTTTTTTTTTTTTTTTCTTTTGAGACAGGGTCTCGCTCTGTTGCCCAGGCTGGAGTGCAGTGGCGTGATCTCGGCTCACTGCAACCTCCACCCCCGGGGTTCAAGCAATTCTCCTGCCTCAGCCTCCCGAGTAGCTGGGATCATAGGGACCCACCACCATGCCCGGCTGATTTTTGCATTTTTAGTAGAGACGAGGTTTCACCATGTTGGCCAGGCTGGTCTTGAGCTCCTGACTTCAGGTGATCCACCTGTCTCAGCGTCCTAAAGTTCTGGGAGTACAGGCATGAGCCATCACGCCCGGCCTTTGCCTGTCTCAAACATGCTCAGCATCGTCCTTTAGGACAGCTGCATGAGTTGTTCCCTTTCCATCGAATGCTGTTTTCCTATGAGCTTGGTGTGGTTGGCTCCTTCTCGTCATTCTCATCTTGGCTATGTCACCTTTTCTGAGAAGACACCCCTGATCAGCAAATCTAAAGGCATCATCTAGCCACTTGCAATTACACCACTCTCTTCTAATTCTGCCCATAGCATTATCACAATCTGACACTTGCCTGTTTATTTATTTTCTTGTTGTCTTTTGCCTCACTAGAATTTTACATTTCTCCATCAGAGCAGAAACCTTGTCTACAGTGTTTGCCACTGTGTCCCTGGCACCTAGATAAAAGGGCTTAATATATTTGTGTTGAATGAGTGCCCCAACCCTAATGCCAGCATACTTTATTACTTGCTATTCATTGTCTATGACATTTCATATGGACCATAACTATAACATCAATCAAATCACATATCCTAATTTTTCATCCGAGGCTTCAACTAAACCATGAAATCTGAAGGATATAGACTGTTTTGTTCACTTTGAACTATTTACTACAAAGTTAGGAAAATTACGTAGGGTCACCATGTACTGATATGTAGGTGATACACTGAACAATTCCAAAGGGAGAAATCTGTATCACTGTGATGTGAATAGCAGCATGTGGTATTGTGCAGTATCCAACCTGAGCAACCATACAGCAGCTCAGATTTCTCTTTAACAAGGAGGTAAATCAGGAAGACTTTTTCTTTCACCTCTTGTTCTAGGAAGAAACTCAGTGTTCCATGTCCTTGCTCTGGCCAACTTCTCCCTAAGTCCACACCTTAGGGTAACAAAATCCTTAAAGAAAGACCTCAGTGGACTCATATAGGGCAACTCACACGTGCTGTGGCACATCTCCTCTACCCTACAGTCTATTCTAGCAATTAATGTGATGGTTAATTATGCACAGGCTTTGACCAGATTTTTGCAGGTACAACCAGACAGGGCTTTGCCTTTGGATGTGCCTCATACCTCTGGCTTTGTGCCTTGTGCTTCTTTGATGTTGTCAGATGAGGTACCTGTAGGAACCTGTTCTGCATTCAGGCATGGTCACCTGTAAGTTGGCTGGCTGAGAACGGAAGTTAATGAAAAATTGCTTCTACCTTTTATTATCTGGGTAAAGAGCTCTGAGACTGATTTTGAAAAGTTCCTCGCAAGTTCCAGGTAGGATTCAGTACTATTCACTCATAGCAGTGGCCAACTCAACAATCCACCCTGGCACTGGCCTTCCTCTGTTCTATGTCTCTTTCCCACCATGACCTCACTCCTATCATCTGAGATCACTTCCCCTATCAGTCCCCTGCTCTGTTTCTAGGGAAATCTAGGCCAAGACAGTTGGTGCCAGGCATGGTGAAAATCCTGACATGCAGTAGCATCCCAGTCCTAAGATCCTCACCTGTCTTGGAAAGTGATAAAGTATGAGCAGAAGGTGGACTATGAAATTCTGTGCTCTCTGTGAAATGTGCACAGCCTTAGGAAACGGTCATTACAAATATGGAGTTGAATGACTTCTGTTAACTGTTTTTGAAAACCTTGAAAAAATGATAAACTCAGATTGGATAACTATCAATCCAAGGTAGCTGTGAAAACCAGGGGCTCTCTAGGGCAGCATTTGAGGAGGCCTTCATTTCCAACATGGCAGATAGAGCAAAAAACCAGGCCAAGGATTTCACTTTGAGGGTAGAAGGGTGGCAAAGGAGATGAAATGCACAGTCTTAGCAGGGCTCCTATGCCCAAGTCAGGATTCTGAAAGAAAAAGAATGAGACTTTGAAACCTGAAATTCAATAATTTGGGTAGATGATCCTAAGAATCTTGAATTTCTGGACTTCCTTGAACCTTTAAACCTGGCAAAAGCAACCTCCCCTCACCTAGACTCACCTGCAAATACCCAACATGAGCCAGGTTCCCGTAAGATCATGCTTGTGGTCCCCAAGGCTCATCCCACAACCTTTCACTGCCTGCAACCCGATACCAGGGTTAGATCTCAGGACGACTCAAGTGGAGAAATAAGTGTCTGCCCTGGGAATTAATAGCTTACATGCTGCAGGAACAGCCGGACACGGGAAATGTGGAATGTGAGTCTTCCATAAGAATGGATTGGCCTGGCCTGGTGGCTCATGCCTGTAATCCCAGCACTTTGGGGGACCAAGGTGGGTGGATCACAAGGTCAGGAGGTTGAGACCATCCTGGCCCACATGGTGAAACCCTGTCTCCACTAAAATACAAAAAAAAAAAAAAAAAAAAAAAAAATTAGCTGGGCATGGTGGTGCGTGTCTGTAGTCCCAGCCACTCATGAGGCTGAGGCAGGGGAATCACTTGAACCTGGGAGGTGGAGGTTGCAGTGAGCCAAGATCACTCCACTGCACTCCAGCCTGGCAACAGAGCGAGACTCCGTCTCAAAAGAAAAAAAAAAAAAAAGAATGGATCTATACAGAAGTCTTCTGTGGAAAAAAAAAAAGAAAAAAGGTAATTAAAACATTTTTTTTTTACAGAATGGATCTAAAGGGTATTGGAACAGAACAGTTGGAAAAGGAGGCAGATGGGCAAAGAATTTAATGGAAAAATAAGGTTCCATTATGACTCAGGGTTTGATGGTCTGGCAAAGATACCTGGAGCCAGTCTTAGTACCTGCCTGGGCTAGATCTTAAAAGCTTGGCCACGGCAATGGTCTGTAGTAAACAGGCAAGAGAAGAAGAACTGCTTTTGCTTTGCATTCAGGAAAGTGTCAGAGGGTCAGGAGGTGGGAATGTTAGAATAAATTTATTATTTGAGAACATGAAACCCACTACCTGACTATGTTGCCTGGGAGGGCCCAGAGGACACTCCCTTCACTAAGTCAATAAGGACCACACTAGTGAAGCAGGCAGGCACTAACATCTGTGTGAAACCCATCGGTGGCTGACCTCTGTAGATCAGGGTGGACAAATGGAAATGCCATCATAGAAGAGGGTTCCCTAGTTTCAATGAGGATAATAGAATTCTAGAATAGCACAGGCCAGATAGTGGTACATAATCACTCAAGGCAGAGTGGTTATCATTACTGTAATGGCTGGCAAGGCTCAGCTGGCAACCAGAGATCTCTGCACATAGATGAAAAGCATGTTCTGATGGGTGAGACAGATGGACAGCTCTTTGAAAAGGAGTCCCTGGTGTGAAACTGAACACTGACCATGGGGCTCTAGGTGATGATGTGACTGCAGTTACCACTCAGTAGCTGGATATTATTAGAGCCCTTGAGTCATAAAGTTGAGTAGGCAAACCTATATATCATCATATAATGGATATGGTAGGAATATTCAGGATCAGGCCTGAGAAGCTCCAGAACAGGAGGCCAGATCCTCATGTTGACTGAATCTGTTGCACTGACACCTCTCTCAATGCACACTAATTGTCCCAAGGTAGGAGCATTTTCCTATGACCAACTGATGGAGAAAATAACTTGGGGCTGGTTTACAGATAGTTTGGCAATATGTTGATGTGAACTATACAGGATCTGATAGCCTCCCTCAAGGGCAGCCCACAAGATAATGGTGATGGGTAATTCTTTCATAATGCAGAGCTCTGAATTGTGCACTGGGTCCTCAATTTGGAGTGAGGATAAAACGGTCTGAGATAAAGATTTACAAAGACTCCTGAGCAGTGGCAAATGCCTCATTGGTCAGGAGCCTGGAAGGAGGAAGATTGCAAGATTGAAAAGGAGGAGGTCTGAAAAAGAGACTTACGGATGGACTTATGGGAATAAGCACAAAGCCTATGGGGTTCTTTGTCTCATGCCCACCACAGAGAAGACGCTGAACAAGCAGAAGGACACAGCCCATGGACTGTCAGCTTTCCTTGCTTCTTGGCTATGCCAGATGATTAGTTTCAGAGAGGCAGAAAGGGTTGGTAACGCAGAAGAAGGCTGCACAAAGAAAGTGATATTGGAGGCCATGTGCAGTGGCTGTAATCCCAGCACTTTGGGAGGCCAAGGCAGTCAGATCCCAATGTGGGGAGATCAAGACCTTCCTGGCTAACACCGTGAAACCCTGTCTCTACTAAAAATACAAAAAATTAGCTGAACATGGTGGCACGCACCTGTAGTCCCAGCTACTTGGGAGGCTGAGGCAGAAGAATCCCTTGAGCCCAGGAGGCAGAGGTTGCAGTGAGCCAAGATTGCGCCCCTGCACCCCAGCCTGGGTGACAGAGCAAGACTCCGTCTCAAAAAAAAAATAAAAAATAAAAGTGATATTGGAGCTACAAGAGCCACAGTGAAGGATGAGTCTGTATTTGTTAAGTGAATACTATTATTAATGCTGCTGCTGCTACTATTAATAATAGTGGCTTTCATTTATTTGTGGTTACGTGATATGCCAACACTATGCTAGGCATTTTATACATATTTTCAAATTTATTCTTCACAATAACTATGAATTAGGTCCCATCATTATTATTATTATTACTTTATATATAAGGAAGCTGAATATCCTGAACTATTATTTTTACTATTCTCATTCTATAATTCCAATACTGATATTAGTTACTATTGGTTAAAAAGAACCTGTGCACCTATCATCTCATGTAACCATCATAACTCTTTGAGATACGTGTTATTATTCATCTTACAAGTGACGAGCTGAAGCTCAAAGAAGCCGAACCTCTGCCTTAGTGACCAAGGTCTCCTTGATCTGAGACTACCTCCTGCTAAAGCACTCTATGTCTGTCCTATTCCCTTCCTAAAAGTCCAAGGAGGAAGGCTGGTGAGGGGTGGGTGGGCCGCTGAGCTTGGTAAGGTTGTTACGAGTGAATGAGCTGACATGAACTTTCAATGTGCCTGACCTATTTACCAGGATCCCTATCCCAGCCTCCCTCCTCCCATCTTTTCCTCTCTCTCCCCCACATATGCGGTGATAAACAACTGAGCTGCCCTTAGCCATTTTTACAATATTGATATTTCCATTTCTTTTTTCTCATGAAACAAAAGGACTTAAGTTTTGAGAAATAAAGAAATAAAAAGAATTCTAGCATATTCATTACAAGGTATGAATGCTCCTTCCCAGAATGTTTAGAGTCTTGCACAGGCCAGGAAATGTGCTTCCTGAAGACCCCTGTCCACACTTTTATCTGCATAACTTTCATTGACCTAAATTGTATTTTTGTGTGCAGAAGGGCAGCCCAGTGGAAACTTAACAAGTCTTCTCATCTTTCTGTTAAACTTCCTCAGTTGCCAATTACCAATTCTGTGCACTGGGGGATGTGCAAGACACACCACCTTCAATAGGAGCAGGATGTACTGGTTAAGGATGACCAAGTCAAATATGTAAAGGGATCCCTTAGTCACAAAGATGGTGCCAATGTGGTAGGGCTTAAACTAGGATGGAGAAGCAGATGGAAGGGAGAAGACCAGAGAGGAGAAGAGAGAGGAGAAAGAGAGAGATAGATAAGAGAGAGGAAAAAGAAGAAACAGAGAGGAGAGAGAGAAAGAGAGAGAAAGAAAGAAAGAGGGAGAGAGAGAGAGGAAGAGAGGGAGAGAAAGAGAGAGAAAGAAAGAAAGAGGGAGAGAGAGAGAGGAAGAGAGGGAGAGAAAGAGTTGAAGGAGAACAAATTCAAGAACCTACGGATATAGTTTCTTTAGAAGTACGTAATACTGAAGAGGCTGAAAAATAATTCCTTGAAATGATTTATGGCTAGAGGGAATCTGGGATCATTTAAAATCTGTCATAGAGGAATCTGGGACTCTATTTAGGAGACGTTTCTTGGAGCCGTATCTATATCTCACCATTTTGATCATCTGACCAGCTGTTTAAATGCAATGATTATGTGGCTGGACTGATGGGCTAACTCAGTCAAACAAGCCCATCTGGAAGATGATGTAGAGTCAGTCAAGATATTATATTCTCTGTGCAAATGCAAACACATTGTTTCCATTGGTCATTGCCATTCATGGAATATAACATGGAACAAAGTAATCCCTATGAAATACATTTATATTCAAAGACAGAGAACAGGGGAAACCATGTCAGCACCTCTGTCGCTAACTCTTCACCATCATCATTGAACACTGACCCATGGGTTCTTTTAAGAATACCATTCCATGAGCTATACAAATGCATTTTGAAAAGCTACACAAGTCACACGAATTGCTAACGCTAAGTATAATCACTGCGAGAAAAGAGAACCACACTAAATCGCCTCTTAGAGTTGGGGCTGCACAGCGGGACTTAGAGCAGCATGTTCTTTGTAACCAGGGCTTACATCCTACCGTGGCTGATGTCCATAGAACTGTAGAGTTAGAAAAGAAAATACGAGTGTGTGTGTGCATGCATACACGTGTATGTTAACCGCACATAAGAGATACACAAACTCACATATACACAAAAATATATTCAAGTACCCAAAGTTTATCCACTTTACCTTGTATGCAAATTTGATTGTTTAAATGTTCTATATTGTGACACATGAGATGTGGCTGCAATAGGGTGGTGATTAGAAGCTTCCAGTATCGCCTCATTGGATTTAAGGCTTAGACATACCTCCAGCTCAGCCCCTTCTCTGGAATAATATGTAGGGAACTAGGTATTTTCATGTGAGAATTGAACCTCAGAACCAATATACCCCAAACCAAAATCATCCCTTTCTCCTCTAATCAATTTCTTCTTCCTTCGTTCTCCATTGATTTTCATCACATGAACCCAGGAGTGCAGGAGCTCTGTCTGACTTGCTCATGACTGTATTCCCAAGGCCCAGAGCAGTGTCTGACACACAGTAGCTGCACAGAGAGTATGTGCTGAATAGTTTGGGTGGATGGACATTGAAGTCACTGTTCTCCCCACCGTGGGGCTCATCTTGAATACTTTTCTGTCTAGTTATACATCAATGTCTGTCATTTCTTTCTTTAAGAGGTGTCTTTGCATTTGTTTACCTCACTGTGTTGATACATGAGATCAAGTACAGAAAAACGCATGATCAACACCGTGCACATTTAGGGTAATTATTCCTTTCAACTTCTGCCTGCTAGCACCCTCGTTGAAGTCTTCATCCCCCCATAACAAATCCATCAGGCTGAGCGGGTCTGTTTTCCTTCAGTCTCGCTTTACTGCATTCCCATATTCCCGTTAAAGTGATAACCTCCAAAGCGCCGTAGTGACTGTATTGTTCTACCGTCCATCACCTTCAACCAGAAGCTTCCTGTGGACTACTAAATTCCAAAGCAATCTAGGCCATCCCTGTTTGGGGATCTCTGCATTTTTCTACCTCTATGGCTCACTCATTTCCTTTGCACTAGAAATATTTATCATCTCATGCTCCCTCAACAGACTTGGCCATTTCTACCTTCATATTTTTCTCCATATCCATCTACAAAATTCATGGATGAATAAATGTACAGATGAATGTCCCTTCTCATTGACCTTTGCAAATCCCATCTACCTTTCAAATGCCATCTCTAACACTACAGTTTTCTTCCCTCACTACCCCAGTTTGAGTTAGTTGTTTCAGTCACCAGGCAAGAAATCTGAGAGCATCAAATTTATTTGGGAGGAGCAGGGAGGAGCAGCAAAGAGTGAAACCACAATGAGGAACTGTAGGAAAAATATTAGAAATGTAGCAAACATAGTATCTTTCAACTATCCCACCTATGAGGTGAGGGAGCTGGGGTATTTATACACCAACTCCTGACAGTTATTGGTAGAGGGAAAAAGGAGAGAATATAAATTCCCAATCACTTTAATCTGGTATAACACCAGAAGCAGCCCTCAGGTACAGCGATGTACATCCTCAGTTGCTCAGGTCTAAAGCAGTGTTTTCTAACAGAAATATCACGTGAGTCCCAAATGCAACCTGCATATATAATTTTAAGTTTTCTAGTAGCCACATTAAAAAACATAAAAAAATAAGTGAAATTAACTTTAATAATGTGTTTTATTATTAATTATTGTTGTACATTTTATTCAGCCCAGTATATTACCCAGGTTACTATTATTTCAACACATAATCAACGTAAACAAATTATTGAGATGCTAACTTTCTTTGGTGCTAAGTTTTTGAAATCTGCAATATATTTTATACTCTACATATCTCAGTTAGGACTAGCCACATTTCAGGTGCTCGTTAGCCACAGAGACTATGGTCTACCATATTGGACAGGTCTCAGGGATACAGGCAGGTCACTTAAACATGGATCATTGCTAGTCACTGAGATCATCGCCTTCTTTCGCTGGACTACTTAAAGTGCTGATCTAAGACTCAGCATACAGTGTTTAGAAATGTTATTTATTTTTTCATGTAGCTAGGTCTTATTTCCCTGAATAAGGACATATACAACTAGGATTTACTTCTGTTATTTTCCCATTAGTTCCTTTTTTATTGCCTGGTTCAATTACCCTTTGCCAAATGGCAGATTCTGGGAAGTCACCTTATCCACAGGTCCCTAACCTTTCATGAGGAGAAATCATCATTAATTTCCCATTCAGGGGACTGAGAGGAGATGTGTCAGTCCAAACCTCAGCAGAGAGGGACAGTTAGCTCCTGGTCTGACAGGGGGAAGACTCTGCCCCGAGCAAGACATATTTAACCACTATGCAGACACAGGAATTTTAAAGACCTCCAAAGAGGGAGATACAGCAAACTCCTCTAATAACAATTTTGAGCAAATGCTTTCAGGTTTTGCCGAAAGAAAAAAAAGAAACCCATCTATCTAACATAAATTATCCTTCGGCTGCTTTTTCCCCGTTCTGCCGTATTGCCTGCATTCATTTCTGAGTCCAACAAAGTCTTCGAAAAGCATTGGATAGGCACTTGGTGACCAGTTTGCCATTAAAAGGTTAACATGTCTTCCCAGCTAAACAGAACAGTGGCTATTATGCCATGGAATGAAAAGCACCAAGAGAGATTCGTGGCACATAAGAGGCAAAGCAGCGAAGGCAAGGAGATTTTGCAAAGTCCAGGAATGTCTCAAAGGCACTAAGTGGTATTCACTGTCTACTAATGGAAAATGTGAATTTCCCAAGTCATTTAAGTAAGCAGATAGATGTAAACATTTCCAAGCTCATCAACTTCTCGAGAATAAAGGGGAGATCTGCTGAATTCCAGACGGTTGAAAATGACCCATTCTTCTTGATCTGAAGCCCAGGAATTTTCTCCAGTATTTCTAATTGATGGTTATTTATGACAAACAGTTAAACCACCAGTAAATCAGAAGACAGAAATTTTCCATTAAAAAAAAAGATATTTTCTACATTATTGGTTATAAACCCATTTCTTCTTCAGTTATCTGGGATTAAACATTCAACATTTAATCAGTCTCTTTTTAGGATTATTCTATAAATTTTTAAAATGTTTTTCTACATATCTCTAAAATACCTATTTATTTATCAATTATTATCTGCCTTGTTTTTTTAAAAAAATTCTTCCTTATTAACTTCCTCCCATTCTTCCCTACCTTGGGCCCGTGATTCATTCTCATCCATAAGTTGTCCTACTTTCAGAATGATGTACCTTTGAGCTTTGTACCTTGGTTGATTGGAATTTCTTTCCGTCCCATTTTCTACCTCCCAAAGGAGACCACCGTTCTCTGTCCCTGGTTCTTCCTGGTCACATGCCACCTGTCTTGTCTTTTTATTCTTGCTTCATCAGAGTCTCTATTCCCAGGGACTTCAAAGGTTGAAGGTTCCAGAAGGCAGCCTCAATACTCCTGTTAGGAGTACTCCCACTAGAGGGGTTGAAGTGTTACCATTCCACTGACTTCTACTTCCTTTACCAGGGGTTACTTGCCTCCAAGACACCATTTGATTAGCAAACCGTACTCAGATATGGAAGTGGCATTGCTCACAAACTACTAGGAATTAAGGTCGTTTCATTTTTCAAAACAAAAGTTTCTAGGAAATGAAGTATGTTTACTAGCAGTGTAATTGGAGTGAAGAAAACTTATGCCTGTTTTTTTAGAAATTAAAATTATGGTATTTTAATATGAGGCAGATCACATATTTAAAGATAAAAGAATGTATGGAAACTGCTGCCATTTGGGGTTGGTTTAAATAGACTCATTGTAAACTTGATTTAATTTCACACCAGGCACTTTTTCACAAACTCAAGTTTGAAATAGAAAAATGAGGCCTTCTTTAAGATAATGAACCCATTTTCAAAGTGTTGCTTCAAATCTCACTCTTAAAAAGATGTAATGGAATATACTTGGGTGTTTCTACAATTGTGATGTTTTATGACTATGTCTAATCCCTGAAATCTCATTTTCTGAACTTTCCATAAATTGCACCAAATTCTATAAATTAAAATTGGAATTATATAATCCTTTGTCTTCATCTAAGATGAAAACTAAAATTACAAAGGCATAGCCTAGCAAACTTAAGTTTTTCTAAATTCATGTATTAAGTAAAAATTAACTGTGAGCTTTTACCAGATGAGGAATTTTTAGAAAAATTATGTAATTATGAAATAATTGTCTTGGTAAATTTCAGTTTATAAATGTTGGGCTTCTTTCAATGGGCTTAGAGGAACAGCTGATGCACCTTCAAATTCTCCATCTGGCTCTCTCACCACCAAGCCCTGTCTGCTCTGGAAGAAGTCTACTGTCTCACGCATTCTTTGTACAAACATCTGGTGTCTAGCAAGCATACATAGTAGACATACATGAAATAAATGTTAATTGAATGAATAAACCAAGTCACCTATGGTGTTAAATGCAAATTTACACAAAATCAATTTAATTTAACATATATTTATTTAGCACCTACTATTTACACTGGAAAAATAAAAGATGATTATGAAGACATAGATTCTGCCTTTGAAGAGTTTATAAAATAATACAGAGAAAAAAAGGACAGAGATCATTCTACACCAAAGTGATACTGATAATATGTTGGCACAGCTAATAGTTCTGAAGAGAGTGAAGATATAAACTCTCAAGCAAGTTAGAGGGACCAGGAAAACTATCACAAAACACGGTGTACAAAATAATCCTTGGACCCTTCAGAATTCCAGAATCCTGGATTCAATACTTCAGAACATCATCATCCAAAGAACAAAATCAAAACAAATGAACGAAAAAATCTCAAATAGCCACCTGATTTTTAAGGCAGTTAAGGAATCCCAGCCTTCAATTATCAAGCTTAAACTATGTCTTGTTGTGGCTGGTTGGTTAGTTGGTTGGTTACCCCTATGTAGCAGATTTAGAGCTCAGATGTTCAAAAGGTTCTGCCACTTTCTTGTGGAGCAATCTCATCCACAAGATGCAGACAATCATATCTACCTTAAAGGTTTGTTGTAAAGGGTTTAGAATGGAGTTTGGCACATAATAAGCTTGAGGAATATGAGCTGCCATTGATAATAGCAATAATAATAATGATAGTAATGATCATTTGTTCCACTTAGTCACTGTGCCACTAACTCTGAACCTACCACAATAGTACTGGTAATCTCTCACTTGTATAAACAGATAAACCCTACAGACAGGGCGGGCAGGGTAGGAGGTAGGGTGGTGATGTCTCTGTCTCACACTGACTCTCATACTTGTTCTGTCCCCAAGCCCCACATCACTCTCCTTTTCGCCGGTGGCTCTCATAGAGGCCGTTGTGAGAAAATGTAGTGAACGTAGAAAGGGGTGGAAATCTGGGAAAACTCCAGGAATTTTAAGAAGAATTTTTAAATAATTTAAAATAAAAAAATTTAAATCTAAAATAATTTTTTATATAGTAGCATTTTAAATTTTATTAAAATGAATTTTAGTAAACAATAAACTTGGAACTCTGATCAAAATGGCAGATACTCATAATCACCACATTTTTTCACTTTTGCTTATTATAATCCCTAAAATTCCACCAATGAAAGTAGCAATTTCCAGCCCTGGGTCCTTAGAATTCTGACTCTGCTGAGGTAGTATTTATTTTCCCATAATAAGAAAGATTTCACAAGCCTTGATGAAAATGTCAACTTCCGTTCCCTTTTGCCAAAAAAATAGCAAGTTTGCATGGCAGCCTTGGTTATCTAATGATGCACAGAAGCTCTGATTGTCAGTTATATATGCCTTTACTTAATGAATATAGGAAAGAGAATTCATTATTATTCCGTCAATGAAGTTTGACATCACAGCATGGATGTCCATTGATTTTGAGCATAACAAATACCAGATTTTAAAAAATTAATTGTGAAAAATTGGGAACTGATAAATCAGAAATTCATTTGAATTTAAAAGCATCTTTAAAGTATTACAACCATGGCTGGAAAAAGCAAAGACATAAAACAGACATAATGAACTTCCTTTGAAGCATTATTGTGAAGATGAAATACGTTCTGGTCTTCTTGTTCAGGAAACGCTTGTTCAATTGGATTCTGATTTCCACAGAGGTTTCTCTTTGTCTAACTTGAAATCGGGTCTGCTAAGGAATGGGGGGAGTTCCTAGGCATTTTGTGTATCCCATATGCCATTATCCATAGCCCAGGATCTGGTACAGAACTGGGATTCGGGAAAATGGTTAATGATCTGGGGCAGTGAGGGAGGAGGTTACTTGGGAGAGGGGAACTTAGTTGACTAAGCAGCCCAGACCATGTCCAATCCCAGAGCAGGAAACCGGGCAGGAAATTTAGGGCAAGAGGGCCTAGGGATCCTGAGGACAGGGTGCCCTAAAGACCACCTCCCTTACTGTCAAGCTGTGCCTTGTGTCTACTCTGTGCCAAGGTGTATTAGTCTGTTCTCACACTGCTAATAAAGACATATCCAAGACTGGGTAATTTATAAAGGAAAGAGATTTAACTGACTCCCAGTTCCACCTGGCTGGGGAGGCCTCAGGAAACTTACAATCATGGTGGAAGGGGAAGCAAACACATCCTTCTACATGTGGTGGCAGCAAGGAGAAGAATGAGTGAAGCGGGGCATGGGGAAGCTCCTTATAAAACCATCAGATCTCCTGAGAATTCACTCACTATCAGGAGATCAGCATGCAGGTAACTGCGCCCATAATTCAATTACCTCCCACTGGGTCCCTCCCACAACACGGTGGCAATTATGGGAACTACAATTCAAGATAAGATTTGGGTAGGGACACAGCCAAACCATATCACAAGGAAAGGGAGTTTCACTGTGCCTTTATTTCTCCTCCTCTCTCCCATAATATGGGAACATAACACAAGACTTCTTCTGAAATGATTTGGGATTTATTATAATTTGGCAAATTTGTTATTCAGGCTAAACGAGCAAATAAACACACGAAAGCTCTTTAGCAAAGAACTCTTGGAACACAGCACCTGCTTGGTACAATGAGATCTCTTCCCACTCCAATTTCAGCCCTGACATAGTTACTACGTGGTTTCTGAACTCATGACCAGATGTGACCTCCCTGGGTTTTATATGCTCTGCTGACAGCATGTGATGTGCCTGCCACCCTAGAGGCGGGGTTGGTGCTGTCTTCCTGTGCAGGGTGGCCCTGTCCCATGTTCTGAGTTCATTGACATACATGGGGGTATGCTTTACACCCAGTGGCATTTTGGCAAAATCAGCCTTGCAAATGGCCCCTCACCCTGGATCCTTGGCATATTTCACTGCAATTTACACAGTGCTGGGGGTAGGGGGCAGGGAATGGAAGCTGGGTTTTTTTTTTTTTTTTCATATGTATATTCTGAAGGAAAGAAAGGCAAATAAAGAAAATAAAGGAGATGGATAAAGTCTTTTCTCTTTCACTTCTTCCTGAATTTCCCCTCCTTTTGTTTTGTCCTTGCATCTACCTCGTTCCTGTTCTGATGAAACTCTATCCTTTATTAAACAAACTTACAATATTTAGATGTGGCAATTCAGACATCCACCATTGAAAATATAGAAGCAGAGGTGGTTAAAAAAAATTCCAGCCAACTCACTGTGCAAAAGGGGATGGTCAACTGATTTTGAAAACTTCAGAAGAAAAGCAAATGAAAGTTTCAAAATCTGTCATTTCAGTTTGTAAACTCTTCCAGTAAATAGTAGCCTTATTATTAGAAGTATATATCAGAAAAATAGCATCCTGGCAGCTCTGCTGTGCCAGGAACCATAGTAAGGGGTTGGCATGAATGTTCGCATAAGGGAAGGACAGTAGGCTGGGTGATTTAAATAGAGTAATTTCTCATCTGTCAGCTGATTCCTTCCACCAGCCAGTCCAAGCCATCTCTCTGTGCACCTACCATGTGCAAGGCATACAGGCAACACTGGCCATTTTTTATACATAAACACATTCTTTTCCTATTACTTGGCTTTCTCCCTCAGAAAGTGACAGGAAGTCCACTAGAATTACAGAAATGCCATGCTAGGAAGAACCATAGAGATTAGCAAGTCCAACCCCTTCATTGAACAGGTGATTCTTGCAAAGTTGGAGTTTAAGGGAGGCATCGTAAAACATCAACTGAAGTCTTGCGGCCTTTCCATGACAACATATGCACGGGATGAAAACAGAAAGGCAGAAGGGCAGAAATCATCTTTGTGGCCCTTCTGTCCCTACCACTTCCCAAAGAGCTGTGAAAACAGCTTGATTCTCAT
Source organism: Homo sapiens (assembly GCF_000001405.40). Classification (NCBI taxonomy): domain Eukaryota; kingdom Metazoa; phylum Chordata; class Mammalia; order Primates; family Hominidae; genus Homo; species Homo sapiens. The sequence goes on from NC_000016.10 coordinate 73,524,537, forward strand.
GTTCTGATTCGCATGTTCTTGATTCTCACGTTCTGGAATGAATGAACTAATTCCAGCACTCAACGCATCTCATTTCTCTCTAGTGTCCTACTCTACGGAAGCCTCTAGATTTGCTGTGGTAAAGAATTCAAAGATCAAACTGATGCAGCCCTGGCCTTCCGTGAGCTCCCTGCTTAAAGAGCAAACCTCTAGATGCGACTCTTATTAGGGTTAGTGTGCAAGTGGTCAGCTGGTATTCTGCTCTTCTGCCTTCAGAGTCATCTGTGTGGTCAGAGGTCTTCGTTTTCCATATTTGTACACAGTCTTTCCCCAGGTGGGCTGAGGGCAGAATGAATATTTGCTCTATTTTCACAGAGGGCCAGTATGCTTGAGCAATTAAACAGAAGCTCTTCTCATTGTCCATTTCCTTCAGCTAAACACTCTACACAACATGGTCACGTAAGAAGGACTGTCTCCAGGTTCGAGGTAGAGCTGTGACTGGTAGAAACCCCCATGCCGTAAAGACACAAGGAAAAAAAATTTTCCCTGCCTATGGAAGGCATTGCTCAATAAGGAGAAAGAGACCAGGGCAAACCAGCGACATGAGGGCATTACAAGTCAAGCTTCGGTTTTACGTACAGTTAATTCTCTCCCGACCTGGGGAGATTCCTGTTGGCGATTTTTCTTCTTTCAGGTTTTAGCACTTACATTTACTGATCACTAAGTCATGTCTACATACAAGACAAAACCCAGGACAAGCCAAAGTCACGCCACTGTATTTATAAAGCTTTCCACACAAAATCCAGTAACATGTAGCTTAAAAGTAGATATGGAAAGGGACGCGATTTGTTTGCTGGAGTTTAGCTAATGAGAAGACCCTCCCTCTTAATTCTTGTGCAAACTCAACCCTATCTAATAAAGTGATGAAAAAGAGGATCTCACGGAAAAGAGGTCTTAAAATTCACTTACTTAGTTTCAAGAAGAACAAACAGAAGAGAAGGGGTGCACAAACTCCGCGTGGACATCCAGTGCTTAATTTCAGGTACAGACAACATGCATCTTGGTACAAGGGTACAATTTTAGCTGCACACCAGTGTACCCCAAGATACCACTAAGTCTAAATACACCACCATAAAAGGTAAAAGGATGGAAGTCCCTATCGTTGCCTGTTCCCCTCAGGACCAGCAGCCAATATCTCCCCGACCTCCTAGAGAGACCAAGGAAGGGTTCAGGCTTAATCACTTGTACAAAATACACCCCTTGCAACCTTTTAATATTTCTAGTAATTTTTCTCTTAGGAGTTTTGAGCTAACATAATTCTCAAGACACTTCCCTTTTAAGCCTTACATCAGCAGAGGCGAAAGCAGTGTGTTCGGAGACAAAAGCAGGTGAGAGCCAGACACACGATTTACCCCAAGCTTCTGCCTCTTGGTGGCCTTAATGACAAAGCTTTTAACTTTGTACAATCCCTGCCTCTCAAACAAAGACATGATTAAAAGAAGGTGGTTGGGGACGGGGAAGGAAATAACATAAAGATGAGGACGTGCAGGAAGCCAGCTTGGTCCCTGTCCGGCACACAATCCATTCTTGGCCAGGAAAATGATTGCCGCACAATGGCCAGCGTGGCCAGTCCAGGGCAGCTGTGAGATATAAATTGTCAGCAATGACCATAAGCACTCAGAGAAACAATTTAATTCCTCACTTCCGCCATCATGGGCTGATATATTCTTTCAAGGTCATTACCCAAGGCTAGAAGGGTCGCTTGATTAACGAGTGACAGGCCCAATGAGGGCCAGTGCGCTCTAGCAAGGCCTTATATTAATTAGACAGAAGCTCCAGAAAATAAATGTTACAGAGAAAGGAGGGGCCAAGTCTTGAGCGTAAGCTGTGACCTCGCCACCCCCACCCTGTTCACCCCACAAAAGATAACACCCTGACCTTGATCCTTAATGTTATACTTTAGCTTAGTTTTAAAACCTATAAAATACAAAACATAAACCAGGCCTCGTTTCATATTCAAAATGACCCAGGCCCTGGCCTCCAGTTTTGACACTGTCTTTGTCTCACCCTTTCTCACTTAGTTATTCTAATTTATTGGTTAATTCTGAGCGGGGATGAGGAGAACTGCTGGCTGTGAACTTCACATCTCAGAAGCAGCTTAAACCATGTTTATCTGAGCCAAGGGAAGCAGGAGAATGATGACACTTCCAGTGTTTTAAGCCCAGTGGCTAATAATCTAGCAATTGCTCTTTAATAAACTGTCATTATCTTGCTTAAGGAGTTAAGGAGATTTGGCAATAGCAGTGGACTTGCAGGGCAAATGACCATTCGAAGCAAAAGGGGCTTAAACATACCCTCTACTTCTTATCTAGTATTCGGTACCTCTTTGATTACATTTACTATACAGTCCTCATTTTAAGAGACACAAAAGAATAAACTCCTAGAGAATTTAGTGAATTTGAAGTATTCCTTTCCAATATAAGAGACAACTAGTTTGAGAATGGGGTTTCACTTCCACCAACCATCAAGAAGGGCTTTTTCCTTTCTCCACTCACACATTCACCATTTTGATCACTGATCCCATTGGAAAAGCAATCTTGCCATCTCAGGCAGCTCCAGCCTGGCTGCTCGTTGTGGATGCAGAGCAAGGCTATACTATATAGTTTTTTTGATTTCCCAGAAATCCATCAACGTCTATTCAAAAGAGTTCAGGTGGTGAAGGTAGGAGGCTTAGGTGACACTCAGGATGTGAAGGGTTGTTGACAGAACTTCCCAGCAAGAGGCCCCATTTACCTTGCATTCTGTCAAAAAGGAGAAAAGAGGTTGTACTTTTGAGACAGGTTGTGTCTATGAACTCCTATTTGGCACCACCTTCTGACTAAATACTGTACATACAGACAGGCAAGAGGCAGGTCACTGATGGTCCCTCTGAGAGCCTTGGGGACCTACTGTAGTTGACAATGTCTGAGAACTTCTCCAGTGAGTCCGGTCTCCTGGTACTTGGGCGCTTATGTCACTCCCTCCCCTTGAGTATAGGAGGGACCTAGGGGCTCACTTCAGTCGAATAGAATATGGCAAATGTTATGGGTTGTCACTTCTGAGGCTAAGCTACTAAAAGGCTGTGGCTTCTGTCTTCCTTGCTCTCTTTCACTCTGTCAGGGCCCTCACTCTGGAGGAAGCAAGCTACCATGTGTTAGCTGCCCCTGTGGAAAGGCCCAGAAGGCCAGGAATGCATAGCTCCAGCCACCAGTCAGTGGGGACCCAAGACCTGCCACCAGTCACGTGTGTGAACTTGGAAATGGATCCTCCCTACCCAAGCCTTGAAATGATGGCCACAGCCAACCTCTTGATAGCAGCCTAAAGAGAGACTTGAGTCAGAGGCACCCAGCTAACCTACATAAATCCAAACTCCTGACCCAGGGAAACTGACATAATAGATGCTTGTTGTTGTTTCTGCTAAATCTTGGAGTAATTTGTTATGTATCAATAGAAAACTAATACACCCACTAATTCCACTGATCCTATGATGTACTGTGTGATGCAGAACAATTCAACTGCTCTACATTTTAGTATCCTTTTCTCTAAAATGGGAGCGGCCTCCTGGAGAGCTTTGACATATGGGAAACATCTGCAAGGATTTGGTTCTGTTCGTGGGAAGGGAAATTCGATGCATTATCACTGTATTATGGGTATTTAATGTACACTACCTTATCAGATTTATGAGTTTTGTGGAAGATGTAGCATCATTATCAGGCACGATTATTACACTATATTTTACATCTCTGAGTTATCTGTCCTTGATGGATATCAATAGCAGTACTAGCCAACAAATTTGCAAAGATAACTTACACACATATTCATTCATCCATTTCTCCAACCATCCATCCTTCTATCTATGCTTTCAACAACTATTTATTGAGGATGCAAAAACACCGTAAGAGGTAGAAAAATGTATTCAATATGGTCTATGTCTTCAAGGAGTTTACAATCCCAGCAGGGAAATTAATGCGTGGACACTAATTACTGAAATCTAAAGTAGCATGGGATAAGCAATCATTAGAGTAGAAAAGTGCAGGAGGGAGTCGGAAGGGGGAGAATTCAGCTGTCTGGGGAAGGCTTGAAGAAAGCCTGGAAATATACATTAATGCTAAGGAAATGTGCTATGAACTCTTATTCCTGAAGTAGTGACGATGTGTTGGCCATAGCCTCTTGTTCAGTCTTGTTTTGACCAACACCAAACATTTGAAGCACAGTATCAGGATGGAGTTATGGTCTGTAGCCAGAGAACCAAGGTAACTGGCACCATGGGAATCACACACAGGACTGCAGCTTCATGACACCAGCTACAGTATAATGATACATTACAGAACATCAACCTCCTGGATGCAGGACAGGCATCTGGCTGTCCAACCTTCTGAATTGAGAACAGCCTGTAACGAATCCCCAGTTCCATAACATGTTTAACAATTAATAAGCTAGGGGTTTCCTTGAGGACAACAAAGAATAAAATATGAGTTTGCCAAGAAAGAGGTCACACAGCATAAATACATTCTAGGAAAACAATACTCGTGATGAGGCTAGAGGTGGGCAGTTTTTCCTCTACTTTGAAAATAGAGTGAAATACATTGAGGGCCTAAATTATCTGGACGTTGGTCAGTCCTGTATTTCATTCCGCCAGTTAGACCCCTTGTATGTTTGTGATAATTTTGCCCAGTGGACCGAGTGGCTGCTGAGGGAAAAGCTGCCCTGGTCAAAGGATTTGCTATTAATTTCAGATATGCTCTTAAAATGCCTCTATAAGAAAGGACAAGAAATCAAAGGGTTTGGTGCCAAGGAACAGGATTAATAAAAAATATTGTGTCCGTTCTAGAGAAGCCAATTCAGCGGGTTTCACTCATGTGATGTGTTCAAACAGCCTCCCAAAGAGAGAAACTTAGCATGGCACCCACCCAGGCAGGGAGGTTACTGGCAGGTCCCCGGCAGCAGTGACACTCAGAGACAGCAAAGACCTGCTTGGCTCCTGCCTCCTGGGAGCCTGCTGAGGTCAGCTAGTAGGCTTGATGAAACTACTCTCTGGCCAGTGCCCCTTGTCCAGGGGACAAATGGGAAAATATCCGTCAGAATCTAAAGAATAATTCCAGAAAGAGTCATACCTCTGAGGAAGTCAATGGCACTGTAAATTTACACCTTCACCTAGATAGTAATTCGGTGGAAAATGACGTTCACCCTCCAAATTCCTGATTCAGAGTGCTCGAAATAATTGTGTCATTTGCAAGCATCCCAACTGATGCACCTGTTTCTCCGTGGCTTCATTAGGGGATCATAGGCTGTGTGATGACGCGTAGCAACCAGGCAGCAGAAATTTCTTAGAAAGTAATTCCCCACATGTGCAAAATTCAGCTCTATGAGGAAGTATTTTGGGTGTGTGTGTGTGTTGGGGTGGAACCACTCCATTGTATTTGATAGTTGAAATGTATCGCTTGTGTCCTTGGTTAACATATTAGCCTGTTTTCACGCTGCTGATAGAGACATAGCTGAGACTGGGTAAATTACAGACAAAAAGAGGTTTAATGGTCTCACAGTTCCACGTGGCTGGGGAGGCCTCACAAGCATGGTGGAAGGCAAAAGTCACGTCTTACATGGTGGCAGGCAAGAGAGAGAATGAGAACCAAGTGAAAGGGTTTCCCCTTATAAAATAATCAGATCTCGTGAGACTTATTCACTACCATGAGAACAGTATGGGGGAAATTGCCCCCCTACTTATCTCCCACTGGGTCTGTCCCACAAAAATTGGGAATTACAGAAGCTACAGCTCAAGATGAGATTTGGGTGGGGACACAGCCAAACAATATGGGAACACAGCCAAACGGAAGTTAATTACCTCCTCTAAGCAGCTCAGGTGTGACCAGTACTTCCAGAGATGTTTTCCACGTCTGATAAACTACTTCTCTCATTCCAAAAGTTACAATAGTTACAAAAGTTACAATAGGCATTTCAGGTTTCCAAATTAGAGTTCAGACACTGTAATATACTTATGAAGCTCCCAAAATGATGCCAAAGGGGTCTGTGGACCCCTTTTGGGACTCCTTTTAAGGAGCAAGATTCTACACTATGATTTTAACCCTATCAACATTCCTCAATTTTCTGCAGGCTTTCATTGATTAAGAAAAGCTCATTACACCTTCTGAGGTGCTGTCTTTTATACATTTTGCTGTCCATGCACTTTTCACACTGCAACATGATTGTTTGTGTGCTTATCTATATTATCTTTATATTACAATCTTTATGAGGTCATGCCTGCATTTTATTTGTCTTCATAACCCCAGTGTCTGCCCAGAAAATACTTGACAACCAGGTGTGGACGTGAATTGAATTCTGCCCCTTGGTTAAGGCTAAACATCCAGTTGCCAGCTGGGACAGTTCTGCACTGGAGAAACATGCCAACATGCTGAAAACCTAAAAGTTGTTTTTATGCTCCTAACGGGAGAGATGAAACAGGGGTATACAGTATTTTTGGTCAAACATGCCAAATAGCTTTTTTCTTCCAAGCTGTCACTATTTGTTGGGAAACTTACCAGTTGCATGGCTTTTTAGAGATTCAAGATGTCTTGCCTTTCCTAATATAAATCTTTGTTGCCAGTCTAATTGGTTTTGGGCTCAGTCTTGGCACAGCCACAGCCTTGGCCACCCTTCTTTGCCCTCAGTGCCGCTAAATATATCCCCAGTGCTCAGTATGTCCAGATGATTCTCTTCTAACCTTTCAGGTCAACGTCTTTTGCTATTTATATGCTTTTGAAAACCTTTCAATAATAACTTCCCCTTCAAAAAACACTAATCCAGAACTTACTTCTCTGCCTTTCTTATGCGACAATTTTTATGCAGGAATTGTCTTGTTTTTTTAATTAAGAATATTTCCTGGCCAGGTGTAATGGCTCACTCCTGTAATTACAGCACTTTAGGAGGATGAGGTGGGGGGACTGCCTGAGCTCAGGAGTTCAAGACCAGCCTGGGCAATGTAGTGAAACCCCATGTCTATAAAAATTTCAAAAGTTAGCTGGGTATGGCAGCACACGCCTATTGTCCCAGCTACTCAGGAGGCTGAGGCAGGAGGATGGCTTGAGCCCATGAGCTAGAGGTTACAGTAAGCTATGATCATGCCACTGCACTCCAGCCTGGGTGACAGACCAAAACCCTGTCTCAAAAAAAAAAAAAAAAAAAAAAAGAATATTTCCTTTGATGGATGTGAACTGCAGATTTGCTATGTCCTACTGATAGAATATTGTTATTTTTAGGCTGTGCACAGTGGTTCATACCTGTAATCCCAGCATGTTTGGAGGCTGAGGCAGGAAGATTGCTTAAGACCAGGAGTTTGAGACCAGCCTGGGCAACATAGTGAGACCCTGCTTCTATAAAAAATTTAAAAATTGACTGGATATGTGGCATGCACCTGTAATCCCAGCTACTTGGAAGGCTGAAGTGGGAAAATGGCCTGAGCCCATGAGTTGGAGGTTACAGTGAGCTATGATTGTACCACTGCATTCCAGCCTGGGCAACAGAGTGAGACCCTGTCTCTAAAAAAGATTAAAAAAAAAAACAAAGACAGAATATTGTTATCTTAGTAGTTGATACGGTTTGTCTGCGTCCCCACCCAAATCTTGTCTTGAATTGTAGCTCCCACGTGTTATGGGAGGGACCCCAGGGGGAGATAATTGAATCATGGGGGTGGTTCTCCCATACTGTTCTCATTGTAGTGAATAAGTCTCATGAGACCTGATGGTTTTATATGGGGAGACCCTTTTCGTTTGGCTCTCATTCTCTCTTTGCCTGTGGCCATGTAAGACCTTCCTTTGCTCTTTCTTTGTCTTCCACCACGATTGTGAGGCCTCCCCAGCTATGTGGAACTGAGTCCATTAAACCTCTTTTTCTTTATAAATTACCCAGCCTCAGGTATGTCTTTACCAGCAGCGTGAAAATGGAGTAATATAGTAGTCATCACCAGAAGCAGAAATCAGTCATTCATTAGTTAACTCTGAAAGCATATCTCTGGTACATAAGAGGAGGGCTGGAACTAAGCTGCCTGAATCTGAATCCTCACTCCCCACTTACTAGGAGTGTAGCCTTAGTCAACTAACCTAATCTCTTTGTGCCTACATTTCCTTATTGTAATGGGAATAATAATTGTACTCACCTGATATGGTTTAGCTCTGTGTCCCCACCCAAATCTCACCTTGAATTGTTATAATCTTCACATGTCAAGGGTGAGACCAGGTGGAGATAATTGAATCATGGAGGCAGTTTCCCTCATGCTGTTCCCATAATAGTGAGTGAGTTCTCACCAGATCTGATGGTTTTATAAGGGTCTTCCCCCTTTGCTCAGCACTCATTCTCTCTCCTGCCACCCTGTAAAGGGGGGGCCTTCTGCCATGATTTTAAGTTTCATGAGGTCACCCCAGCCATGTGGAACTGTCAGTCAATTAAACCTCTGTTCTTTATAAATTACCCAGTCTTCGGTATTTCATCATAACAGCGTGAAAATGGACTAATGCACCACCTCATGATCAAGGATCTCAAATGCGCTGTTACGCTGCCAGGCCATCAGTGTGCTTATCTATCCATGTGCTGTCTCACACTCCAAAGTGACTATGACATTTTCTCGTTTCATCTCAAACCATCAATGCCTCTTCCCCATCCTCACTTTTTGCGGAGGGCTTGGCTTCCTACTTCACCAAGAAAAATGAAGGATTCAGAAGTGAACTTCCAAGGACTCCTGACTATCACTTGTACCCATCAACCAGCTTCTGCATTTTCATATTCTGCCTTCTAGTTACCATGCATAAACCACTCATCCTCTTATCTGAAGTGAAACACTTTACTTCATACTAGATCCTATTCGTGCCAACAGAAGGCTCTCTCTCCATCTATTCTCCCTTCCTCTCTTGCATCATCACTAATTCTCTCTCCTACGGGTCATTATCCTCATTCTCTTGGTAACCAGATCCAGTTTCATGGCTTTAAATACCATCTATGTCCCAAGGAGTCCCAGATTTGTATGCCTAGCTCAGACGTCCCTTCCAAAATCCAAACTTGAATATCCAATGGGCTAATCAGCATCTTCACTTGAATTTTTAATAGACCTCTGAAAATCAATTAAGTCCAACTGTTTTTCTCCTCTAAATCTGCTCATCCCTCAGCCTTAGGCATTTCAGTTAATGGCAACTTCATCCCTCCATTTGCTCAAGAAAAAAGTACTGGGAGGTCATCTTGAACTCCCTCTCTTTTACAGCCTTCTTCTAACCCATCAGGAAATCTTCTTGGTGCTTCCTCCTAAATGTACACAGAATCCAACCCCAACCACTTCTTATCTCCCCATTGCTGCCACCCTAGTCAGTGCTAACAGCATTTCTCACCTAGATCATGGCAATAGCCCTTGATCTGCCCTTGCTTTCGTGCTGCCTATTCTCAACCCAAAAGCCAGAGAAATCCTTCTGATCTCATCTGAAACCCAGGTGAGATCATGTTACTCCTCTGCTCAAGGTCGTCAGATGGCTCCTCCTTTCATTCAAGGTAAAAGCCCATGTTCTTACAAGGGCCTGCAAGGTGATCTAACACCCACCTCCCTTACCTCTATGACCTCCTACTTCTCTTCCCCTTGCCCATTCAGCTCCAGCCATGGTGAATTCTTCAATGTTTCTTTAACACACAAAGTATACTTCCACTTTAGGGCCTTTGTACTTGCAGTTCTCTCTCCCTGGAATGCTCTTCTCCTTAAATATCCACAAAGGCAATGCTTTCGCCTCCTTCAACTCTTTGCTTAAATATCCTCTCAATGAGTTCTACCCTAACCATCCCATTTAAAATTGCAACCTGCCACCAACTCCAGACCTTTCAGTTTCTCTTACCCTTCTGTCTCTCTCGGCTTTATTCCATCTCATGCATCACCTTCTACTACATGCTATAATGTGTAACTTTATGGTGTTTATCGTTTGTCTGCCCCAGAAGGAATGTAACCACAAAGGGATCTCTATTTTGCTCACTGATAGATCTCACACTTTTAGAACAGTAGCTGGCAGATATTAGGTACTTGATAAATACTTGCTGAATTAAATTGCATTTGGTTTGAATGATAGGTGTTCTGAGGATCAAATGAGCTTCATATACATAAAGCTCTCAAAATAATGCACAATAAATGTTAGCTGCCACACCATCACTACCGCCATCATCGTAATCGTCACAGTTGCCAAATTGTGTGTCTGAGTCTTTCTTGTGGCATTTTATAACATCAGATGTAAAGACAAATGAATAATCACCAGGATATTTTCTTTGTACATAAGGAAACCTTTAGATTTTGGTGGGTATAATCCATCTCACAGTGACTCCCCAATCATCTCACTCTCATGACCCATGCATGGAGTGGGATGCTGTTAGTGCCCTTTTCACGGGGAGAGGAAGCAGGCCCCATAGCCACCTAGAGGGGATTTGATTAAGCGATGTGATGGTAAATGCCTGACAACCAACTCTTGAGGAAAAAAAAAAGCAAAAAACTTTGATTTGTAGTGTTAGCCGATTTCCCTGGTGTAAATTCTCCCACTGTGGTTGATTTCAACTTTCCGACACTATGTCCCTGAATGGAGAGCTCAAAAGTTGTACAATAAGTAGCACCCCATAATAGCCTAATTTCACCAGAAATGCAATAGGCATATATAACTTCAAAAGCACAAATAAGAGTAAAATGTATTAAAATAATTAGGAAGCAATCAGTTTTGAGTAATTGTTATTTAATCGTAAGTTTAATTTCATTTTTAATAAATGTTGTGTTTAACAACCTTCTCATCAAAATTCTTAGGAATTTAACAATCCACTCTTGGGAGCTGGTATGAGGAGAGTTCAGTGCACCACTGGTGAGATCTGAGTGGCTATCTGACCCAAATGGGGTCAATCAGGGTCTCCCCTAGAGACAGGGAGTTAAACCTTCAAGAACCAGTTTTCCACATTGCTGGAGTATGAAGTTGGGAACTGTGGACAGACACTCTCCATCTCCCATGAGGACAGGGTAGTAGGAAAAGAGTCTACTGAGAGAATAATGATCTGCAAAGAGAAGCAGCAATAAGAGACCAAGAAAAAATTCTGCCTGTGGTGCCCATCACCTTTCAATTCCTGACTCCAGCTATTTCAGAGGGTTGGCCCTTGGGTTCTATGTGCCCCCTATCTTTTTTTTTTTTTTTTCTTAGAAGGAGTCTCCCTCTGTTAGCCAGGCTGGAGTGCAATGGTGTGATCTCGGCTCACTGCAACCTCCACCTCCTGGGCTCAAGCGATTCTCCTGTCTCAGCCTCCTGAGCAGCTGGGACTACAGGCGCTCCCCACTATGCCCGGCTAATTTTTTTTACTTTTAGTAGAGACGGGGTTTCACCATGTTAGCCAGGATGGTCTCTATCTCCTGACCTCAGGATCCGCCCGCCTCAGCCTCCCAAAGTGCTGGGATTACAGGTGTGAGCCACCGCTCTCGGCCAAGCCCCCCATCTTTAATACAAATTTTCTATCACTGTGTAAGCTGGAGATGGTTTTAGATACTTGCAAACAAGTGTTCTCAGCATATATTATGCTTAGTTGATTGGGGTTGGCTGGAGTTACACCAGTGCAGTCAGGCACACCGATTACTTGATGCTTCTCTACAGGTATAGCTATCTTTAAATAGAAAAGTGAATTACTACATAATAAGTGCATTTATGTAAGTCTAAAACATTTTCAAAATATAAAGTTTATATCAGAAAAAATATAATTTTAAAAAACATTCAAAATATGAAGTTCACACCAGGAAAAAATAATAAAACAGGTTCTTGGTAGTGAAAATTTTGGGAGCTACAGCCTCAGTTTACATTGGCCAGTGTTACCCAAAAAGTCATCATTCGCTAACTTTAGACACATCACTTTCATTATTCTTGCTGCAACAGTGTGCCACCAAAGTCAATGCACTGCAGAAAAGAAATGCAATTCCTTCCATCTGCATAAAGTATAACCTCATTTAATTGTAACCTAAGTCAAAGTATCTATAAAATCATGGATTTAATATGTTAATCATATTTTCATACACTTTCGATTAAATAAGCTATTTTTAAGCAATGTTGCTGTGTGTGCCACCTAAAATGATACCCAGGACACACCCAGGAAAACATCACATCAGTTAGGCTTGATTCTCTACAGCTGTTCCTGGCACATGAGGTTTTCTCCGTCTCACTCCTGCGTAGCCCACGAGAGTCCGGATTTGTCAGAGGACTATGTTTCCAGGCTCCGGGACAGGAGGAACTAATCTGCTGTTATTAAAATGAGAGCAATACATGGTAGGCACACATTTAACTAAGGGATCTGTGTTTTATTATTTGGGAAGATGTATTTGCATAGGTTAATTCAATGACATTCTTTATTAAAAAAAAAGAAAGAAAGAAACTCACACAGTGAGCAGCGGCCAATCCTACCTTTCAACTTCATGTTAATTTGCCTTAGGGTTTATCTGAGCTGAGCATCCAAGAGATACCAGCAATAAGTTATCTATTTCATCACATGCTGGGCGAATAAGAGACCTGTCTCAGTTATGACCAATTGAATTTATTCTCTCAACACAGAGTATCCAAGCCCTAAGTAGACATGATGCTTTGGGCTGATGCTTATCTTTAAAACTTCAGCAGCTGATGGCTCAGAGTTCAGCATCACCAATACCACTTTCAGCCCTAAGAGGAGAAAGCTCAGGAATGTTTTCTTGTGTTCTGATTCCGGCTCTAAATCTAAAGTCACTTCTTTCTTCTTCTTTTTTTTTTTTTTTTTTTTTTTTTTTAGTCTCACTCTGTTGCCCAGGCTGGAGTGCAGTGGCGCGATCTTGACTCATTGCACCCTCTGCCTCCTGGGTTCAAGTGATTCGCCTGTCTCAGCCTCCCAAGTAGCTGGGACTACAGGCACGTGCTGCCACGCCCGGCTAATTGTTTGTATTTCTAGTAGAGATGGGGTTTCGCCATGTTGGCCAGGATGGTCTTGATCTTCTGACCTCGTGATTCACCCGCCTCGGCCTCCCAAAGTGCTGGGATTACAGATCACTTCTTAATGACTTAAACAAGTAGCCTGTAAGATCAGCAAATATAGAGGCTACAATTGTGCTTAATGGGAAGGCGAAGCCTGAGGATCCAAAGATGAGTCAGTAGTCCAAGTCCCTCTCCACACCTGAAGCAGTTCATTCTTCAGGAGTCCCATGAAAAGATGCTGGTGCCACAAGTCAGAATGCTTTTATACCTAACCAGGAAGATATGACATGTGGTGAAGGGACAAAAGCTGACCATTTAGGGTCGTGGCTTTTTTGAAATCCTATGGACTATCAAGCCACAAAGTAGTATCTTGGAATTCGACTTATCGATACAATCTTGAAAAGGCCATTACTAAAAGTAACTCTTACCCTTGCCTTCATTCTTCATATATGGGGCTCACTGCTTTAAATGTTTTCTAGAGTCATGCTGACTGGTCATTTTTGCATTCTGATTTCTTTTTTTCTGAGTAAACTGTGCAAATAAACAGATGGAATGTCCAAGTGATCATATAAGAACATTCTGAGCAATGAATATGAGCAGCAAGTCATCACGCAGCACCTCATCACGGCAGCACATGTACATATCACGTCAATGACTGTTATATCATTGTGTGTGTGTTTTTTAACACTAGTCAGCCTAAAATAAAAAAATGGAAAAGACTTCATGTCACCAGTTTTTCATCTTAGGCCCTCTTCTGTTTCCTCTGCTACACAGAGTTTGGAAAAAAATTTCACCAAAGGCTATTGAAATAAAATATAATTAAAAGTTCATGAAAAATAAAAAAAAGTCACCCTCTACTTGAGTAATCAACCTCAATTTCAGCTCTGAAGGTATCATCATTAATTGCGTGAAGTACATCATTAATTGCATTTTAGAAAAAAAAGCTTCAATATTTATTTCTAAAATGACATCTCCCTGAAAAAGTCATGTAAGTTTTCTTTCCTTGCCAAGGAAATAATCTTATCTCCTACCAAAGCAAGGATGAGAGGAGACATTTGGACAAAAGATCTGGGAAAGTAACACACAAATGTCCCCATCTCCCATGCAAATGGCCTCGTTTCTTGCGCAGCCCCTAATTCCTCACGTCTGCCACATGCCCATTGGTTAATACAGCGGAGACATGAGAGTTTAGAAATCCCACCTTCGCAAGCTTGACACCTCATATGGAAGCCGTCAGAAAAAGTGAACAGATAGATCTGCGCTCCTTAGTCATCGGGCAAACGACAATAACAATGCAGCACCATTTTCTGCCATCTTTTCAATAAACATGTCTTGGATAGGTCAGTGCAAACGATACAGACTGTACAGTGACTACCTCAGTGGACTAACCTAAAAGCATTAGTCAAATCCAAAGTCTCTGAGATACCTTATTGGCAGAAACAATACCTGTAACACATGAGGCAGGAGGTACGTGCGATGTGTCCCCTAAGCAGGTATGATCCAGAGAGGGAAGATTGTATGTAGGGGGAAATGACAGCATTGAATTTTAAATTCCCACTAAAAACAGAAACTAATAGCCTATGTTATCAAACAGCTTTCTTTTTTTCTTTCTTTCTTTTTTTTTTGCCTTTGAAAACTAGGAGAATTGAACAAGGGTATCTATGGGCTTCCAAGTATTTCTTCTGTGACTGTGTGGCCTGGTGGACACGTGCATAGTACACCTATCCCTGCATTCAAGCCATGAGTTTGGGAATGTCCAGAATTCGATTCCACATTGTTATCAGGTGAAACTGATTTTACGCGCCCACCCGCCTCTCCTGCAAGCCCCCAACCCCCTGAACATTTCTAAACTTCCTTGTTGCTATGGCTGCTTCTTCTCTTTTTTTAAATTTTTTTCCCTTCCTCTTCTTCTTTTTTTTTTTTTTTTTTTTTTTTTTTTTATAAGGCCTCTGGCCTTATACCGCTGTTTATTACCTCAGGCAAACTCTCTCTCTCACTCCTTTTCCCTCTCTGTTTCTTTAAATCTGTAAACCACAAAGCAGCATGCCAGCAACACCGTGGGTCAAGATATCAAAAGAGGGAACTTTTATAGGTTTCCTCGATAACATGGACAATAAAAGAAGAAGGGCGCACAAGCAGCATTACTGACCTTATTTGATGCTGTTCAGTAAAGAGAGACGGCTCTTCCACCGCCTGCCCGTGTAGGTCCGGGCCATCGGTGTGTGAAGAGGGAAGCTCTGTATCAACACCTGGTCTGGGTTTTCTTACACTCCTATGCCAAAGCCCTCCAAATGTTTTCGGCAAATAATACCCAAATAAATGGAAGGTTACTGAATACATGAAACTCACTGCAGCAAGAAATTGCTTTTCGACGCCCAGTATATACAGACAAACTGTTTTTCTCCCCACACTCACACATATGAATATCGGTAGGAATTTAGACTCTGCTAAGGACATGTGTGCTATGAAAGCAGAGGTCTGTCTTCCAAATATGATCGCTGTTAATCAGCAGTACTTACGCTGCCATAAGCTATATATTTTGGTGATTAGTATTAGAAGGAGAATGTTGGAGCTCATTGTCATAATGTTTCATGAAGACACATCATGTTGAAACAAAATGCATGTTTCTTTGGCCTGACGTGCCTGCTGGTTTTCATGTGATATGGGTCCAAGAGGAAAACGTCTTTAGCAGGCCTTAGGAATAACTGCTTCCACAACCATATGGGCTAGGCGAAGTCCTAGATGAGTAGAAATGAAACAGAACACTCCTGCTTTCACGTGAAACTCTTTTTTTGTTTTCCAAATAGTTAAAGTCACTTTAATCATCTATTTTCAAGGAAGATATATTTTCTCTCACAGTAAGAAACTGCAAAGGAAATAACCCCTTTTTTCTTCAGGTCCCCAAAGATCCCAGCTCCTAACTTTTAGTCGCATCAAAATCTCCTAAGAGAATCTAGTCTATGCCTCCATTGTCCAGCCTTAACAGAGAAAAAAGATCAATCATTTGAGTAGAAGTAAAAGCAGGAAGAGGATCAAGAGTTATTTTCTCCTATGCTGAAAATTCCATTCCCTGGCTCCTAAGAAGTTGCATACACAGTTTCCTTTGACTTTTTCAAGTATTTTTTAACCACTTGCTCTTTAAATAATACCAGTCTGAAAATCATCTCATTGTCCACCACCTTCACTGTTTTCTAGATGAGATACTGTGCTCGGTGAACATACTCCTCAATGGCAACCAAGACTGTGAACACCATATTTGCCAATTCCAGAGTCACTCTCACGCAAAGCCATCAACCTGCTCACTGTCAGAGGCCTCTGAGGACATCAGTGAGGGCTGGGCTGAGCCTAGGCCCACAGAGAGATGCAGGCACGTACTGCTTGGGCTATGCTTCCTAAATGTAGGGATTTTGGACCCAGGAAAATGAGATGCTCTTTTAGAATAGATGGTAGGGGTCATCTCAGAGACCCAGTTTCCCCAGCTGTTTCCAGAAACAGCAGCCCTGGCCCTGCCTACCCAGCAGGAGTTACCCCAAAGCACCAGGCCAGCCTGACCCAGAGCCTCATTCTCCACCCGTCCATCTGCAGCCTGGAGCATGTCTCCACCTTTATGAATATTTATTTTGGGCCCAGCAAATTCATGTGAGATTTGATGTGTCCTTCCCACTCTCCTCTCCACAGACCCCACGAAGTATTAAACACATGCTATCATCCCAGCACTTTGGGAGGCCAAGGCGGGAGGATCACTTAAGGCCAGGAATTTGAGACCAGCCTGAGCAACATAGCGAGACCTCATCTCTACGACAAATTTAAAAACTTAGCCAGGCCTGTGGGTGCACACCTGTGGTCCCAGCTACTCAAGAGGCTAAGGTGGCAGGATCGCTTGAGCTCAGGAGGTCGAGGCTACAGTGAGCTGTGATCACAGCACTACACTCCAGCCTGGGGGACACAGCAAGACTGGTCTCAAAAAAATAAAAATAAAAATAAAAATAAAACAGAAAAAGCCATACTATCAAACACACAAAACTAGGAATCCAATTCTATTTATTTGGCAGATGACCTAGAGGCTCCAAAAATGCCAAGAGCAAGTGCTTGGTCCCTGCATGCAGAGACGGATGCCTGGTCCTGCCATCACCCCTTTTCCTTACATGGGACGCTTGGATGAGAGAGAGGCGGCTCGCGAGGCAAATACGGGAGTGCAGTCGCCATTCCTCCTTCTGTCTTCCCTCCCAGCCCTGTCCTCCTGCCCTCCTGTTTGGTGGTTCTCTTTTTTTTTTTTTTTTTTTTTTTTTTTTTTCCCTGAGATGGAGTCTCACTCTGTCACCCAGGCTGGAGTGCAGTGGCACATCTAGGTTCACCGCAACCTCTGCCTCCTGGGTTAAAGCAATTCTTCTGCCTCAGCCTCCTGAGTAGCTAGGACTATAGGCACCTGCCACCGTGCCTGGCTAATTTTTGTATTTTTAGTAGAGACGGGGTTTCACCATGTTGGCCAGGATGGTCTCGATCTCTTGACCTCGTGATCTGCCCACCTCGGCCTCCCAAAATGCTTGGATTACAGGCTCGAGCAACCGCGCCCGGCCCTGTTTGGTGGTTCTTTTAGCTTAATGTGGTGACAACACAGCTCCCTTAGTGATGTCAAATCCCTTGCACGAATGCAGAAAGCGTTTTTCTCCCACACACTTTCAAGTGGCCTTAATGGAGCCTGTGGGAAGGCTGACTGCTCACAGTGGAACCAGAACATTTGGGTGGGCCTGGGGCGGGGGCTGCACAGGGTGGGACTGGGCTGAGATGTTTGAATGACAGTATGGTGATGTCAGTGCGACCTGAGCATTTCTAAACATGCAGAATTTTTTTTTTCCCAACGTCCTTATTTTTATACAACTGAGCTAAATGGACAGACACCTGTCCATTGTGACCACTTGAATTGGTGGAGTTTATACGTCCAGGTGGAATGAGATGACTCTTAACAGGAGTATTGGTCTACAGGGTAACCTCTCATTTTTCAGTGTCACAAACTAGACTCTAAAATACTGAATAAATCTGTTCATGATAAGGCGTTTTTGTAAGTGACTTGATATCATTATCTTCATTTGATATAGCAGGAAATATCTGGATTTAAAAGGAATCTGCATGGGGTTGCCAGACTTAGCTAGTTAAAACAAAAAGATGCCCAGTTAAATGTGAATTTTAGATAAACAATGCACAATTTTTTTAGGTATAAATATGTCTCATGCAATAGTTGAGGCATACTCATACTAAAAAAAAATATCATGTATCTGAAATTCAAATTTAATTGGCATGTTGTATTTTATTTGGGAACCCTAAACCTTCAGAGCGTGTGTGTGTGTGTGTTGGGAAGGGGTTAGAGCAATGGAACTTCACTCTGTTGTGTAAATTTTGGGGGAAATGTATTCCTAACCCCTGGCTCCTTGCTTGGATAGAAATATGGCCACTGAAGAGAAGATCAGATGAGCTTTGTAGTTTTTAACCGTATATTTCCAGGTGCCTGGGGACCACGGGAAGGAGAAGGGTTGCACAGGCGATCCTGAATCACCACGTGAGGAGGAGGCTCGGCTCGGGCAGGTATGTTTTTCAACACGGCTCTAACAGAGCGCACACAGGTGATTAACATTCCTCTGCTGAGGTTTATGACTTCATTAGAATATTTCTCATCATAACTGAATAGGTAAAAAATACCTGGCTATTAAATACAAGTCTATCCCTCAGGATGACCAGATTATCACTTGAATTTAAAATCTTTCTGAATTTTTAATAGTGCATAACAAATACGATTATTTATGCACTTTCTTCCAGTACTCAACTTGCCAGGCCTACAATTATATGGAACGCCTTCAGTTTCAATGGGAGGGATTAATTGGAGCTGTGCATCTCGGCCTGGTCCCCCCTTTCCTTGTGACCTGGAGGAAGCCTGTCCGGAATCCTTTGGAGGCACCGGCAGGGCCTGGCTCTGTGTTATTTAGAAACCCCTGGTAATTAGCAGCGGGGAGATGTAAGAGCCGTGGTGTAAAGGGAGCAGCTGGGAATCCATAAAGCTGGCTGATGAGAAAGTCAAGTGGAGGCCTGCCTGGCTGAAACATCTTCAATAGATCTGTAGTCTGGGCTTGAACCCTGCCCTCTCACCTCAGGGTCCGATATTTCTTTCTTTTCCATTTTTTTCCTCTGCCCAAGTCCCCCGCCCCCACCTTCTCTTCTCCTCCCAGCTTCTCTATCAAGGAATGATGTACTCAGACTGTGAATAAATGCGAGTGACCCCCATCTGCCCACCCCCACTTCCCAGAGCCTTCTGCTGGAGAAGGGGGTGGGGGAGGGAGGACAGAGAGAGAGGGAGAGAGAGAGCGAGAGAGGGAGAGAGAGAGAGAGAGAGAGAGAGACAGAGGGAGAGAGGCAGAGGGAGAAAGGTACAAGAGAGAGAAGGGAAGAGAGAGAGGGAGATAGAGCGAAAAAGGAGGGTCCCCGACTTCCTCACAGGTAATTAAAAGGACTGTTTTCAAGGTTGCATGGGCAAAGACAATTCGGCCCTAATGAAGCATCGATCGACTGCAGTAATGTAGAAAGGAGCTGACATTCATTCAAAGGTACCTTTAACTGTAAGACACTGCACCGGGAATTATTCGTTCTCTGCTGTCATTGCCTAGGACCTGGGTTAGGGAGAGGAAAAAAAAAGGTGGGGTGGAGGGGAGAGTTTGTTTTACATTTATTTCCGCATCGCCACAAATGCATGTGTCGGGGCTTCTCTTTTCCTTCTCTTCTTTTTAAAAATAGAATGCATCAGAGCACAGTCTCTTTGGATGTAAGGAGGGGGGCCCTCCCCGCTTAGGGTAAATTTTCTTCATTAGTCACGTTTAAAAGCCCACCAATCAGGCCTGCCGGGTCCGGAATTCAGGAGGTCAGCGACAGCCAAGCAGGAACTCTTTGGGAAGGGTAGGGGCATTGCTGGCTGGCTGTAAACCCAAACTCGTTTCCCTCCACGGGTTTGGCCGCTGTCTGCTTTGTGCTGGTGTTTGCTATTCTGGGGCAAACCCCAGAAACCTCGAGGGAAAGAGAGCTTGGGGAACGGGGACCTATCACTGTGCAAGGGGATGTTGACGATCCAGCCAAGGGGATGGGGATCTGGCCATAAAGAGACCAAAGATGCTTGTGGGAAGGAGGGTTTCGGCAATCCAGGGAGTGAGACGGGGTTTTCGGGTTGCAGAAGAATGCCAGGTAAAGGTGTGGGAGAGAAGCGAGGCTGGGAGTCACCTCCCAGTCCACCTGGGGGACACTTCTTCTGGGTTCCCCGGCCGTGGACATGACTTCTTGTTTTCCTCATTAGCCCTAAAAACATTTGCCTTTGGAGAGGATCCAAATGAGAATAAAAAGATACTAAAGTGCTAGTCGTGCCAAGTCAATGGGGGAGGACGATGACGGAAGGAGAGTCAGTATCCATTCCAAAACAAGTGGAGTGTTATCTGGAAAGGTTTTGCCCACAGCCCCAGCTCCACTGGATCTTACACGAGGCCCCTCATACAACAATAGCAGGTCCCTTCAGAGCACGAAACACAAAGGGAATTTGCTCTGGTTCAGTCTCCACAGTGAGGCCCCTCGGAAGCTAAAGAGAGTCACTTCCCCCCGACCCCCACCTCTGCTAAAAATAAGCGTGGGAGGCAATCTCAGACCCCCATAATGACATCCAGGGTACCATAAACCTATCCTGTTGGCAGGACATTTCAAATCACGGGCTCTTTCTCCCATTTTCTTTCTCTCTTTCCTTTTCTTCTCAGAATTTATCGTCGTTTCTTGATTTTGCCTTTAATTTTGGTTTGGTTTTAGAGGGAGGGGGTGGCAGGGTATATTATTTAACTTGATAAACAGCATTAGCACAGCGCTGGGCCGCCTCCTGGCTTCGGCGTCTCTCTCCTATTTTTTCATTTGTGTTTACATTTCTAAGACATCCCCTTAGCTGAAGGAGGATGCTTCCCACATATTGCACTATAGGCCATTCATGCAAAAGGATAATTTATTGGCCGCACAGCCTCTGAAGTTGAATTTTTAAAAAGAAAAATCGGAGCCCAGTTTCCCCAGGTTTGCTGCATTCACTTGTCTTTAGTTTGTGCTCTTCTTCTTGCCTTTATCTTTGAAACAGTTTATAACATTCTATTTATCAATTTGATGCTGTTTCCTCCTGGTTGTTATTTATTTACTTATTTATTTTGTGCTGCCAAAGAACAGGTCAGGAAACAGAGGCAGAAATTGGGTGGAACACCTGCTGAAATTAAAAAAAAAAAAAAAAGTTTTCCCCTAAAAAATGACTAAACTGCAGCCCAGCAGATCCTATCTGCATTAATTTGGCTGAACAACAAGATATTGCAGGGGACAAACTCTGAATAAAGCAGTTCCGAGTTCCCAGAATTGGCACAGCTCAGCCTAAACAATGACGGCTTCCTATTCACCTTAACCCAGCTTTTCAAAAGAACATCCCCAGAAACACAAAGCATCAGCGGGAAATGGCAATTTTATGAATCCTAATCAATCAAAGGGCTTATTAACTCAATGTGAAGCCAGATTAAAATCTTTAATTATAAATCGTGCTAAAAGGAAAAACAAAATGTACTTATGGTACATTGAAAATTCCGGATATTAACATAGTTGCTATTATCTCTTGCAATATTAAATTCCCCCTCCCTTTCCCCCACTACAACCTCACCTTTTTCTATTACTAAAGAACAGGGCTACAGAACCCAAATCATTTTTCCCCTCGATTTATTAAAATGTATTCTTTTTCTCCCCCTGTGCATCCAATAGGTTTCTGGGAAGCTGCGTTGGAGGCTGTAGGACCGGGTATGAGAAATCCCATTACTGAGCCCCGGGCAGCTAGGGTTTCAGTGTGATGCTGGAGGTAGTTTGGGTAGCTGTTTATTAAGAGGACAGAGTTGGTATTACAGGGTCGGTAGTTGTTTTGTTTTGTTTTCTTTTTGGCGGGGGGCGGGGGCGGGTAGGAAGAGGACAGCAATCAGATGGGGAGCATTTTTGCTAATGAAAGCGGCATGCGTGTCTGTGCTCGTAGGTTTGATTGGCAGGAGTGGAGATTGCCAGCCCCAGGAAGGGTCCTCGCTTTAAGCCATGGTGTGAGAAAAAGCTTTGGGTGCTGCTGTTGCTGCTGCTGCTGCTGCTGCTGCTGCTGCTGCTGCTGCTGCTGCTGCTGCTGCTGCTGCTGCTGTTGCTTCTTTTTCGGCTTCTTCTTCTCCTTTTTTAATCAGGCAGACATTTGGGAAATGACCACAGCAAATTTAATCACAGTTGGGGGGTGAGGGGGGAGGGAGGCAGAGCAGAGACTGTGATTCACATGTTTTATTTATTTGTTCAGAGTCACGGCCATCCTATTGTGTGTCCCTCATTCTGTCATTTCAGGCCCCTCCGACCCACCCCTACCCCTGTCCCCATTGTTAATGTAAGAGGCAGAGAATATAACCACATTTTGTAATAATAACATATCCAACGTTGCAAAAGCAGGCACCTCATCTTGAGAGGGGTCCTTTTCTTACATTGAAATGATAGAAAAACAAAAAGAAAAGAAAAAGAAATCTCTCCATCCTAATGACAATGTAGGATGGAGAGATTTATTCTTTGTGTAAAAATGCAATGATGTTCCTAGCTAGGGTACATGCCCCATTTCCTCCCCTCCTGCACATCGGCTATGGTACTATTCTATTTTTATATTTACAGAGCAAACCCCATGTTACCAAATTGGCTTTAAATTAAATATAAAGGGAGCGAAGGAAAGGAAGAAAGAAAGAAAGAAAAAAACCTGTACTATCAAAGCTAATAAAAAGAAAGTAATACCCTGGTTTAAATTAAATCCTACTTCATTCCTTTTGTTCAAAGTTCAGAATTTCTTTATCTCAGCCTCTCTCCTGAAACATTCCTTTTCTTTGACTTTTCCTTTAGTTCCAGGGACAGGAAGCCCTCGTCCCCAAATGAGGTCTCTAAAGATCCTTGCCACTTTCCTTGCTAATCCTAGAACTAGGTTTCAACCATGGATGGGGGGGTTTGTCAAGAGGGGAGAGACAGCTTTCACTGGCAAAAATCTTGATGGTGAGTAGGGCTTGATTTTCATAATACAAGGTCGACTCTGTGCTCTTTCTATCTGAACACTAGGTCTAAAATGCCTTATTTAAACCTGACTCAAGAGAGGGACATGTCCCTGATGGACACAAACCCAGTCTGCCCCAGTGACACATCCTGGCTCCCTCCCAGCTGTGCGCCTTCCTCAAACATTCAGGATCCTTCCAAACCATATTCTTGTAGCTACTGCTATTTCAAAAGTGCAGGGAAAATATGGTTTTCCTGATTACTTTGGAACTTGTGAACACAGACGCAATGCTCAATGTTACTTTAAACACATTTACTAACATCTTTATATGCTTGAAGCAAATAAAGATTTACCCAAATGCTGCTTTAGCATCTGAAAACTTGCAGAACCCCATTTTGGTTGCTCTGTAACCACACTTACACAGTCCTTGCTATAAACACACGAGTCTGGTTTTTCTTCTGCAAATATGTATGATTTCTGTTTAGCTCCATCCCTCCTTGATTTTTCTGCCTTTGCAGACTGATAATTTTGTAGTTATCTAAATGGACAAATATAGCCAGAGGAAAAGATCCTAAATCAGTTTTCATGGCTAAAGTGCACACGGAATCCATTTTGGCAAAAAGCACTCAAATTCTCAGAATTCCTCTAAATCCTTAAATGCCACACGGCTGTGATATTCCTTTGAAGACGAGCATTGGACCTAATAAACCGAACACTGGAGGCACAGATCTCGTCTTCTTTAGTTCTTGCAACAGCTTTTCACTAAATTCAAAAAAGACCTTTTGTGCTTAACTGGGTTTTCATTTCATTGCTTTTAAATTTGTTAAGCTTGACTTTTGACACTTTGGGTGTTTAGCCTTTTTTTTTTTTAAAAAAAAGTGCAATTATATAATAAATATTTGTGCTTCCAGAAAGGAAGACATTCATCTGTTATTAATGCTCGTATACAAAGAATAAAATGTACTTCACTCTTTTGTTAGAAATAACCCACATAAATATGTACATTTTTTTAAAAATCATCTTTAAACAATGGCATAAACTATTTTTGAAATAACACACAGAAACATGGTATATACAACGTATTCACTCCACTAGAAGGTGTAAACAAAATATAAAAAAAATTAATAAAGCCAAGAAGGAAAGATAACTTGTATAAATAATTATGTAAATAAAATGTGCCTTTGAATTGCTATGTAAACAAATTAGACATCAAATGATAAAAAGCACAGTTAGTAAATTACGATTCTCTATAAAAAATATGAAACTATTTGACTTTTCCCATTGATTTACTTTCCCAGTTCACTTCAGCAAATGAAAAAATATGAGTGGAGACGGCTCTCAGCAGCTAAAATATGAAAACAGGCATTTGTTTTTGTTTTTCTTTTAAAAAAATGTATATGCAATTTTAGTTACTTCTCAGAAATTACAAAAGGGACATTTAGGAATTGTTCACAAGGTGATGCTTTGAGATTAAATTTTCTTTTGATACGCTTTTAAAAATATTCAGATACACAGTTTTGAAAATATTCACCTCTTAGGTGAGGATCGTCTCAATCTAATAGAAATGTTTTTTTTCCTTTTCTGCCTAAAGGAAAATGATTTTAAAATTATTTTCTGAAGAAATATTGCATGGAAATCAATATGAAAAACAGCATTATTAGTAAGTGGAACATAATTCTTAAACATTTTAGTCCACTTATTTTCAGGTATTTCAAATATATTTAAAATATTTTTCATATATATTTTTATCCACATCACAATTCTTGTTGGGTGTTAATACAGGTTCTTTTTTTCTTTAATGT
Organism: Homo sapiens; assembly: GCF_000001405.40. Taxonomy (NCBI): domain Eukaryota; kingdom Metazoa; phylum Chordata; class Mammalia; order Primates; family Hominidae; genus Homo; species Homo sapiens. Next base: position 73,549,412 of record NC_000016.10, read on the forward strand.
CAGGAAGAAAACGGCAGTCATGATAGGAAGACAATATTTACGTTTTTCTATCTTCTTTAGTTTAGTTCCAAATCCAAATAAATAGGAATGTAAAAATGGTTTAAATGGTTATTTTAGAACTCTGCAGGGAATCTTCTCTTTAAAACTATTTCAAGCCTTTTCTAAAGATTTCTCACATCAGTATTATGTTGTTGGTTTCCTTTTGAAAAACACTCTGCTTCTTAAAGAACCTTATAATTTAAATGTATTTCCTATGCATATGGTTTTGTCAAAATCCCAGTCCAAACACAGAAAATGCCCCGGGTCTCCTTAACACCTCCAAAGCTAATGTTTATAGGCCAGCTTAAATCTGAGCAGAAAATATTCACCACAACTCCTGGCTTTTTTTTCTTCTTTTTCTTCTTCTTTCTTTCTTTTTCTGGATCGGACGAGCGCTACATTTGATATAGAGACTGATTTTTTTTTTTTCCCATCAAAATTACATGAGAAGCAAAAAGCTGGAATCTAAGGCTCTAGACAAACTGGGTGGGTCTCCTCACTCCTGTCTTTTCTCAGTGTCAGACTCTATGTTTAGATAAAACAATTTATCTTTATCATTTTCAAGCTGTTCAGACGGGCGAGGGGTGGGAGGTGCGAAGGGTGGAGGGGTGAGGGAAAAGGTGATTGTTTCACTTGTTGTCAGAGGGCATTGATCAGCCCTGCTGTCTGCTGGTCTCCGAGGTGAGGCCAGGTCCCCCAGGAGTACTTCGGGGCTGGGCCGTGTCAGGGCAAAGCTGTATTGAGTCATGACCCAGATGACGGCTCATTGAGGCAAACGGGTATTGGCGTCCAAATCATTCTGAGACACCCTCAGTAACACTTAAACCAGTCCACTCCGTTAATGTCAGGTCACGGGGGACACATTTAGCCCCCTCTGCTGACCATTAGACCCTTTGATGGAGTGGACGATAAACTTGACGGGACAAGCTGGACCCTGCACTTGAGTCTGCCTATGTTTACAGTAGGCCCAGTGTGAGGCTGGCCTTTGGAGAACGCCCGCCGTCCCTGTGGCCAGGTCCTCTAGGGACTCTGGCCCTTTTACACCACACAGGATAAAACAGAACTAAAACTAGTTTTAATGTTCCAGCGTCAAAGGGAGAAAAACAAGCCACCGTGATCCTTCGCAAAGTTTTTCAACAATGAGGTCAGATACAAATTGTGGATGAAGTGGTCTGGCTCTACCATTTTGTAATTTTTATTTCTTGCTTTGATTTTTCTCTTTCTTCTAAGCACCGCTTATATAGTGCAGGTATTTTGAAATCCATTTGTTATACCTTCTGTGGCAAAGAACAAAAAGAATTCCTTATTGTTTCCCAGGGAAGTAGAGAAGAATTCAACAAAAATTCACTCTGTTGTGATCATAAGGTTTCCAGGGCAGTCTTCTGAAAGGGAATTATTTTATTTTGTATTACCAAACATCAAATATATTTTGGGGAGAGAGGGGAATAGGAATCTAAAGCTAATTGCATTTCCCATTGATGGGAGCATTAGCCTAAAACAAACTTGAGCTTGGAAATGAATCTAAAGTACAAACTAACAAAAACCAAGTCTTTGTTAACATTCAAAGGGTGAATTAATAATCATTATTGCTACTATTTAAACAAATTATACCTAAATCTTCTGTTACACGAGAGATTGCTACTGTTTACTTTTGCTGCTTTCCCACCAGCAAAACGGCCTCTGGTTTGACAGAGCAGATTTTCTGGTATTAAAACGCTTTTATCCTAGTTTTAACACCTTGTCTGAATTCCTCTTGAGAATTAACTGATATTGCATGAGAAGGGAAAATGCGAGGGGGTTTTCAAGTGGCCCCCACACTCAAAAACTCAGTTCAACAGAAACAACCCTCCCTTCTTCAAACAATACCAGTTACTAAGTACACAAGTAGCATGAAGAAAAAAAAAGTACAAATGAGCTAACTAATATGACCAAATTATGCATCTGTTTTGTCTTAAAAGTAAATATCTAATTAAAAAGATAATCTAGTTACCAAACTATTAACTGTCCTTCTGATAAATAAGGAAGCAGCTGTGGGTTATGTTTAACCAAGGGTGAGGGAGGTGTAGTCACTCTCAGGTTCTCATTGACTACTTTGCATTATCCAAACCTGAGAGACTTTTCCAGAGTTCATATTCTTTGTTTCCTAATGCAGTCTGGAACCTCTAGAGCTGGCTAAAATTCAGAAGTGTTTCTCTTAAAAGGAGTCAGTTTATCAAGCCATAAAGATTACATCTCATTTTCATATCAATGTACATAGCTTCATTCCAGAGAAACTGGATAAATTAGAACATGTACCCACAGCCCACTTGATTACATCCTGTCCCTGAAGCTTGAAAGTAAGACTTATAGATTCAGAGACTTCAAATGATTTCAGGGAGTTTATATTTTGGTATGGTTTTGGAAGAGGTGTTAGAGTAACTTGTTTTCTTTCCATGTGCTATTAATATTGTGTGTATAATGCATACATATAAACAAGTATCATCAACATTTACTAACTCCATCTTGATGTTTTATGTTGAAAGGATAGAGATAATTCTAGCATAGATGTGTCTGTGAGTGAATGAGTGAGTGTGTGTGTGTGAGAGAGAGAGAGACAGAGAGAGAGAGAAAGAGAGAGAAAGCACACAGTCATGTATCTTTTACTCATCTCATCCAAATAGACTTCTAACTACAGCCCTAACTCAAGAAATAAATTGCATTGATCTGGTATTTAAAATGGGGCAATCTTGAGTTTTTAGTGGGACGAGATACCAGAGGGAAATTACATCATTGCCAGTAAACTTCTCTCTCCACCCTGCTTTCGGTAATTTTTCCCACCTCTTCCTTTCAATTTGCAAAGTCAAGCAAGAGCCTAATGGAGAGAAATACATACCTATTATGCCCTGTACATGTTTTTGGCACCTAAAAAGTATACCATTAGTAATTGGAAAAATTAGCCATAAAATCCATATTGACTAACATCGTGCCATTTCATTCAAAAATGATCATTCTATCCTGATCCAAATGGGCAGAAGCTCAAAAGGTGTAAGACATAGAATCCATGAAATTAATAAAATCACCTTGATTTTAAAACAGTTAGAAACTGCACTTCCACATTTACACTCTCATTTTCTCACCACCACTAGCATTCCAAATAAAAAATCAGTAGACTTGGGATGGGTTCTATACAACCACAAAATCTTAGATATTTTTCTGAGGACTAGAAGACTGAATTTTCTCTGAACTCTGTTCTCAGAGGACATGAGTGTAAATGAGGGAAGAAAGGCATTTTGTTCAGTAGCAAAAGAACATTAGGTACCTGTTTGTCATGCTGCATTTATATTGCTTTTTATGTATTAAAAAAACCTTAGATTTTCCTGCTCTAGACTGATACGTCTGCCTGTAAAATTCTTGGAAAATAACATACCAGTTAACACGCAACCAGTAACACCTCTGAAGGCAGCTAATTCTGAATTTAACTCTTCTTGTGACCTAAGTTTCCTTCTCGGGATTTTCATTCACATCCACAGTCTGAGTATTCCAAGGAAACTTTATCCTTCAAGCACCTTTTGTCACATTCTGCCGGGCTCTGCTAACTGTCCTAATCACATCGCCTGTGAATTGGATCCAAGGGGAGACAAGCACTATGTATGCCATTTGCTCATTGGCTCCATGAGAAAAATCAAACATGGACATTTTACTCCAATAAACCAATGTTTCCCAATGTTTTAAATTGCTACCTGGAAAAGAAGTCGTGTAACTCCTTTTTTTTTTTTTCAAAATAGTGTCTGATGAAAGAGATCCCTTATATTTTTTGTTTAGTTTTGGATTTCACCTTAATCTCAACACATTTTGAAATGGCTCATTGAACTTCATTCTCTGAGCTCTAGCTCTCTAGAGGTCACAAGAAGGTCACTAGGATATTCTCTGAAAGCATCACATGAGATAAAAATATACAGATTCCACAGTTTCAACACTGTCATCAGGGACTCTAGCCCCCACGACACCAATGTGTGACAGAAAACGATCTCCCTTCTCCATCTAAAAGGTGAGCAGAGTCCAGACCAGGGCTCTGGTCTGTCCTTTGAAATAATCCTTGGTCCCTGTGGTGAATATGATGAAACATTGGTATCTCAGAGCCATTTTCCAATATAGTCCAAACCACTGGTCACCTCCAATGTCACTGGTCACAACCTCTTTATATTTAAGGACAGCATAGACTGGTCATGTTAATCTGTTAATGATGTCTTAATGGCAACCCAAAATTCAAAGCCGACTTGAGGACACGATGGGGATCCCACCTGGCTAGATAGCACCATAGACTCCAGGTCTGCCTCCAAGTGTAGGGTGGGGAAGAAGGGTCTTTTCCTGCTTCTAGGTGCCAGGCCTAGGGTTTCTCCCACCTAGGGGGTCTAAGGAAGAAATGGATTTTCTCTTTCTGTTCATTGTATTTCATCATCTGATCACTGAAATGCTTAATGTGAGTTTTCAGAAAAAGTAGGGCAGATGATCAGAAAAAGTGATAAATGGCGGCTGCATTTCACACGGTTGTTTATAACAAACTAGTCTGAACTGCTGCACCAGGAGTCACAGTACAAGGGGGGAAATGTATGCAGGCAACAGGGAGTTAAGTAAATAAATTTTTTCTTTTCTTCGTCAATGTGTTTAGTTCTCTTCCTGCCAAGATTCATCTCACTCTGCTATCTTGTGAGAGACACATATGGTGCGGTGAAATTGCCATCCAAGAAAGCATGTCCCAGCCTGTTGAGACATCATCAAATAAGATTAAAGCAAAGTAAAAATAAAAAGATAGAACGATTTTTTTTTCTTTTCCTTGTACAGAGAACATCTGATGAAAGCCACTGAGGTACTTGAATTGCTTCTAAAGGTTTGCAGCCATTTCTTTACTCTGGATGGTTAAGAAAAAGCCAGGAATAACATGACAATATCTTCTTTGCATTCTCCAAGTTAGTGAAAAAAAAGTGCTTCATAATAAACCAGACGTATATGAATAAAATACCATCTTGCCTTCAGCACTTCAGTTGCAAATAGCACTTAAACGCGCTGTAGACAGACCTCAGTCTTCACTTTCCCGCCTTCTCTTTGCTTTCTACAGATTCAGACTTTTCAGGGTGGCATAGAATAAAACTTTCATTTTTAAATATTAGTTATTAAGATTCCTTTTATGGCAAACTGTGGCTAATTTCTGGCTTTCACAGACCTCGGAATGGGAAGGACTGAGTTTCATCTTCAGCCCGTTGGTGGTCATATTTTCCTGCGGTGGCTGACACACTCAGGAGGCGTGGGATAGAAGGTGACAGCTTCTGCTACTCGGTGTCCCTGCAGTTGCCAGCCTCCCAGGGACTCTGCTCACCTAGGAAGGTACAGCTTCCCTTATTCTCGCCACCTGATTCCATTAGGCCCAATGTCTACTAGGCCGGGATATTATAAATAGACCTGACCTTCCTCAGTGTCTCTGTACCTGGAAATACCCTGCTGGTACGGGTATGAGTTAGCTAGACGACTATCACGGCCAACTCCAGAAGGCAGCATCTTTCCCACCCAATGCCCCCTAAGTGAAGACTTACAGTCATATCCAATTTCTTTCCCTATTCCCTTTTATCTTTAAGAATCTGCTAGCTTTGGGAGAATTTATGAAGGGAGCGGGAGGTGGGGGAATCCACATGCCACTCTCTTAAGACTCTTCTAGAACATTGAAGGCAGTTCGTATTTTATTTTTTTTGAGGAGGAGTCTCGCTCTGTCAACCAGGCTGCAGTGCAGTGGCGCGATCTCAGCTCACTGCAACCTGTGCCTCCCGGGTTCAAGCGATTCTCCTGCCTCAGCCTGCCGAATAGCTGGGACTACAGGCACCCGCCACCACACCCGGCTAATTTTTTGTATTTTTAGCAGAGACGGGGTTTCACAGTGTCAGCCAGGATGGTCCCGATATCTTGACCTCGTGATCCGCCTGCCTCGGCCTCCCAAAGTGCTGGGATTACAGGCGTGAGCCACCGCGCCCGGCCGCCATGTTTGTATTTTTAAGAGGCTCTCTGCCCCTCCGCTTCCCTCCCCAGTGGGATTTCAGGAAGTACTGTAAACTCTTTGAAAGGATGCAGTTGGCCGGGTGCCGGGGCTCACGCCTGTAATCCCAGCACTTTGGTAGGCCAAGATGGGTGGATTGCTTGAGGCCAGGAGTTCAAAACCAGCCTGGCCAATATGGTGAAACCCCATCTCTACTAAAAATATAAAAAATTAGCCGGGCGTGGTGGCGGGCACCTGTAATCCCAGCTACTGAGCAGGCTGAGGCAGGAGAATCACTGGAACTCAGGAGGCGGAGGTTGCAGTGATCTGAAATAGCGCCACTGTACTCCAGCCTAGGCAACAAGAGCAAAACTCCATCTCAAAAAAAAAAAAAGAAAAGAAAAGGATGCAGTTACGAGGTAAACAATACCATGCTTCATATGGGAGGGGGCCCAAAGCCAGGCTTTGAAATTAAATTACATTTTGTTTAAGTGTCTAGAGAGGGAGGGTGGCAGGCAGTGAAAGACAAGCATGTCCCTTTCTTAAATGCAGACACAGTGTTTTCTGTGATGTGAAGTCAGTTTGTGTTTCTAAGCAGAGATGAGGAAGCAGCCGGAGCATTTGTTTGCAAACCGTTCTAGGTAAGGTTTACAAGATCTTGTTTCCGATGTGCGGCCTTAATTGGACCTCTGGAAAGCAACAATGCATCAGTGGAAGAGATTATCACTGGCCTTAATAAGCTGTTGTTGGCTTTCATAACAGCCACTGCCTAAAATGAGGCACACCGAGCCCAGAGACAATCTTACCAATTGCCTGGAGCAAGGATTAAAGCAACAAGGATCCGAAGGAGAGAACGAAAGGAGTGGGGAGGGGGGTGGCGGAAGAAACAGGGGCTAATGTAAAATCGTTTCCATATTAACCTTCTTCCCTTCTGACAATGGTCAAGTTCTGATTCAAAATACAAATTATCTCCAATTACTTCAAAAGAGGCAGTCAGAGAGCTGTCATTTAACCTTCACCATCTGTTTGCTTCAAAAGAAAGCGGTACAGCCTGCCACATTGACCTCAACTTTCCCTCAGAGCTCTGGACGGCACCAAAGATGGAAGCTTATTGTCCTCTGAAGAAAAATCTACTGGGGTTTTCAGGGTGGCAGGGAAGCATGGGGAGGGTTAGGAAAGAGGATAAAAAGGATAGATGTTACAGGGGGACCAAAGGAAGGAGTCCTAGGGGGTGACCTAGCTCAAGCTGAGGTGATGTCTAGAGTGGAGTGGGGGGCTTACCCATCCTGGTCTTCTTTACTCAACATCCTCCACTAGAGGATGTGGTTTAAAATAAGATTGGCTTTAAGAAGGCCTCAGTGAGGCCGGGCGCGGTGGCTCATGCCTGTAATCCCAGCACTTTGGGAGGCCGAGACAGGCAGATCACGAGGTCAAGGGATCGAGACCATCCTGGCTCACATGGTGAAACCCCATCTCTACTAAAAATACAAAAAATTAGCTGGGCATGGTGGTGGGCGCCTGTAGTCCCAGCTACTCAGGAGGCTGAGGCAGGAGAATGGCATCAACCTGGGAGGCGGAGCTTGCAGTGAGCCGAGATCAGGCCACTGCACTCCACCCTGGGGGACAGAGCAAGACTCCGTCTCAAAAAAAAAAAAAAAAAAAAAAAAAAGGCCTCAGTGAGCTGAGACAGCTGAGGACCCCAGGACAGGCAGGATGAATGAGGCCCATGGTGTGGCCGGGCCTTTTGCCTGGTCTTCTGTCATGGGAGGCCAACAAAGGTTGCCTGGTACAATCAAAGAAGCAAGATTGAAAGGCCAAGGAGAGTAGCGCTTTGGGAAAATAAACAATCTGTTAGTACTGTACTATTAGACCCTTGTGTTACAGGAAACTAGTCCGGACCCAGACCTCAAGAGAGGATTCTTGGATCTCACACAAGAAAGAATTCAGGGCGAGTTCGTAAAGTGAAAGCAAATTTATTAAGAAAGTAAAGGAATGAAAGAATGGCTGCTCCGTAGACAGAGCAGCCTGAGGGCTGCTGGTTGCCCATTTTTATGGTTATTTCTTGAAGATATGCTAAACAAGGGGTGGATTATTCATGCCTCCCCTTTTTAGACCATATAGGGTAACTTCCTGACATTGTCATGGCATTTGTAAACTGTCATGGTGCTGTTGGGAGTGTAGCAGTGAGGACGACCAGAGGTCACTCTTGTCGTCATCTTGTTTTAGTGGGTTTTGGCCGGCTTCTTTACTGCGAACTGTTTTATCAGCAAGGTCTTTAAGACCTGTATTTTGTGCCGACCTCCTATCTCATCCTGTGACTTAGAATGTCTTCACTGTCTGGGAATGCAGTCCAGTAGGTCTCAGCCTCATTTTATCCAGCCCCTATTCAAGATGGAGTTGCTCTGGTTCACACACCTGTGACACTTGGATGGGCTAAAAAATGAAATCTACCTGCTCAACCAAAACCCCCAAAAGCACACCATTCTGGAGCCTCTCTGTGGAAGCACGACATCTCAGTCTGCATCAAAGCAATTATACCTCAGAAAACCAAATTCCATCATCTACAGGGGTCCCGAATGGGCCTTCCCTCCTTCGGAAATCTAGCAGAGTTAAAGGAAGAGAGAACAGCAGTTTATGAAGATGTCCCAGGACAAGACTGAAAGCACCAGTAGGGAGAATGGCTTCCCAACAGGCCACAGTGAAATAATAGAGTGCAAATTTCTAAATGCCTGCATTTTATGGGAGATTTCTAATGTGTGTGCCCACGTACATTATATTATTTCCACTACCTCTGATCTTTATTTTCCATTTTACAGCCCACTGAATAACAGGTTTTTTCAAGAGAGAAAGAAAGAAAACAGATCCCCTATAAATGAGGACAACTTTGACTCGTAAACAGTTCATGCGCTCAGAGAGGAAAGGCACCTGGTACTTTCTAAAGGAAAGCACCTCCAAATACCAGCACCATGTGGTGGGAGGGCAATGCTTTGCCTTATCAAATGGTACTGAAGCTTGAGGTCTGTTTCTACCACCACGCCTGGAGTAACTGTCAGGGCCTCTTATTTCTCATAGCCAAAGCAGATGGGGGACAAGTCGATTAAACACAGAAAGCTGCAGTGCTGTTATTAAGCAGTATCAGCACGGCAATGACGGCTGGAGGGACCACGGTGAAGGGCGAAACCTAAACCTCCAAGGATGGGCTCTGCATTCACCTAAAGCCCCTCCCCCCACACGCACATACACAGAAGAAAATGACTCTTTTTTTTTTTTTTTTTTTTTTTGAGACAGTCTCACTCTGTTGTGCAGGCTAGAGTTCAGTGGCACCATGTCGGCTCACTACAACCTCTGCCACCTGGGTTCAGGTGATTCTCCTGCCTCAGCCTCCTGAGTAGCTGGGATTACAGGCACCTGCCACCATGCCCAGCTCACTTTTTTTTATTTTTAGTAGAGACAGGGTTTCACCATGGTGGCCAGGCTGGTTTTGAACTCCTGACCTCAAGTGATCTGCCCGCCTCAGCCTCCCAAAGTGCTAGGATTACAGGCATGAGCCACCTCCTCCTCTCCCTTCTCTGCTCCTTAAGCACTCCTCTTTTTGTGTGTGTGTGTGTGTGTGTAGAGACAGAGCCTCACTCTGTCACCTAGCTGGAGTGCAGTGGTGCTATCACGGCTCACTGCAGCTTTGAACTCCGGGGCTCAAGCTATCCTCCCACCTCAGCCTCCCAAGTAGCTAAGACTACAGACACATACCACCATGCCCAGCTGATTTTTTTTATTTTTGTAGAGGCAGGGCCTCACTATGTTTCCCAGGCTGGTCTCAAACTCCTGGCTTCAAGTGATCTTCCTGCCTCGGCCTCCCAAAGTTTTGGGATTACGATCATGAGCCACCACACCCCGTCTCCCAGCAATTTCCAAGTACAAGTCAAGGGTTCCATTGGCAGCTCACTGAAAGACACTGCGTTTAGGTGATGGCATTAGCTGTGCAACACTGGGCTTTGATGAAAGCACCCTCTTTCAGATCTTCTCTCAGGCCTGTTCATCCCTTCCAAGTTCAGCTTAGAAGATACTGGGCCACCTAATGAGTTGTCAGAAGAGCGAACAATGGAAATGAAGGTGCACATCCCTCTCTCGGGTCCGGTTGCTGCATCTGATATAAGCCACTGTCTCTGATGGGTATCTGCCCTTTCACACACGCTTCCTTGCTGGCCAGTGCAAATGTTCTATATTTGAGTCAAACATAGAAGACGACACGGCAGAACTTCTTGGAATAAAGAGGTCTTTGGCGGACTCTGGCTCTACCCTGTCTCTCTCTCTCTGCCACCGTCCCCTCCCTGGTAAGGGAGGTAGGGACAGTGGGAAAATCATTAAGCAGCAGCATCTGGACCTGATTAATTAACTAGCTGGAGCATCTGCAAACGTGTCAGGCCTGAGCCTAGGACAAAGTCCTGTGAGCAGGTTTGTGTTCAGGAAGGGAACCGGCTGTTACATTTTATAAGACAAATATTATCTGTTCTTCTTCCAGGATGCTTGTTATTAAAAGCTGGATTTAATAGAAGAATTAAAAGGGCTTGTTTCACTTGACATTTCATCCACTAAAGACCTGAGGGGGGAAAAAAAACCCCAGTGCCTGATGATCGGGAGCTTGTCTGTCAAGTTCCTTCTCTGTTTTGCTTTCATTGTTTTCCATTGACTGGTTTTTGCACCAAATGTTAAAGTCATAAGATGCTGAAGATTTCCCAGTTACAGGAATCTTTTCAAGGACTATTTCAGAGACCGCAATGTGCAAGAGATGCTCATTGCTAAGTAAATATCACACTAAAAATCCAGATCTTCCTCCTTCCGCCGCTGACATACAGGTAGTGGAGGAAGCAAAAAAGGACCCATTCTCAGGCCCATTTGTGTTCGGACTGGCTACCGGCTCCCTTCAGAAGTCGACGCCATTTTATCCTAAAGACACTGTCAGGGCTGACTTTTAAATGCTCTTTTGATGTCAAGATTCACACGGATTTGATGATCGTTTTCTACACTTAGGGCCCTGTCGCTCTTCTCTTATATTACCCCATCAAGTTGGTACTTCATAAAGCCTGAATCATCATTACTATCATCTTAATTGCTAGGCGGGTTTGGGTGTAAATCCAGGTCTGGAGGATAAAATCCCTGGGGAATTCCCAGGTGCGAAGGGAGTGGCCCAGACTGGGGATTCAGCAGCAGGCTGTGAACTACCTGATCAATAAATAGCACGTGGACTACACGAGTACTATCTGTGATTTAAAGATAAGATCTCCATAATCAGGAGATGGGAAGGGGATACAGCTGTGTTCTGGTTCAGAGCCTCCGAAATCTCACTTGTGTGAGTCGCTGCTACTTAATAGCACCTCAGGTCAAAGACAGGCCGAGTTAAAACACTCTGTGAGACTAGGAGGTGGTATTCTGTTCCTTATTTAAAAGACAGAGACCTTGGAAGATTTAGCCAAATAGGCAAAAAAGTATGAGATTAGTGAAAGGGAACAAACATAATCTAAATTGATCCCTAATTAGGGCCACCACATAACATACAGGAAGTATTATATAAAGAAATAATATGTTAAAATATTCAGTAAAAAGATGTTCTGTATTTGGGACAAGCTTCTACTGAAAAGAAATTATTTGTTGATTATCTGAAATACAAACCTAACTGGGTGTTCTGCATTTTTATTTGCTAAATCTGACAGTGCTGCACCAGATTTGAACCAGTATGATTTTCAGAGACAGGAGACTGAAATTCTAGAATTTTCCACTGACAGTGGACATTAGGCAGGTAACGTTTTAAGTTTCCATCCGTGTGCAGATGGGAACTATGCATTAAGGTCATTCTGCATGAAATATCTGCATTTATGAATTTTTTAAAAAAATATTGTTTTACCACTTTTACTGCATATACAATTATCTAAATCTCCAAAAATGAAAGAACCATTTCTAAGTAGAAGGCCTTAGAAAAGATATGCAGATAACAAGAGTTAAATACTTACATATCAAATTTAATTAGCTCAAACCCTTAAAAACAGTTTAATTACTTTTGCTTTAAAATGCTCCACCATATTTTGCCACAGTCCAAATTTAGAAAATTAGTGGAAAGGTAACAGACACCTAAACTTTCTCTTAACAAGTCAACTTATCATAAATTTGGAATTTTTCAAGTTCAAAATAACTAGGGTTTATTATTCTTATACTTTACTGAAGACAACTAACTCTCTCCCAGTGATTTCTTTCTCTTTTCCCTTCTGATTACAACAAAAATCCAGCTACCTAAAATAGGCTTATTCCTCAAAAGGAAACAAAACTGCCGAGTTCTATGACAATAATACTAATCAAAAGTCCATTTTAATTGTTCCGGGCCCTCATAGTGTATTTGATCTGTCTCTGTGGGCATCAGGATGACTGGGCTAAGCTGTGGGGGCCTCCTCTCCACTCTGGAGCAGTTTTGCATTTCAACTTTGAAAAATGAAAAACCTGAATGCACCTAGGTTCCTAACTTGGGAAGAAAGTGCTGAAATAGATTTTGTTTAAAATAAAAGAGCTCTAAAAATCTACAGAGTAACTCTTTTGAGACAAGCGAATACATGTTTTAGCATCCAAGTGGGATATAGTCATTAACATCCTCCTTCAAAGACAGTCTAGTCAATGTATCTGCTGCAGCAAAATATTTGGGATTTGGGCAATGCATTTTGGATCTGAATATTCCCTAGGTTCTGCCAAGATAGCACCTACCCTAGGAATTTCTCTGTCAAAGTCGTCACTAAAATGTTCTAGACTGAAGGTTGTGCCCTGAAGTTCTGAATTGCAAAGGGCCACAGTGGTGTGTCCATCTTAAGAAGTGGCTATGAGAGGCCGGGCGCGGTGGCTCACACCTGTAATCCCAGCACTTTGGGAGGCCAAGGCGGGCGGATCACGAGGTCAGGAGATCGAGACCATCCTGGCTAACACGGTGAAACCCTGTCTCTACTAAAAATACATAAAAATTAGCTGGGCGTGGTAGCGTGCGCCTGTAATCCCAGCTACTCCGGAGGCTGAGGCGGGAGAATGGCGTGAACCTGGGAGGCGGAGCTTGCAGTGACCCGAGATGGCGCCACTGAACTCCAGCCTGGGCGACAGAGCCAGACTCCGTCTCAAAAAAAAAAAAAAAAAAAAGTGGCTGTGAAAAGCCTCTCTTCATTCACTTGTCTCACCAGAGAAGGCAGAGATGATTTCTCCCTTTTGAAAGATGGCTTTAAAATGACATTGAGAGGGTCAAAAAAAAAAAGAACAGACAAAATTATTTGGAAATAAAAAAGAGTACAGGCAAATCAAATGTCCCCATGTTTTTAAAAGCCTTTCTATGAAACTGGTCCTATTTATTAGTGGTGAAATACAAACCATGCTATCAAGAATCTTAAGGAAATGGATTGCTGTTAAGTGATACTTCAGAATCCACCCCCTAGCAAGGCTACTGCGCCATTACAGGAAGATAAGCAGAAAATCCTTGCCTCCCATAAGGGAAACCTTTGCTTGAAATACGTGTAAACCATTCAGTGGCAGTTCTAAAGCCAGTGATTCAAAATATTGCTCTGGAAAATTTCAGTTAACCAGCAGTACCCAGGGTCTTTACAGACGAAAACAAAGACCAAGACTTTGTCAAGGGAGGAGGTGCTAAAGGAGGTGGGCAGCCTCTGAAAGTGCAGTCTTTTTTTGTTTTTTTTGTTTTGTTGTGTGTGTGTGTGTGTGTGTGTGTGTGTGTGTGTGTGTGTGTGTGTGTGTGTTTTGTTTTTGTTTTGTTTTTGTTTTTTTTTTTGAGAGGGAGTCTCACTCTGCCACCCGGGCTGGAGCGCATTGGTGTGATCTCGGCTCACTGCAAGCTCTGCCTCCTGGGTTCACACCATTCTCCTGCCTCCACGCCATTCTCCTGCCTCAGCCTCCAAAGTAGCTGGGACTACAGGCACGCGCCACCATGCCCGGCTAATTTTTATGTATTTTTAGCAGAGACGGGGTTTCACCGTGTTAGCCAGGATAGTCTTGATCTCCTGACCTCGTGATCCGCCCGCCTCAGCCTCCCTGAAAGTGCAGTCTTAAAGGTCCAATTTTTACACTCATTAATATTACATGTAATAATCTACAGTATTAGGGATGTGATTGGTTCCTGCCTGGCTCTGTGTTGCGTGAAACAGCAATAATCTAAGTACAACATCACTTCCTATCCTCCCACCCTCCACATCCTGCAGTCCCCCATCCCTGCCCTTCTACCTGTCAAAATGCAGAAGGAAACTGATTACCACCTGGAACAGGTTATGCTCCTAGCCTTGCGTTCTTAGAACATTTTGTTTTGGAGTCCTAGGATTCTTTTTATCAAGAGAAAAAAAATTTTAAAGTATAGACAATATCCTTGAGGAGTTTGTAATCTAGGTGGGAAGGCAAAACACCCAAAGAAAAATGATGCAATAATAGCATCTTGGATGAAGACTGCTAGATCAACTTCTCAAGGGACTCAAAGCATTTCTTTAAAATTTCTTCATAAAAAAGAAGCAAGTGAATGAGTTAATTCAAAAATGGCTTCAATTGAAATCCAAAGCAGGACACACACTAGGGATAGACCATAGGCCAAGCCTAACTATGGTTTTGTCGCTAGGTCAGAGCAAGGACTAGCGAGGGTGAGGGAGTGTTTGCTTCCTACCTGTCACAAGTCTCCATCTAGATGTGTAGAAAACATTTGACCTCTGGGTTTGGTTCAGCCTCTCCCTATCCTGAGTTTGTGGGAAATAGACGGCCACGTATCATGGTCACCATCATCCTCGCTCTCTGCATAACCCCAGGTGCCCTGGGCCAAGGGTTTGGTGCCTGCAGGCTTGCTGAGCCACAGCTTCCGCCGATTCCATGCTTTGACCCCACGCTGGGGTTTACATCCCAGTTCTCATCCAAAATGCTAGCCCCTGCTTCATCTCCATTATCCCTCGGTTCTATCCCTTCAAGATGGGCCTTGCTTTCTCTACGCTCAAATTATATCAAGCATCCTAAGATGTAAGTTCCAGCATCACTACATGGGATTCCAGTTATTGCCACCATTATCTCAAGACTCTGGCTCCTTGACTGCCTCTCTTCCACCCATCTTCCTGCATCCCTACCCCAGCCAGAGCAAACTCTGTACAAACAAGGGCATAGCTCAGACCCAACATCCCCCTGTATTCTATAATCAGGCCCTCTGGCCACCCTGAGCATTAGAACTTCCACCGGCTCTGTTTTCCAGCCTGACCCACTCCTACTCCCTATACTTCAAAATTGTACCACTGAGGTCTCTACACCTAGTGTTCAAGTCTGCTCAGGTTATAAAAATTAGATGGTAAATTTTCCAAAATGCTGTCATCTCCACGTCATGTTCTTAAATGCTGGTAGCTATGCAATGTATTTAACTTTGAGGTGTCTCTTTGTTCTCTTAGGAAAAAAGCAAACTGGAATAGATGGGTTTGGGGATGCCTCTAAGTCGTCATGCTTTCTGAGTAGTAAGAAACAGTATGAGGCCAGGCACGGTGGCTCATGCCTGTAATCCTACCATTTTGGGAGGCCAAGGCGGGCAGATCACCTGAGGTCAAGAGATTGCGAAGAGCATGGCCAACATGGTGAAACCCCATCTCTACTAAAAATACAAACACGTAGCTGGATGTGGTGGCACATACCTGTAGTCCCAGCTATTCGGGAGGCTGAGACAGGAGAATCGCTTAAACTCAGGAGGTGGAAGCTGCAGTGAGCCGAGATAGTGCCATTTCACTCTGGCCTGAGCAACAGAGCCAGACCCCATCTCAAAAAAAAAAAAAGACATTACCCTCAAATATTTGCATCTGATGATAATTCTAAGGAAGTAGTGAGGTTCTACAAAACTTATCAATTTTACTCTTTAGTTTCACATTGATGGCATCAGGAAGAAAACCCCGATGAATTCTTCAATGGCCTCTGGTCCATTCTGTAACGTAGAACTTCTAAAACTCAAGAGTAGTAACTTGGACACAAGGTGGTGCTAAGGGGTAAAAAATTAACTGTGCGTCCTTTTCCCGAAAGGTTACCTCGAATACTCAAGGTTTTCGGGGCACTTAATAGTTTACAAATGTTTTCACACACATTGTCCTGTTTATTCCTCAGACTCAGCTAGTCTCGTGTTCTAAATATATAAATGAGAAAAATAAGGTCCCCTTAGGTTGTGTGACTTGTCCAAGATAACTCAGCCCAATCTGGATCTCCCTTCTAAGTCTAGGTTTAGTGCCTTTTTTTACTCTCCTACACAGGTTAGTCCCTTTTTTATGTGAAGTAAGAATTCTCAATAGGGCTTCCATCAACATCTGCCAAGCTAGGGAGTTCTGAATGCACCGATGCAACTTACATCCTGTGCCTCACTCGTGTTGCTAGTCAGGGGACCAGTGGGGTCTTGGTGACTCTCTCTGTGTTCTCAAGAATCCTTGGCCAAATTCTAGGATTTAAAAAGTAACACATAAAAATTTGGGCCGGGATGGGGGGGATCCCAAGGAGAAAAGATGAGTTCTGACGATACTTGGATTTAGATCCACCTGGGTAGAAGACCCCTGGTCTAAGCTTCCTGCTCATGCAGAGCTGTGGCAATGCTGTAGAAACACTAGCCTGAGGCTCCCAGAGCACCCTCTCCTGGTGCAGCCTCATCTCTCTCCTGATAGGGCTGAAGGTCTGTCTCCACATGCGGGCAGGAAGGCCCTGGTCCCACCAGTGCCTTCATAGCCATGTGTCATATAAGCCAGACTGAGAGGCCTCTGCAGATGGCAAGGGAAAATCAGATGGCTTCTCCTGTTGAGATGATCTCCTCATAGACCTAAAATACCCACAATGGGTGGTACATTTCTGGCTGTATGAGTTTCCCAGAGCTGCCATACCAAATTCCCACAAACTCAGTGGCTTACTGAGTGTATTGTCTGATAGTTCTGGAAGGCAGAAGTCTGAAATCAAGGTATCAACCGGGCTGATTCCTTCTGGAGGCTCCGAGGGAGAATTCATTCCATGCCACACTCCTAGCTTCTGGTGGCTCCGGTGTCCTTTGCACTCCTTGGCTTTGTAGACTCATCATCCCAATCTTTCTGCTTTTATGTGGTTTTCCCCAGTGTCTCTGTGTGTCACACATATTCCTGTGGCCTCAAACTCCTGGGCTCAAGCAATCCTCCCACCTCAGCTTCCTGAGTAGCTGGGACTATAGGTGCAGACCATCACACCAAGCTAACTTTTTTTTTTTTTTTTTTTTTTGGAGACAGAGTTTCACTCTTGTTGTCCAGGCTGGAGCGCAATGGGTGGCGCGATCTCGGCTCACTGCAACCTCTGCCTCCCAGGTTCAAGCAGTTCTCCTGCCTCAGCCTCCAGAGTAGCTGGGATTACAGGCACATGCCACCACACCCAGCTAATTTTTGTATTTTTAGTAGACACGGGGTTTCTCCATGTTGGTCAGGCTGTTCTCGAACTCCCAACCTCAGGTGATCCGCCTGCCTTGGCCTCCCAAAGTGTTGGGATTACAGGCACGAGCCACTGCACCCAGCCAACACTGAGCTAACTTTGAAAATTTTTTGTAGAGATAGGGGGGTATCCCTTTGTTGTTCAGGCTGTTGTCAAACTTCTGGGCTCAGACGATCCTCCCACCTCAGCCTCCCAAAGTGCTGGGATTACCGATGGGTCCCTCTTGTTTTTTGTTTGTTTGTTTTTTAATAAGAACACTAGTCATTGGACACTAATCTCCTAAATCCAGGATGATTTCATCTGGAGCTCCTTACTGATTACATCTGCAGCTCCTTACTGATTACATCTGCAAAGGCCGTATATCCAAATAAGATCACATGCTAAGATTCTAGGTAGACATGAATTCTGGGGAAACACTGTTCAATTTCAAGCATTCACAACTTTTCTTCCTTTGAACTAATCCTCCAAGTTCTCTTCCTCTGAACTTATAGAAGATGGAGAACAATGGTCACTGTCATCCCCAGAAGAGCTCCTCATCTCCCTTAGTTGGGACATCCTGCCAGTGCTTTCTCTACCAGGATAACACCAGCCCTCTTCAACTGCATTTTTCTCTACACACAACATTCTCGTTTGCCAAGGTCATTCCATGGAACCAATGTCCAGCGTCTTCTCTTTCCTTAGATCCCACAGTCCATACTCAACCTCCATGTGAAGACAGAGAATATCCTTTTGAGTTGGAAGGGATGTTGACTGACTTCATCCATTTATTTTGTTCTCATTCCGAGTCTGGATTTGCCTGCGTCCCTTGTAGCTTAAGAGCCCTTTTAATTAAGACATGACTCACAGATCATCTTCATGTCAACAGGCAACAATATTGTATACCTTCGAATTTTTCAATAACGAGCCTTGAACAGAACAAACTCTTTGTTTCAGTGAAAAATGCTAATTGAAAGATTTTTTTTTCTCAAAAGGACATTGAACGTAAACCAATGTACTAAGCAAAATGTAGATGATGCCTCTCCTTTTATCTGCTGTTCCTTCAAACAGAAAACAAAGTACCACCCCAACCAACCAACTCTTCTGGCAGGAAAAAGAAAGAGTCCTCAAATTACGTTCTTCAACAAAGGGTCAGGAAGGAAAAGTGAATGTCACAAACACCATTCAAAGCACCGCAGAAAGTAGTCAGTTTGGTTTCTTTCAGAGGCTGGAAGAAAACGTCCTTCTCCCCCGTCTCCCTTTGTTTTTAAGTTACTAAATTCCTTTACGTTTGTTTTCTTAGGAAAGTGACATTATAGGTCATTAAGCAACTATTAAAAACACAAGTGAGAAAACCCAAAGCGTGGGTCTTTTTCCTCTGATATTCTTTTCCCTGGTTTTCAGAAAACAGTTTTAAGAGTTGGAATATTTTTGTTAATGTCTTTGTGGGCATTTCCGTCATCTTTCCATTTGTAACAGCCCCTAAATAAGGCAGCTAGGGGAAACCTGCCTTGTCTTAGCACACCTGCTATGCCAAAACAGGAACATGCATTCCCCCACAATGGGATGGGTGATTTGCCAAACAGACCAGAGCTCCCAAATTACCTGCCTTTTTGCAGTGCTACACCCAAAAATCAACCCGTTGACTGATGAAATCAACCCGTGTGGAACTTGATTTTCGACGTCCTCTCTTCCTCCCACAGTTGGACAAGAAAGGGGAAGGAAAGAGAAAAGGGAGAAAAGCCCTCTTCCCACCGGGTAAGTCCAGGTGAGTCCCATTCACCACCGTCATTGCCATTGTGCGAGGCTGCAGCATGGAGCTGGCCCCCCTCTAGCCACAGGATCGAGCTGGCTTCAGAGCTTCCGGGGTCTCATCCTCTTGCAAATTTCTTTGGTGGTGAAATCTATCAAAGGAATCTCAAAACAGATTACATGGTAAATTATCGTCTCCATTCTGGGCCACTCTCCATGCCCCGCTGTCCGGCTCCGACAGACAGCCGTGGGTGAGCTGCCGGTGGAAAGCCTCCGAGATAAGAAGATTACAGAATGTCATGTGCCTCCGGCGACTCAACTTCACAGCTAAACTTCTCCAGCCCAGGCAGTTCATCTGATTCGCATGGGTCACAGGCTGTTTCAATTAATGCCTCTCTAATGATTCAAGTGTGTGCCCTAATGTGGAAGGGGAATAGAGAGAAGTCAAGCCAGGGACCTTAGCATGTCTGTCCTCTCCACCCTCTATCTCAGAATGCTCTTTCCCAAGCTGACTTATAAGAAAGGAGAAAATGGGATGGGAAGGAATATAGAATTCCTTTCAGACAGAAACCTTTTATGTCACCTTCCTGTCGTTACCAATGCAATTCTGTGAGTCTTCCGTGGGCTGTGGATCCTAGAGTAGTGAATAACAGCCCTGATACGAAAACAGAATGCAGAAAACAAATGAGCATTTTGAAAATAAAAAGCCTGGCTTTTAATCCTATTAAGATCATGGCTGCTTTTTTTTTTTTTTAATTTCTCTCCCCTGCCCTAAAAACTCCGAAAGAGATACCGATGTTCCCATTAACATAAATGCTGAAATCAGCATTTCCTTTGAAAGAAGTTGTTAATATTTGGAAATGGTCAGATTTCCAATCCAAGCTTTGATTGTTATTCTATACTAGCCAGCAAGTGCCAAGGTCACAGGGAGATTCACCTGCAGACTGAGCTAAATGAATCCACTCGGCCACAATGCATGTATAATTTAACAGTCTCCTCTTGAGTACTTCCATGCATTCCTAAAAAATATTTTATTACAATAACAAATTGGTTTCAAAATCATGCATTATGTATTCTGAAATTAGGTCTGCCAGTGAAACCTGGATGCACAAACATGCGTACTCCTGGGCAGGGCCGGAAGAGCACACAGATGCCAGGATGGAGCTCAAGAACAGTTAATCCCACAAGGAACCCACTGTCGCTTCTTTATTATCTTAATCTGCATATTTGGAAAGTAAAAGAACAAACTGATCATTTACTGTAAAGGGCAACCACCCGTTTCCCTTAATCACCCCCTCCATGAGAAGGCAGAGGGCGTGAAGTCCTAAAAATAGGCTGCCGAGGCAGTTTCCCAAGCTTTCCTTAAAAAACAGTTATTCCTTGAATATTAAAAGTCTTCTTTTCCTGTGATCTGACACTTCCCGGGTATACATTTTACAGGAACTGGACTTTAACAAAGCTTCTTTGAAACATTAAAGATAAAGATATCAAAGCCATCCTTACAAATTTGTGTTAAGAAATACACTTGCTCTGCCGTAAGCTTTCATCACTGAGTTACCCAAAAAAAGTTAACATATTCAGAAAAATCCTTAGGATTCCCGACACAAATGCAACCCCATATAATGTGTCCCTAATGGGTGCTTGTTTCTGCTTTGCAACTTTCATCTGAAGTTAAATACACATTGATTTAGCATTCTTTTACAACATGGGGATGGTTTTCTCATGGCACAATAAACATGTTTCTTAAGATGTCTATTTGTGAATAATTAAGACTAAAATGCTTTTCTGATTCCTTCCTAGTTTTTTCTAGTTTAGACCTTTATATCACACTTGTAAAAATTCCATCTCATCAAATGAATGGCATTAATAAATCCTAAGCAGGCAGGTTTTCCAAAATGGCGACTTTCATGATATGGAAGGCATTTGATCTTAAAAACATGAGAAAGAAATTTAGTTGAGTTTTCTCTTTGAAAAGTTTCTTGGGCATGAGCTTGATCTTTCTATATTAAAAGAAAAAAATCTAGTTTATTTCAATAGGGGATTGGTTTTCATTAACTTGCAAGCTAAACATCATTGGTATGTTTCTATTGGTGTACTGACTTGGTGAATAAAACAACAAATTCTTGAGAGAGTCACTTATAAATCTCTTTAAATTAAAATCAGTCTAATTTTTATTATAAGACTAACATCATGATAGGCTTAGTATTTTTAAGGCAATGCCCAGAACTAAAAAGTTTAATTCCCTGACAAGAGCTTTTAATAAAGACAAATCATAACTAAAATTAGATGCTGCAACCTTTTCTTCTCAAAAAAAAAAAAAAATCTGCAAACACTGTGTTAAGACATCATTCCTCCTTAATTTTGTTTCGATGGAGTGATATGACTAGACATATAGCTTTTCTATAGTTAAATTATAAAGAATAATTTTCTCTAATCTAATCAGTAATTTCTAAAAATGGGAAATGGTAACAGCATAATTTTTTATTTCTTTTGTATTATAATTTAGGCTGACACATTAAAGCTTTGCTTTTCAGGGGAACAATTAAGAAATTGTTGATAGAAATTAAACATTACTGACAATTGAAAATGCATTTTTTTCCTCATTCGCAGCATCTAGATATACCGCTCCTACCTCCCATCAAAGATAATCTAAGCTCAGATAGTATTAAAGTAAAAATGAACGAAAAAGCTTAGTTCTTTTGTGCTAAACAAAAAGGTGATTTATATAAGTAATAAGCAAATTCCAGAGTATGGAGATATATGTGTATTTTTAAATCCTCTAAAAATGCCTTAAGTTGTAATCTTCAGGCTAAATGATTAAACTCTCTCTGGGTCCTTTGGCTGTAGAACTATATCCTTCATGTTAGCTGTGGGCTATTTTCGGCTGAATGCAAACTGCTTTTTTGTTATTAAAGACAGTTCATGTTTTACACCACCTTTGGTGTATGGTATACAGACCAACACACATAATTTAGGTCAGTATTAAAATAGAATTAATTTTTTTTAAAAAACCTTCAATAATAATTACAATAATTACATTTCCTTCCCACACATTGCAACAAATAGTTACATAGCCTACTTCTTAAATACTGGTGTGAAAACACTAAGTCGAAATTCATGACACAAATCAAAATGTGTTGCACAAACTTCTTTTTGGTTGTCGTGAAAGGGGTGTCTCAAATTGAGTGTAGAAGGGCATTCCAATAACCATAGTACTTTTTTTGGCTGAACTGTAAATACATAATTCATATATTAATATGATAAAATATATAAGATCACCCATATAGTAAAAATTAAATCAGTGAAAAGGACTAAATACAGTTACAAATAAGCAGCCCAGAAGTTCTAAGGGAAAATGCCAGAAGTCAAAATGCTTTCTGATTCATCTTAAGCAGAACAGGAGTTTTAACACAAGCCTCTCTTAACAGCTACCCAGGCAGGATTTGAGGAGAATAATTCCCTAATGCCACTTAAAAAAGAAAAGTCAACCGAAAGCATCAAATGGATTTTGAATCTAAATATTCTTAAAAAAAAAAAAAAAAAACTTTTTCTGAATTGGCAGCTCAGAGAATCAAACTGATAACATTACAATAAGGTAGGCATAGTCAACATTCTTCGGGTGGTTTGGGGCTGTTTTTTTAAGAGTGTGCTAGGAATTCCAGTTCTTGAAGAGTCACGGCCTGCATTCAGCTGTCTTCAGTTCTGTCCCCGGCCTGGCCATCTGCCAAAGAATGACACACCTTGAAGGACAAAGTAAGAACAGCTTTCCACACACTTCTCAGACCCAAGCTCCTGGCTTCAGAGCGAAAACTCTTAGGAGCCTTCAACCTGAGCACTTTTTAGCAGGTCAGAAACAGAAAGGCAGGAAGGAGAAGGCAACATAAAGCTGTCTTGAGCCTCCCCTCTCCGTAGGTCTAATGTTGCTTGGTCCACAGAACAATCACAACAATAAAATGCAGTGTGTCCTGGGGTCCCCTCTGAAAGAATAAAACTGGAAGCCTGTCTGTCATGGTGAATACCAAACCAGAAGCTCGCACCACGGGATTCGATGCCTTGTGCCTGGCTTGTATTCACAGGCAAGGCAGACAGATGTGTGGCCTTTGACAAAGCCAAGAGATGGGCATTTCAAAAATAAAATCATCTCCCAATTACAGGGAACCCTTCCTCCCTGGGATCCCAAAGCACTCTATCAACCTAAATTGGAATCCTGTCTACTGAGCTGCCTTCAATGCGGCCACTCCAGTATAAATTGGATCAAATGCTCTCAGATTAATTCCTGGAAACCTATATTCATCTTTGTATATCTTTATTACAAAACTAGCCACAAGACCGCTCTACAATTTTCATTATCGGAACAGCTTTCGAAGCTGGATTATGCCATGGTTTATCCCTCCGTGACCCCAAACCATCTTGTTAGCTCCATTATTGTATATTCATACAACACACCTGAGCCCAAGATAATAAGAGAGTTATAGTGAATGAGGGGACAGGGTGCGTTTTATTGCATTTTATGCACTGCTATTCTGCAATGATATTTAACCTGCCGCAGGCGCCCCCAGAAGTCCATGCCTCACTCCCATGCTTTCACTCGTGCTCTGACACAGAAGACCCTCACCACCCTCCCCAGTGTGAACCTCACCACCCTCCCCAATGTGAAGGGATGGCAAGTTAACCTGAGGAGGACCTGAACTTCTTGGTGATGGTCAAATGTCATTTCTCCTGCGCTGTTCTGGGTTAGAGTATGCAGGTTCTGCACCAACAGAAACCACAGCACAGAAAACCCCCAGCCCTTCACAGGAAAAGAGCAGGAGTTTTGCCTGCAAAAAAAAAGAGGACGGAACTAGCATATGCTTAGAATAGAAGATGGGAATGAAAGTGATCAGTGATCTTAGCTGTAGTTGCATTGGACTCAAAATGTTTTGGTCAAGTGCGTTACAGTCGTGGTTCATACAGTGCTGCTGCCACTGGCAGGTATCAAGTAAGGTTAACTTTATGATGATGATTTAATTTATTAAATTATATTAACCTATGTTAATACAGATGCTGTATATAACTATGATATTTTTAACAACTGTGTTAGAATCAAACGGTTTATTTTCCACCAGTGTGGTTGTTTCTGTTTCTGTTATGCCTGTGTATATGAATAGAAAACCGTACACAATGTAATGACCTATTACACAGTATAAATGCGTATATGTGTGTGTGCATATTTACATAAAATTTACGTATAGCTTTATATCTCCATTTTCTCACCACAGCTATATTCTTTGCTGGTCCACCCATACCTACCGTGACTCTCCAGCCTGCTTACCTGTATCCTCTCTTTCTTCCTCCCTTCCCTCTCCTCCCTTCTTTTCTGTCTTCCTTTTTTCCTTTCTTTTGAAATAATGCCAGCTTTGTCCTTAAAACAGGAAGAATAATGTAGAAGGGTAATCCATTATTCATAAATTCCAGGGAAACTTTAAGACTTCTGTTTTCTTATCCCTTTCCCCTAAATGTGAGGCTAAAGTACAATGAGACTGATTTCATATGTTGATGCAAAAAAGAAATGGTCTCATTATTTTGTGGATGTGCTTGAAGCCCTCTAAAGAAATCACCTCTTTATTTCTCATTGCTTAAAGAAATGATGCAAAATTTCATCCAGATATGTGACTATGCCTCCATTGTAACGGACCCGGGTGAAATTTTGTATCATTTCTTGGGCCCCCCCCAGCATCCACTGAATCAGAGCCTACTTTTCAACAAGATTCTCAGATCATTTTCATATACCTTAGTTTGGAAGCCTTAGCCTAGGGGATTTTTATTTGCCCATCTCTGGATTGTACTTCAGATCTTCTAAATCAAATTCTTTGGGAGTAGAGACCAGGTACTTGTACATTTAAAGAATTCCCCAGATGACCTGATAACCCTCCAGATTGAAAACGTGCCCAGTGAAGGTTTGACTTGTGTGGTTTCTACAGCGGCAGTGACAATGGGTGAAGGGATTCCTAACACAGGGGTTTTTCCTCCTGTCATCCCTCTGCATGGATTTCTACGGCAGGTCTTCATCACCTCTGTTTTCTGCATCTTAGTCTGAGAGTCAAGGTCCTCGGTCAAGAGCCACCTCCTTGAACTATCTTTCTGCTCCTTCATCCACGTCATTCTCCTGCTTCAACTAAATCAAACCACCACCAACTGCCATGATTTCTTTGTCATGCAGGACAGTTCCCTCTGCTTCACTGCCTTCACATCCACCATGTACCTCAAGGTACCTCTAATGACCCACAGCCCCCTGGAAGTCTTCCCCACCGACGACGTTCTACTCAGCACTCTCCTTTGTTCCATCTTTAAGTGTTTAACTTTCAAGCTACCACTTTGCACTTATCCATATGCTCTTTTAAATGGTCCTCATGCCGTTTTGTGTGTTTGATTAGTTTTTAAAAACTAAGCCAGTGGCGCACAGTTTGACTTCTTACAGCTGCCTTCTTCCTATGTTCTACATCACAGTTATCTACTGAGGGCTCCTACCCACCCCATAACATATTATGCATTAAATTTTCAGAATCCTGCTCCTGGAATATGTGAGAATAGAACTTCAAAAGTCATCCAGGATTCCAACTAATTTGTCCCAGAAGACACCTATGGAAAGCGACAGGTTCCCAAAAGTATTTAAAAACCAAAGGTTCATTCTCAGAAGCTGTGTAAGGAGTTGCTGGCTAGGACCTTTCACAATCTCCCTGTTCCGGGCACATGATGTTTTGTCCTTTGTTTGTTTCCTCTGTATGTTGATTGGTTTTGATTCATTACACAACACAGGGTCCACGAGAACAGGTCATTTTTCAAGTTAACAGGTGCAGGATGAAATTAGATTAAAGTTTGGTAAATTTGCAGGTGGAAAAAACATCAACATGGGACCGATAGAAGGGGTCTGGAGTGAGAGAAATATCCAGGGCAACATATTAAGACTTGTCTTATTTGGGCATGTGAATATTTCTCATTCACACGGAAGGATTTTCAGGGGGAGAAAATCTGTGCTCCTTCTTCTTCCATCTCTATTTGTGTCAGTTTCCCTCCTGAGCTTTGCTTGTCTTGCCCTTTCTCTGGACGAGGGCTTGACTCTGGGTCTTGTCACATCTCACTCATGCCGCGGGGCTGTTAGGTTCAGCAGGCAGAGAGCTGTGTGACCTGGGGCCATGTGAGTCTATCTCACTGGAGATGCTTTGTGCCATTCAATTCCTCTAAGCCCTGACCAGTTCACACCGCGATGATTGTGTTTCTCTCTTGTACCCAGGGAGAAATATGGCAGGCTTTACCATGGGAGATGTACACACAAAATGGATTTTCAGGATGAATGGAAGCCAAGCCCCGTCTTTCTCCTTCATCCATTTTTCTGTCTTTCTCTTCTGCCTCTTGATATTTTTCTTGACCATTTCCCTCAGTGTTTCTAATTATCTTTAATACTTATACACACTCACTAAAATGAGCATGGCACCCACTGGGAAGAAAACACTTCATGGCACTATTTTTTTTTAACCTTTGTTAAAAAACAATCCCCATTTAAGCAGTGACAGCCAGGACTCCGTAATCTGTACATACGATTTAATCCTTTAAAGAATCAGCAGGGCCCACATCAATCAAGAGCCTTCATCAACTTGTAAAAACAATATTTTGATTCAATCAGATTCAAAGCCCTGAAATTCTCAGCTAATTAATGCGAGGTCACTCGAGGGCTGTGCAATGGTAGCTGGAACAGTGGTCAAATATTTACCCCGGGCACACTCACACGTATGCATCACCAAAGGATCTGAGTGATGGTCAAGAATAGATAATGCACCTATGGCTGCAGCACGTTTCACCTGGCACAAGTATGTGGACAGATAATTATTACAAAGGGAGGAAAAACGAGAAATGATTCTTCCGTCATCATAGACACGCACGGAAGTAAAAGTCTTTTAAAGGTAAACGGATGGGGACCTGCCAACACCCTGCTGACAGTTCTGTTTTAACATGTATGTCCCAAAGCAGAGAGCTGTTCTGTGTAATCCTCCCTAGAACATTCAAACTAAAGAACATTAAAAAAACAAAAACAAAAACAAAAACAAAAAACCTTCTATTTTAGGTTTAGGGTTACATGTGCAGGTTTGTTATATAGGTAAACTCATGTCAGGAGGGTTTGTTGTAAAGATTATTTCGTCACCCAGGTACTAAGCCTAGTATCCAATAGTTAGTTTTTTCTCTGCTCCTCTCTCTCCTCCCACCCTCCACGCTCAAGTAGGCCCCAGTGCAAAATAAATGACATGTCTAAAACCTCATAAGACAGCAGATTCAATCCATGGGATCTTTTAGTTAGATCTAGATTCTAATAAATTTGCTTTGGTTTGCACCTTGAGACACTTTGGAACTCAGTGTATTTTGTAGGGGAGGAGGGTGTAGGAGCAGTCACAAAATTTTACTGGCTCTGCTTATTTCTAGGTGTGATTGCTGAGTATGTGAACAGGTCTCTACCAGCAAAAACATGTATTATTTACTTACACAAATGCAGACAGAGAAAGCATCAAGATGTCTTCTTAATGATAAAAAAATAATACTTTATATTTTTTCCCTTAAAATATGGGAGACAGGTAGTCAATTGAAAGGAAGTTCAGGTAGAAACTGTATCTCAGGCACTTCCTTCTTCTTTACTTTTGGTGTCTCCTGTAAACCCTTTAAAATGGCACACGGTCCTGGTTCTAATATTGTACTGCATAGTTTTACAAAATACACTGACTAAAGAGTATATCATATCTCTCTGTAGTATTTCTTACAACTGCATACAAGTCTACAATTATCTCAAAATATATAAAGTTACATTTAAAAGCTCATAAATTGTATAGCTATAGAATAGACACAGAACTGAGCAGGCTGTTTCTTATGTTTTAATTAATCACTTCCGCTCACCTGCCTGTCCCTCAGACCCCACTTCCCAACCTCCCAAAAAATTCTAAAAAGAGCAAACACTAGGAGACTGTGGACAACAGCTTTCTCTTTCCTCAAGATCAGGGGACTGAAGGTATACTTTTGTTTTTAAAATTCTGAACTTATCTTCAATAAAAGAAGGAAAAATCTAAATTTTTTGGAAGAAATTCATGATTTAAATGGTAGTCAGCTTGTTTTCTCCTTATGTTCCGCCATAGTTTTATAGTTTTTACCCTACGAATTTAATAACTGAGTGAAGAGTAGCAAAATCATTTGTATGGAAGAAACGTCATAGTTACAAACACGTTCCAGGTCAAATATCAAACCCATTCCAAATTAGGCTACAGTGGTCATTTCACTGATTCTCAGCAACATGCAGACTCTAAAACTTTTCTAATGTTGAGCTTGCTGACTGACGTCAATCACTCCGGCCAAACTGGTTGTTGAACAATCAGCATTGATCACTACGACAAACCAAATGGATGTGTGGCTCTGCTCAAACCCAGCATTTCGCAAATATAACACAGCTCAGATTCATAGGATGCTGCCAAGATTATTTTTTTAAACACTCAAGCCGGTCTACCTGGGGTTACTTGATGAAACATTTGGACTGAGTTAAACAGGTACTTCTGTCAGACAACTGATTAGATTGATTTTTTTCCCACTGTATTAACTGGTTATTTGGATTTTCTATACACATTTAAAAGACTTATGGAATCATAGATACATAAAATTTTAGCATTAGAGATGTCTTTAGAGATCGTATATGGTCTAGGGCTTTTGCTCAAGTTTCGTAGATGTTAAATGAAAAAAAAAAAAACAAAGGGAAGGATATTTTCATTAAATATGTTTGGGAAACTTTGAGCAAAGAAATTCAGTTGTTTGGTTCCTAGTTTGCTCAGAGGCTTTAAAATGCTAAGAGGCTTTATGATTCTGAAAGAGGAGAATATAATATGCAGGTTCTTCCAAGCTTATATTCAACAAAAACACTAACATGTAATACAAACTATTTCACAGACAAGGAAACAGACACCCAAGGAAGTGATGTGTTTTTTTTTAAATACTCCCACTTATAAGGAGTTAAACTAGAATCCAGGCCTCCAGATTCCCACTCTACTCGTTTTGACTGAGGCAAATGCATTTATTTTTATTTTTTTTATGAAACTTTTCAAACATATTTAAAAGTAGTGAAAATAGACAGCAACATCTATAACCCCATCAATCAGATTCAATAACTCTCTAGATTTTGCTTCACTCTTTGCTTTATATTTTATGTCTATGTAAACCAAAAAACAAAATTCTAAGGCCCCCAGTCATCTGAATGCACCTCTCCTCTCCGCCAGGGGCATTCCAAATTTAAGCTGGAAAACGAGTTCAGGCTGTGATGAGAAGGGAGAGCCGGACATGCCTCGTTACACTCTCCTCCCATTTGGAATTACTGATGGAACAGACTCTTTATGTCTGATAAGAAACATTTACAATCTATTCTCTCTGAAGCCCGCACCTGGAAGCTTCATCTGCGTGATAAAACCTTAGTCTCCACAACCTCTTCTCGTAACCCAGACATCACTTTCTATTGATAACTCTTTCAGCCAATTGCCAATCAGAAAATCTCTGAGTCCACCTATGACTTGGAAGCCCTCACTTCCAGCTATCCTGCCTTTCCAGACCTAACCAATGTGCATCTTAACATGTACTGATTGATGCCTATGTCTCTTTAAGATGTATAAACCCAGACGGTACTCTGACCACCCTGGGCACATGTCATCAGGACCTCCTGAGGCTGTGTCATGGGTGCATCCTTAACCTTGGCAAAATTAACTTTCTAAATTGATTGAGACCTGTCTCAAATACTTTCAGGTTCACAAATACGTATCATACACATTATTATAAAATGTGTATAATATATAAATTACTAATTATTATAATCTTTTTTTTTTTTTGAGACAGAGTCTCACTCCGTCACCCAGGCTGGAGTGCAGTGGCGTGATCTTGGCTCACTGCAAGCTCCGCCTGCCGGGTTCACGCCATTCTCCTGCCTCAGCCTCCCGAGTAGCTGGGACTACAGGCACCCGCCACCATGCCTGGCTAATTTTTTTGTATTTTTAGTAGAGACGGGGTTTCACCACGTTAGCCAGGATGGTCTCGATCTCCTGACCTCGTGATCCACCCGCCCCAGCCTCCCAAAGTGTATAAATTTTAATTATAAAAATATTCTCCTTTTTATGTAAAAAAATTCTCAAATACTTTTGGGTTCACAAATATATATTATACAGATTATATATATATATATATATACATACACACACATATAATGTATTAATATAATGTATTATAAAGTATAATGTATAATGTGATATATTATAATGTAGAATATAATGTATTATAATATATAATGTATTATAATACACATATATATTTTAAATATATAAATGTATAAAAATTATCCTTGGACAGTATATAAAAAATTTACCTGTTATAAATATTAAATGAAAGCATCCTGTCTTTAGTATTATGAAGAAATAATTATTCTATTAGGTGTCTTAAAATAGTGATCATATAATTTTATAATTTCCCCTCTATGTGTTAGCTGGAATTTTTCTTTGTAAGAGAAATTTACTGGCCAGGTGCAGTGGCTCATGCCTGTAATCCCAGCACTCTGGGAGGCCAAGGCGGGCAGATCACAAGGTCAAGAGGTTGAGACCATCCTGGCCAACATGGTGAAACCCCATCTCTACTAAAAATACAAAAATTAGCTGGGTGCGGCGGCGCACGCCTGTAGTCCCAACTGCTCGGGAGGCTGAGGCAGGAGAATCTCTTGTACCCAGAAGGCAGAGGTTGCAGTGAGCCAAGATCGTGCCACTGCACTCCAGCCTGGCAACAGAGCGAGACTCCGTCTCAAAAAAACAAAAACAAAAACAAACAAACAAACAAAAAAAAAAAAACAGAGAAATTTCCTTTGCTAACTGGGACTATCTAGTTACTTAGAAATACCACTCATATAAGAAAGACAGGATAAACGCTTTTTTTTTGGTTTCTTTTAGTTGCCTATCTTTCAGGGTAAGGAGTTAATTCTAATGGTATTCAATTAGTGATGCATTGGTGGTGGTTGCTTTGGGTTTGCTTTCTCTCTCTGTCTCTCTCTGTCAAGCACTCCCCTGCCATCTTTTATTTGAAGGTCACTGGGCTTAATGTATTTCCACTCCTTATTCTTTCTGATGCTCACAGTGTCCCATTTATTGCCTATAGGAACCCATTCATGTGTTTTTGTGTTCTTTTGACATGACCCATTAGACTTTATAGTTTCTTTGTTTCCTGGCACAACAAGATATCTTGCTGTGACCTTATATATTTCTTGCCACAGGCTGAACCCAGTCAGCCTTTTCAGAAGCCTTAGTTCCTTTCAGTGGGGAATGGTATTTAGAGATCACAGTCTGGACACAAGGTGTGTTCATTACTTTGGGGTTGCCATTATTTTAGGCCTGTTCAGTGGACAGATCTAGGAAATGCTCGTCTTGCCTTTTCTAGAAAAATGTTCTTTATTTTCTCAATTTTTTTTAACTTTCCCAATTAAGCAACGGTCAAACTACTGGCCTTCTCCCAGTATTTTCAAGAGAGGAAAATTTTGTATTATAATATAGGCAGAAACCCACCAACATAGACAATAAACTAGTGGCATTAATGAAAGAATGGTTCACCTTTGTTTATATATATGATTTCATATGAAATATATTAATTCCTTCCAAAGTCCTATCTACATTAAAATTTCAACTATAGCAGTTGTAAACAAAACTTACTTGTTTCTACTTTCATATACTGTTTGTATAAGTGGTTTTCTTCTGACTCCTTTATTCACATTTGAAACCAGATTTGTCATTTGCAGGAATAAAAATTGTTTTACACAAATGGATGCTTGTTACTTTCAGATAGGTCCTAAGAATCAAGCTGAAGGGTTTAAGTACCGCAGTGATTTTTTGAAGTGTTATATTTAAATAGTTATTAATTCTATTACAAGAATTGTAAATGGCTAACATTTGCATTAACATCCATATCACTGGTCAAGCATAAAACTTCGAATGTCTCTTTTTTTTTTTTTTTTTTTTTTTTTTTTTGAGATGGAATCTCACTCTGTTGCCCAGGCTGGAGTGCAGTGGCACGATCTCAGTTCACTGCAACCTCCACCTCCCGGGTTCAACCGATTTTCCTGTCTCAGCCTCCCAAGTAGCTGGACTATAGGCATGTGCCACCACACACACCTGGCTAATTTTTTTGTATTTTTAGTAGAGACAGGGTTTCACTGTGTTAGCCAGGATGGTCTCGATCTCCTGACCTCATGATCCACCTGCCTTGGCCTCCCAAAGTGCTGGGATTACAGGCATGAGCCACCGCACCCAGCCTTAGAACATATTTTCTATTCAAAATCGTGAACTGGGTAGGTATACATGCTTCCCCTTCCTTTCAAGTTTCCATTGAAATAACTACATTACTGTTTTTCAAAAGCATGGTAGCATAATTATACTATAAGAGATGATACAGACCTAAACAATGGCTAGAAACTCTGGAATACAAAAAGTAAATGGAGTCTCAGCTTACTGGAGAAGTCAGAGTGAGAAAAATTGTGGCACAAAACACGACAGGCAAGAGTATTTTCCCTAAAGGAGTTCTGGAGAAGTCTACCATGGCGAAGTGGGAACCCTTATGAATATGTTCTTCACACTAGCTTTCATTTGTCTTCCATGGGGTTGTCTAAACTTTATAAACCTAAAGTTGTGATGTATTCACTTCCATAAAACCCCAAATGGACAAATAACATCTCATTGCTACATACTTCTAACGTTCTTCACAGTTAGGATATAGGAAGACAGAAAAAAAAAATTAAGCCTAAATCTAATGATAACTATTTATTTTTATTTTTGAGATGGAGTTTCACTCTTGTCACCCAGGCTGGAGTGCAATGGCATGATCTTGGCTCACCACAAGCTCCACCTCCTGGGTTCAAGCGATTCTTCTGCCTCAGCCTCCTGAGTAGCTGGGATTACAGGTGCCCAGCACCACACCCAGCAAATTTTTTGTATTTTTTCAGAAGAGACAGGGTTTCACATGTTGGCCAGGCTAGTCT
The DNA here is from genome assembly GCF_000001405.40 of Homo sapiens. Taxonomy (NCBI): domain Eukaryota; kingdom Metazoa; phylum Chordata; class Mammalia; order Primates; family Hominidae; genus Homo; species Homo sapiens. Next base: position 73,582,696 of record NC_000016.10, read on the forward strand.
CCAACTCCTGACCTCAGGTGATCCACTCACCTTGGCCTCTCAAAGTGCTGGGATTACAGGCATGAGCCACCATGCCTGGCCATTAACTATTTTTTATCTAGACTTCCCATCTGAACCCAACTCTTGCATTGGAGTTATATAAGATGATACTCAGCAAGAGTGCTTAAGAAGCCATATAAAATCTACATGCTCAGATTTGGGAGTCTGTTCCAAGTAGTAACAACCTTGTGAAGCTCTGGTCATTGTTGTACTGCCTTGTTTTAAGTAAACTGTAGCATTTGACTAATCTAAACATAAAAGGCTATAAGATTCATTTTCTTTGCACTAGTCTTAGGATGTAAGAAAATTAAAACTGCAGGGTTGTGGGAAGTGTCTACAAACCACAGCTTTCCCAGCTATGGAGACGCTGACATGGCCTTGGAAAATACTTGCAGAAAACTCAACCTGCACTGACAATATCTGGGCCAATCAGGTTCCTTTCCTTCTCATCTGCTCCCATTCCTGTACATCCCTCTTCCCCAAGAAATGAGCCTATAATATCTATTCCAGATGAATATGCTCCCATTTGAAACAAACCTAGAAAATCTAAATAAAAGTTTTTAAAATCCACAACTAATCTTAAAAAAGAAGAAACCTGTGGTACTAAGAAGGAAAAAACAGGTTGAAAACCAGAGAGTTAACTGCATGAGCTGACACTGTGGATAGTGTAGTAAGAATAGGGCATGCATTTCAAATTTAGGACCCCAGAGATACCAGTTTTAATGACTAGGTAGAGATAGAAAATAAGATTGTGTGTCCTGTGTGCTGTGGAGTTAAAATAACGCCCACATAATTTGGGATCATCAAAGAAATTTTGCCATTCTCCTCAGGGAGATAACAATGAAATTTATCACTACCTGGGATTTGGGTAGAAAATAAGTTCTACTTGTATAGGCAAGGCAAATCCCAGAAATTAATGCACCACAAAATCTTTCTGGATAGACATGTTCAATTCTATCATGCTTAATTCAATTCATGTAACAAATGTCCCACTGTAAATAAACTCACAATTGACAAAATATAACATAAAAAACTATCTTGAAAGAGAATCGGCAAAACCCAATAAACAGAGTATTAAGACCCTCTAGAACTTCTAGTAAAATTGGACAGATTCTGATCAGATTCTGATAGAGACTGTAATATGAACGTATACAAAATGATTAACACTATATAAGAAATAATAAAAAGAATAGGAAAAAATTACTCACTATGAAACATGAAAGGGCAAATAAAAAATAAATAGTACATTTACAAATTTTTAAAAATATGCTTAGACATTGAATTCTAAAATCTCAAAAAACAGGCTAAAGAGCAGATTGGAAATAGGTGAAGACAGAATTAGTGAATTGGAAGATCTATCTGAATAACTCATGCAGAGCATAGTACAGAAAGACAAAAATACAGAAAATGTGAAAAAGTGGTTAAGTAAGATTTAGAGGAAGAAGTTCTAACATACATCTAATTGGAGTCCCAAACGATGAGAAAGAAAGAGAATGAGGCAGAGGATATGTTTAAAATAATAGACAAGTAATGGAAGTCAGATTAATAGAGCCTAGTAAATCCTAAGTAGAACAAATAACAGTAAATCCATATCTAAACCTCTCATAATGAAATTTCAGAACAGCAAAGACAAAGAAAAGACCTTAAAAGTATATAATGTATCTTTAGAGGAGAAACAGATAGACAGCTGACTGCTGATCATCAACAATGGAAGTGAGAAGCCCACAGAATAAAATCAGCAATATGTTAAGAGAAAGTAACTAGAAGTGTACACTTCAACAGATAGTGGGGAAAAAATATTTTAAGAACAAAGGTGAAAACCCAAAACAGCTTGCCAACATCAGGGCATTACTAAAGGAAAGTCTAAAGGATATACTTTGGACATTATGAAAATTTTTGTAAAGTCAAAGATGAAGACGGGATAAGGTCAGGTCATAGGCATGGGCAAAGATTTTATGATGAAATCGCCAAAAGCAATTGCAACAAAAGCAAAAATTGACAAATGGGATCTAATTAAACTAGAGAGCTTCTGTACAGCAAACAAACAACCATGAGAGAGAACAGACAACCTACAGAATGGGAGAAAATTTTTGCAATCTATCCATCTGACAAAGGGCTAATATCCAGAATCTACAATGAACTTAAGCAAATTTACTAGAAAAGAAACCCATTAAAAAGTTGGCAAAGGACATGAATAGACACTTCTCAAAAGACGACATACATGTGGCCAACAAACATGAAAAAAGCTCAACATCACTAATCATTAAAGAAATGCAAATCAAAAAATGAAATACCTTCTCACACCAGTCAGAATGGCAATTATTAAAAAGTCAAGAAACAACAGCTGCTGGTGAGATTGTGGAGAGACAGGATCACTTTTACACTCTTGGTAAAACAAACAGGTCAGGTGCGGTGGCTCACACTTGTAATCACAGCACTTTGGGAGGCCGAGGTGGGCGGATCACGAGGTCAAGAGATCGAGACTATCCTGGCCAACATGGTGAAACCCCATCTCAACTAAAAATACAAAAATTATCTGGGTGTGGTGGCGGGTGCCTATAATCCCAGCTACTGGGGAGGCTGAGGCAGGATAATCACTTGAACCCTGGAGGCGGAGGTTGCAGTGAGCTGAGATGGTGCCACTGCCCTCTGGCCTGCCAACAGAGCGAGACACCATCTCAAAAAACAAACAAAACACACACTGGGGCTTGTCGGGAGGTGGGGGCAGGGAGAGCATAAAAGACAAATAGCTAATGCATGTGGGGCTTAATACCTTGGTGATGGGTTGATAGGTGCAGCAAACCACCATGACACATGTTTACCTATGTAACAAACCTGCACATCCAGCACATGTATCCCAGAACTTAAAACAAAAACAAAACAAAAAACAGCAAAAACAAACAACAAAAAGATGTGATAAGGAAGGAAAGGCACAGGGAGTGAAAACTATGTGTGTGAAACTAAAGAAACATTGACTTGATATGTAATGACTTGTGGGATTAAATGAGTAGAAACAAATCATGGCAGGAGCAGTTGGTAGGTAGTAAGTGCAGTTAAAATGTTTCAAGGTCTTGGATGTTTCAGGAGTAGGAAAATGTACTGATTAATTTTGGAATTTGATTAACTTATACGTAATTAACAAAAAGAAAGAAAAAAAGGCATTTAACTTCCAAAGTAGTAGTAGAAAAAAATAAACGTGGGATAACCAACTAATCCAAAAGAAGGTAAGGAGGAAATAAAATGTATATGGAAACACAAATATAAAATACAAAATAAGATAATAACACAAAATAAGAAAATTCTAAACTAAGAAAATAGACAGGGACTACAACTATATATTGTTTTTAATAGACATATTAAAACATACACAAAAGCCAGGCATGGTGGCTCAAACCTATAATCCCAGCACTTTGGGAGGCTAAGACAGGAGGATCACCTGAGGTCAGGAGTTCAAGATGAGCCTGGCCAACATGGTGAAACCCCGTCTCTGTTAAAAATAAAAAAATCAGCTGGGTGTGGTGGCACATGCCTGTAATCCCAGCTACTCAGGAGGCTCAGGCATGAAAATCACTTGAAACCAGGAGGCAGAGGTTACAGAAAGCTGAGATCGCACCACTGCACTCCAGCCTGGGTGACACAGCAAGACTCTATCTCAAAACAAACAAACAAACAAACAAACAAACAAACAAACAAAAAAACATACAGAAAAGTTGGAGGTAAAAAAAAAAAACCATAAATGAAACACTCTGGGAGGAAAAAACAACCTACTACAGCTATACTATTATTATTGGATAAAATAGACTTTAATTTAAAAATGTACTATAAGTATCAGTTCCTCAGAAAGATTTTTGAAAAAAATAAAATGTACTTCATGACACAGCCTCATATATATAAAATAAAAATTGATAGGATTACCAGGAGAAACAAGCAAATCAACTGTCTTTGATGAAGGTTTTAACTCATTTATGTTATTGGCAGATGAGGCAGACAGAAGATCAACAAATATATGGAGGATCTGAAAAACACAAAACTAAAATTGACCTAATGGACATATTGTTTTACCACATGAAATAGTTAGTATTAGATGACTTAAAAATTGTCTGAGGTTAGTGAAATTCATATCTAATATATATTCTATTATAGTCTGTTTAGCATTTTTAATAGAATTCTATTCCTTAATTTTCTTTGTTAATTGGGCTGTTTTTGCTATTATTTTTTCCACTATGTAAATACTGATGTCTTCCAAAGAATGCTGAATACTTTTAAAAAATATGAATGTAAACACACACAAGACCACTGAAACAGGCTGGAGCATCAATTTTGGAGACGGCTCTGTGAAAGAAAGAGTGAAATTTTTGCCTGGTTCTTCAAAAATTATATTCGAAGAACTGGCTCTCAAAGGCCTGGGAGAGGCCCAACTCTGTTTCGAAACATCAGTTCAGAACCATGATAGAAGCTATTTCACAAATTACAATTTGAGATTTATGACAATGCCTTAACATCGGCAATAGGGAAGGTGAAAAATTTAGGCAAGTAAATATACCAGCAGATAAGAGACTTTTTAAAAAACTGAGATGTTTAGAGGTATACATATTACTTTTCAGAGGGAACCATAACTAGTGACAAAAATTGGCTGTACAACAATTGCAAATGACCTGGACAATGGTTAGATGTTGATGAAGCTGCACCAAACATGACCAAAACCATAACTTTTGCCAAAATGCTTTTAGTTGACTGCATTTAAGCAACAGAAATTGAACTAAAAGCAACCCGCGTTGGCTGTTACCAGACACATTCCCAAATGTTTGCATGCCAACACTCCACCACACTCATCATAAATTCCCATAGCAAAAGCAGCAGAATTGGGCTACGACATGTGTCTAACATTCTCACCAGACTTGTATCCAATGTGTTGCCACTTTTCTCAGGATTTGGAGCACTTTCCAATAAAGAAAACATACCCAATAGAGAAATAGTAATTGGAGAGTTTGAGTAATTTATAGTTTAAAAATGTCAAATTTTATTAAAATGAAATATATCATGTAATAGTCCATTCCAAGAAAAACTATCAATGCTAATTGCATACATTTTAAATAAACAAAACATCCTTTTCAAAAAAATGCAGAATTTTCATTTTGACCTGTACAAACAGCAATTTCATATAATACAACTTAAATAAACATAGTACAGCATACCAACCACAGAACAGAATATATATTATTTTCAAGTACTTATGGAACATTTACAAAAATGGGGCACACAGTGGGCCACAAACGGTAAAGCAAATATCAGCAAATTTCAAAGGACTGCAATGACAATGTTCTCTGAATACATGCAGTTAAACTAAAAATCAACAACGTAAGGTAACTAGGGAAACCGCTATGAATTAGGACTTTAGGAAACATTCCTAAAGAAGAAAATCCATAGATCAAAGAAAAGAATCACAACAAATTAGCAACTATATTAAAACTGACAATGAAAATGCTGAACTATATTTTAAAAGTTAAAGAATGCAGATAAAGAATGTACGTAGAAGAAATGATACCACTTTAAATGTTTACAAAGGAATACACATCTATCTGAGGAAAACAGAAAAAAAGAATATAGTATGTCCAAAAAGCTTGGAGTTTTAGATCTAACTATGACTGTATAAGAAAACAAGAGAGAGGAGGCCGGTCGCGGTGGCTCACGCCTGTAGTCCCAGCACTTTGGGAGGCCGAGACAGGTGGATCACAAGGCCAGGAGATCGAGACCATCCTGGCTAACACGGTGAAACCCCATCTCCACTAAAAATATAAAAAAAATATTAGCCGGGTGTGGTGGTGGGCGCCTGTAGTCCCAGCTACTCTGGAGGCTGAGGCAGGAGAATAGTGTGAACCTGGGAGGCCGAGCTTGCAGTGAGCTGAGATTGAGCCACTGCACTCTAGCCTGGGCAGCAGAGTGAGACTCGGTCTCAAAAACAAAAAACAAAACAAAAAAAAAAAAAACAAGAAAACAAGAGAGAGGAATATAGTCAACACCCCCAAGGACATGCAATCATCAAAATTCAGACTGTAGAAAATTCTCTATAACAAATAGTTTCTCTTTAACAAATGAACTTCTGGGGTTGGGGAGAGAGAAAGATTGAGAGAGAACATGGAGAGGTCTAGACAGAGACAGAGAGACAGAGACAGAGGAGAAACATATAGAACACAAGAGAGCCCAGAGTCTGGTTCAAATAAAATTGATTTTAAAAAATGACCTTGGCCAGGCATGGTGGCTCAGGCCTGTAATCCCAGCACTTTGGGAGGCTGAGGCTGGCAGATCATGAAGTCAGCAAATCGAGACCATCCTGGCTAACATGGTGAAACTCCATCTCTACTAAAAATACAAAAAATTACCTGGGTGTGGTGATGCACGCCTGTAATCCCAGCTACTCAGGAGGCTGAGGCAGGAGAATCGCTTGACCCTCGGAGGGGAAGGTTGCAGTGAGCTGAGATTGTGCCACTGCACTCCAGCCTGGGCGACAGAGCAAGATTCTGTCTCAAAAAAAAAAAAAAAAAAAAAAAAAAAAAAGCCAGGTGTGGTGGCATGCACCTGTATTCCCAGCTGCTTGGGAGGCTGAAGTAGGATGATCACTTGAGCCCGAGAGGTTAAGATTGCAGTGTGCTATGATCACACTACTATACTCTAAACTGGGCAGCAGAGCAAGACGCTCTTTCAAAAAAAAAAAAAAGGCTGGGCACGGTGGCTCACGCCTGTAATCCCAGCACTTTGGGAGGCTGTGGTGGGTGGATCACAAGGTCAGGAGATCGAGACCATCCTGGCTAACACAGTGAAACCCCGTCTCTACTAAAAACACAAAAATTAGCTGGGCATGGTGGTGGGTGCCTGTAGTCCCAGCTACTCAGGAGGCTGAGGCAGGAGAATGGCATGAATCCGGGACATGGAGCTTGCAGTGAGCCAAGATCGCACCACTGCACTCCATCCAGCCTGGGTGACAGAGCGAGACTCCGTCTCAAAAAAAAAAAAAAAAAAAAAAAAAAAAAAAAAAAAAAGAATATACCCTGTCTTGTGCATTTGACTTTGGAACCTGGTAAAAGTATAAAACAGCAATAAACTAGAAATGCAATGCCTGAACACTGAAAGTAAAATGAAACAAGGGACGCTAACTGTGTAACTAGTTGGAAACATTATCTCTCAGAGAAGAACTATTCAAAGTGTTTTTAAAAAACAAGTTGACAGTACATCTAAATGGAATGTACTCTAAAAAATTCACTGTTTTCAGTAATTGTATTGGTGGTGGTAGTGTTAGTGTTGTTATGCTGAGACTTTTGTACACATATTGTAGGATAAAGAAAAGAAGCAATCCTATTGGCATGGGAATTTTGGGCATGGGAAAAGGACCAGCAGACGTAGAGGTGACGTAGGTGAGTAAAAACCTGCAGCCCTGAGTCTGAATTGGGAGTATCTGTGTGAACTCATGATATAAAGAAAACATTTTCCAACATTGTCTGTTAAAGACTCCTAAAAACCATAACTGGCCTGCTACCAATGAGCAAGTCTAACATCCAGATTGTGTCTCTAATTATTCTTTCCAACCAACAGGAACCAGGGCTCATTGGAAAAATAATTGATTCCCCATCTGGGACAGGAATTGTACAAGATGAGCATGGGACATGTTGGAAAACAAGGATGGTGCCATTGATGACAAAGGCTACATCAAAAGCACACAGGAACCAATTTAAAGGGATTCCCACTGGCTACAAGTGGGTCAAGAGCAGCAACAGTAACAATAACTTGAGCACACTGAAACACATCAATATATTTAAATCCAAGAGTTCACAGTAACATTTCTGATGACACTAGCCATCATTAGAATATTCTAGAGAACCAACTCATTATTTTGAAAATTGGTAAATGAAGGAAAATAATCAAGTATTTGTCAGCATACAAATTTTACCTGTAACGAGATATTTGCTGGGGAGAAATTATTTTGTTTAGTTTTGTTTTGAGAAGTTTTCCAATTAACATATAGAAGGCACATCATAGGATATTGCCATTTCACAATCACTAGTGAGCTAATGGATCAAGGTCATGATCACCAATGGCTATAATGTCACAACAAGGAAAATGAGAATCATGTGTCATCTCCTGATGGGGGACGATATCTCATCCCCTATAAAGTAATTTTTGGGAAAAAAAAATCAAACCAGTATCCAGCTAAGCCTGTAGATCTAACTATGAATTTACACAAAATACAGGAACAAAGCACATTAAATGACAAGAGGGTGCAAACCGCAAAATCCAAATCTTGGGAGAAATCTACAGAACAAATGCCTCAAAAACTAGAAAATAAGCCAAGTGTGTGCCTCATGCCCGTAATCCCAGCACTTTGGGAGGCTGAGGTGGGCAGATCACGAGGTTAGGAGTTCGAGATCAGCCTGACCAACATGGTGAAACCCTGTTTCTACTAAAAATGCAAAAAAATTTGCCGGGCATGGTGGTGGGCGCTTGTAATCCCAGCTACTCAGGAGGCTGAGGCAGGAGAATTGCTTGAATCCAGGAGGCAGAGGTTGCTGTGAGCCAAGATGGCAGCACCGCACTCCAGCCTGGGTGACAAAGCAAGACTCTGCCTCAAAAACAAAAAACAAACAAACAAACAAACAAACAAAAATCCAGAAAATAAAGCAGAGGGGGCCGGGTGCGGTGGCTCATGCCTGTAATCCCAGCACTTTGGGAGGCCAAGACGGGTAGATCACGAAGTCAGGAGATCGATATCATCGTGGCTAACTCGTGAAACCTTGTCTCTACTAAAAATACAAAAAAATTAGCAGGGCATGGTGGCGGGCACCTGTAGTCCCAGTTACTCGGGAGGCTGAGGCAGGAGAATGGTGTGAACCCGGCAGGCAGAGGTTGCAGTGAGCTGAGATCATGCCACTGCACTCCAGCCTGGGCGACAGAGCGAGACTCTGTCTCAAAAAAAAAAAAAAAAAAAAAAAAAAGAAAAGAAAAGAAAACGGAGGGATGGGGAATCTACAGATCAAAAGAGCCTCAGGAGATCTATCAATGAATGTAATGGATGTGGATCTTGATTCAAGGAAATGGTAAAAAAAAAAAATTGAGACAATTGGGAAAATGAACACTTAGTGGATATTTGATGATATTAAATAATTATTGTTAATAATTTTTAGGTATGAACTGTTGGTGTGGCTATATTTTGTAAAGAAGTTCTTGGCCAGGTATGGTGGCTCATGCCTGTAATCCCAGCACTTTAGGAGGCTGAGGTGGGGAGATCACCTGAGGTCGGGAGTTCAAGACCAGCCTGGCCAACATGGTGAAACCCTGTCTCTACTAAAAATACAAAAATTAGCTGGGCGTGGTGGTGCATGCCTGTAATCCCAGCTACTGGGAGAGGCCAAGACAGGAGAACTGCTTGAACTCAGGAGGCGGAGGTTGCAGTGAGCTGAGATCACACCACTGTACTCCAGCATGGGCGACAGAGTGAGACTGTCTCAAAACAAACAAACGAAAACAAAAAACAAAACAACAAAACAAAAGAAGTTCTTCGCTTTTGCAGAGATACTCAGATGGTTGCAAATAAAAACATGTACAGATTTTTTCTTTAAATAATCTATGGGAGAGAGAAGGGGGTGGGATGTGGAAGAAATAAGATATTATGATTGACAGTTGCTAAAACTGGATGATGGTACATGAAGGTTCATTATGCTATTTCTTTTACTTTTATATATATTTATAAAGTTCCAAAATAAAGTATAAAAAATAAAAACTACCAACTTTCCAAATTATTTAGAGATATATACTAAAATATTTATGAAGCAAATGGCATGCTGGCTGGCCTTATACCCTGAAAATAATCCTGAGGCAGGGGAGAGTAGGAGGAAATGTGAATGAAACAGATTGACCATATGTCAGTAACTGTTGAATGTAAATGATGGGGGCCTTAGGGTTCATTTTACTCTTCTTGCTACTGTTACATATGCTTGGAATTTTTCATAATAAAAAGGTTTTTTTAAATAGAGACAAATAGAAAGAAACAATAAAAGAGCAGAAACAAATGGAAATTGAAAAAAACGCAGAGGAATAATTCAACAAAACTCGAATCTCTAACTTTTAAAAGATTAATAAAAACAAAGAAACTACTGGTAAGACAAACCAAGAAAACAATGGAAAAGGATAAAAAACAGTATTAGTAATGAGAATGAAAATGACTTACAGATGTGCAGATGTAAAAAATAAGACGATATCATAAATAAGTTTATATGAATAAATTTGAAGACTTGGATAAAATGGACAAATTCCTAAAAAAATACAACTTACCAAAAATGGTCCAAAAAGAAAAAGAAAATATAAATATTCATCATGAACATTTAAAAACCAGTTGAATCAGTAATCAAAAATCCTCCCACAAAGGAAACTGAAGGCTTCAATGGCTTCACCAATGAGTTTCACCAAATAACCAGGGAACAAACACTTTTAATATTACTCAAACTATTCTGAAGAACAGAAAAAAGGGAACAGTCTCCAACAGATTTCATGAGGCTAGCAAAACCTGGATGTCAAACCCTGACAAGTACATTATGAGAAAAAAAAATTAGGGAAAACATCAATCAAAAAATAGGTATAAATTTCTAACTCAAGGATGAGCAAACTAAATCTAGCAACAAATAAAAATGATAACATGTCATAACCAAACAGGTTTTATCCCAGAAATGAAGAGTTTATTTATCATTAGAAAATTAATTACAGCTGACCCTCCATTTCTGCAGGTTCTATATTTGTGGATTCAACCAAGCATGAATTGAAATATAGTATTCAGAAGAAAAGAAAAGAGAAGAAAAGAAGGAGGGAGGGAGGGAGGGAGGGAAGGAAGGAAGGAAGGAAGGGAAGTGAAGGAAAAAAGAAGGAAGGAAATTATATGCAAATCCTATGACATATATAAAGACTGTGAGCATCTGCAGATTTTGGTATCTGCAGGGATTCTGGAACCAATCTTTTACGGACACTGAGGGATGACTGTACTGTAAGTCACCACATTAGCACATTAAAAAGAAAAATGATAACAGTTTACCCAATAAATCAAAAACGAGAGAACTTGATAAAACTCAAATCTATTTATTCAACATAAAAACTTTTAGCAAACTAGAAATAGTGTTAAATATCCTTTGTCTGACACAACGTATTTGCCCATGTCAAACTCTTGTTAATGGTCAAATACTGAAAGCTTCCTATGTGAAACGGGGATTAAGAACGGGTACCCACTCTTGTTACTCCTATTCAACATTATACTGGAGGTCACAGCCACTGCAAGAAGCGGTGTGAAAGGTAAAAATGATTGAGAGGCTGAAACAAAACTATTTATATAAGATATGATTGTGAAAGTAATATGATAAAGGAAATCTAAATTGAAATTAGAATTAATAGGAGAGTTTGGCAATATACTAAATCAATGGACAATAAACAATTATATTTTTATAATTAAATTGAGTTATCAAATTAAATTTTAAAAAGATATCATGTAAAATAGCATAAAATACATCTAGAAATAAATCTAAACATTTATTGGAATAAGTTAAAAGATCTACATAGAGAACCATGCCATATTTATAAATGGGAAGGCTCAATAGATAAAAATACAAAAATAAAAATAAATCAATTACCTTCCAATGGATGTGTAGCTTGCAGATAATTTCAATGAAAATCGCAAGCAATAGAGATTTTATTAGTGCAAATTTACAAGAGTAATTAAGATAGAATTAAGACTGGGAGGTGATAAGACTTATCTTGCCAGAATTTTCATAAAGCCATATTAATCAGAACAGTGTGACACTAATTGATAGAAGATAACTTGGCCAATGAAACAGAATAGAGTCTAGAGGTGGAGTTGGGAATATAGAGCTCTAGATAGGTAACAGAGTGACATTGCAGAATCAGGGCAGAAAGGAGTACCTTTTCAATAAATGATGCTGGAACCACTGGCCGCCCACAAGCCTAACATTGGCATGCGATATTTTATCGTGTAGTTCCAAATATTTTCTAATGTCCATGATAGTTTCTCTTTGAGCCATGAAATACTTAGAAATGTGCTTTTGTTTCCAAGATAAGGTTTTCATGTTTTTCTTATCGCCTTTTGTTGTTAATATTTGTGTATGGTCTGAGTACAGGGTCCAATTTCATCTTTAACCATGTGGGAAGCCAGTGTTCTTATAACTCAGGTATGGCCCCACAATTCCATTTCTTGTCAATATCCTGGAGAAGTCCCTGCACAGGTCTCTAAGGGAACATGGTCCCTTGAGGATGAGTAACATGAGGGGTTTTGTTATGGGGTTGCTTGCAAAAGCAGGAAAATGTTACACAGGATGCTTTCCCTGAGAGTAATGGAGCTCATTATCTCTCCTTTCCCACACATAAATAACTTCTCCCTCTGTATCCCTCTTTCTGTAAATCACATCACCATCATCCCTGTTACCCAAGCTCAAGACTGCTTACCCGACTGTCCATCATCATATTTATTTCTGCCTCCACTCTCTTCTTCCGGGTCAGCACATCCCATGGGCCAGATGATGGCCTCAAATGTCCTCTAGCAAAGTGTACCAAGGACTGCTTGCTTGCTAAATCCAATGGACTATTTTCAGTCCTTAACTTCCTTGACCTCTCAGCTGCATCAAAAGCATCGACAATTCCCTTCCTGAAACAGTATCTTCCCTTGGCTTCCATGACTCCTTTTTTTCTCGTTTTTACCTTACTTCTTTGGCCACATCCTTTGCTTCCCTTCACGGGCTCATTCCATAATTGCTCAGGCTCCTTGGTTCTGGGCTGGGCCTTTGTCCATTTTGACTCTATTCACACTCTCTGGGTGTGATACATCTCATGGTATCAATTACCATAGATATACTGATGGCTTTGACATTTTCCAAGATTATCTTGACTGATACCCAAATTTGTGTCACTTTACGGGTATCTCTTCTTAAATATCTCCCAAGAGCCACAAAGTCACTTGAACTGACTTTACCATCTTTCCCCTCAATACTCACTACTCCGAACTGGTCTCTAACTCACCGAACTAGGCATTTGGTTACCTATGCCTGAGGGCCATCTATGGCACCTTCCTCTCCCTCACCTCTGCATCCCATCTATCCCAAATCCCAGTAGATTATAACTCTGAAGTGGCTTTCAAATCAGGTAGCTTCTATTTCCACTGCCCTATGCCAGACCACTGTTTTCTCTCTCCCGACCATTACTTTTTTATTTTATTTTATTTTATTTTATTTTATTTTATTTTATTTTATTTTATTTTATTTTTTGAGACAGAGTCTGGCTCTGTCACCCAGGCTGGAGTGCAGTGGTGCAATCTCGGCTCACTGCAACTTCCGCCTCCCGGGTTCAAGCAATTCTCCTGCCTCGGCCTCCTGAGTTAGCTGGGACTACAGGCAAATGCCACCACGCCCGGCTAATTTTTCGTATTTTTAGTAGAGATGGGGTTTCAGTGTGTTAGCCACATGTTAGTCTCTATCTCCTGACTTCGTGATCCACCCACCTCGGCCTCCCAAACTGCTGGGATTACAGGCGTGAGCCAACGCACCTGGCCTCGACCATTACTTTCTAATCTCTTTTGCATAAGACTCCACATGGGAGTTTTGCTAAACTATAGCTCTGTCATTGCCTCCAGGGTGGAGTTTCAGCCTGCTCCTGTCTCTCTCTAGCTTCCTTTCTGATCTCTTCCTGCACCTCTAGCCTCACTGTGCTGGTCATCCCCACCCACCACTCTTCCTCCTGCAAGAGGATTTCTTTCAGCCTTCCCTGATGGCCCTAGCTTATGAACCTCCAAACATGTTGCCCAGGGCAACATTAGTGCCCTCTTCACCACCTGTGCTCCCATCTCAGCTTTAATATTACTCTTTTCAAAAAGCTTTCCATGGTTAGGATAAGCATTTCTCCTCTATGTTCCCATAGCATCCATCATAGCACGTTCAATCATGACACTCAACTTCCGTGATCTATTACTCTATCTTCTCTACTGAACAGTAAGCTTCTAGTGGGTAAGGAACGTCACTATAACTCACTATGCTATTTCAGATCTGCTATAGTCCTTAGTGTCTAGCAGACAATAAATATGTGCTGTACAAATGAAGAAATGAATGAAGGCATGCTACACTCTTCTGCCATATTGATTCTACTTAAAGCCTAAAGCACCTCTCTTAAAAAGAAAATCAGTGACTCCTCAGTAAATGCCAAACAAAAGTTCAGAGGTTTTAGCTAGGCATTGATGGTGTCCACAGTCTGTTCCACCAGACATTTCTGGATACTGTTCATCACCATATGTACTGTTCTCCAGTCAACCTGAATGACTCATATTTCAAGGTTGTGTGCACCACCGATTTGCACCTCCCTGCCCTGGCTCAGGTTCTTTTCCAAACTCTCTCAGTACGTTATCTCTGTGCATCTCAGTCCTACTTAACTTCTCATTCAGAACCCAGCAACCACGTCAACTCTTCCATGACGCCTTCCCTGATCTTACCCTCTGGAAATTACTTCCCCTTCTGTTGACCTTCCATAACATTTGGTCTGTATATTTCTTATGGGCCTCATCACTCTGTAGACTATCTATTTAGGTTTGCCTTCTCTCACTCAGGAGGGCAAGCTCCTCAAGGGCAGTTAGTGTATCTTTTTGAAAATCTGTGTGTACTGGGTTGAATAGTGTCCCACTAAAATTCGTGTCCACCCAGCCCCTCAGAATATGACCTTATTTGACAATAGGGACTTTGAAGACGTAATTAGTTAAGATGAGAACATATGGGATAAGGGTTGGCCCTAGATACAATGACTGGCATCTTTTGACAAAGGCCATGAGAACACACAGAGAGGAGAGCCTCACGGGAAGATGGAGGCTGAGACTGGCATGATGCATCCACAAGCCAAGGATGGCCAAGGACTGCCAGCAGCCACCAAGAGCTAGGGGACAAGCATGGAACAGACTCTAGCCTTAGGCTTTCAGAGGGAGCACAGCTCTGCCAACACCTTGATTTCAGACTTCTAGACTGCAGAACTGTGAGAAAATGAATTTCTATTGCTTTAAATCACATAGTTCATGCTGATGTAGTACAGCAAACCTGGGAAGCTAACACTGGGCACCCACTGGAGTTCAGTATAGCCCTTGGGTGTGAAGATCAGTAACTGCTGTATGAAAAAATGAATAAATGTTGAAGCTGGCATTGCGTGACTCTAGAGCACATAGTGACATTATTGCTATGACTGTAGGGATTTGGGATGGTCAGTAATGGCTCCCAAATATCTCTTCATGAGGGGGTACTTCAAATGTGATTCAATATGAGGGAGGGGACCAAGGGCTCCTGTTAGGCTGCTAAGGAACTCCAGGAGCCTTGGATTCCAGTGCAGTTCAGAAGGGAGGGACAGGACAGTTGGGGAAGGCAGGTTCTATGAGACATATAAGACTTCTCAGTATAACAAATTTCTGCATTTCAGAGAGCTTACCAGCTTGTATCTACTTTTATTTTCTCTGTTGTTTTCTCTCCATCAAATGCCTTCTCCAGGACAAATTCTTCTGGTTTAGCTAGGTCAAGCCATATCACCTCTACTCCATAAATCTCAGTTCATATGTATTTTCTTTTGTAGGCCAAGAGTAGGCTGTAAATTTCACACTGTGATACTAGAATACCATTCTTTTTATCTTTTTTTTTTTTTTGACAGGATCTTACTCTGTTGCCCAGGCTGGAGCGTAGTGGCGTGATCTTGACTCACTACAGCCTCAAACTCTCAGGCTCAAGCAATCCTTCCATCTCACCCTCCTGAGTAGCTAGGACCACAAGCACGCATCGCCACGCCCGACCAATTTTTAAAATTTTTTTGTAGAGTCAGAGTCTCTCTGTGTTGCCCAGGCTGGTCTCAAACTCCTGAGCTCAAGCAATCTTCCCATCTCAGACACCAAATGTGTTGGGATTACAGGCATGAGCCACTGTGCCTGGCCTAGAACACGATTCTTGATCACCCATTTCTTCAAATACTCTCTTTTTTGTTTGTTTGTTTTTTGAGACAGAGTCTTACTTTGTTGCCCAGGCTGGAGTGCAGTGGTGCAATCTCCACTCACTGCAAACTCCGCCTCCTGGCTTCAAGCAATTCTCTGCCTCAGCCTACCGAGTAGCTGGGATTACAGGAGCCTGCCACCACGCCTGGCTAATTTTTGTATTTTTAGTAGAGACGGGGTTTCACCATCGTGGCCAGGCTGGTCTTGAACTCCTGACCTCGTGATCCACCTGCCTCAGCCTCCCAAAGTGCTGGGATTACAGGTGTGAGCCACCACGCCCGGCCTTTGAATACTATCTTAAAGAGAGGGTTTCTTCATACTATCATAGTTCTTACAGAGGATGAGTTTGTTCTCTGTGATCTTTCAAGTTTGATGATACAGGTAATACCCAGCTTCCTGGTTTAAGCACTCAGTGGATCTCACTGCATGTCTGTTATCCCTCCATTAGCCACGGGGGTGTCAGTAGAGGAGAGCCATAAGTTGGAGTCAGCCACTCAACCGGCCTTTTGGAAGTCTCTTCCATCAGTGTGGATGTCCTCTGAGATGCAAAGTCTTATTACAATCTATCCAAGAAAAGTCAATCTAAAACCAGGACCAGCTACATAATTTGCAAGGTCTGGTGCAAAATGAAAACGTGGAGCCCCTTGTTCAACAATGATTCAGATTTCAAGGCAATGGCTGCACAGCATTACAGCAGAAGTGGGGCCCTTCTGGGCACAGGGCTCCATGCCACTGCACAGCTTGCCTGCCTATGAAGCTCGACCTGTCTCCAGTTGAAAACCAGATGTTACATTTCACAAGCAAACACTAACAGCATTTGGATTGCAAATTGCTTTGGATTTTCTCCACCACTGCTTCCCTCCATTAGGAGAGATCATCAAAAATGATGGCAGCTGATTGAGAACTATATAAATGGTTTACACAATGAATAATAAATTCCAGATTAAAATGTCATTAAAAAAAAAAAAAACAACAACCTAAACCTTTAACAGCCCACTGGTGAATACACTTCCACCGGTATAATGAGACTCACTTCCAGGGCAGAAAAAGATGAGGCCTCTCTTTGGAGAACAGAATTCTTACTCTGTGGATTCTTAGGCCAGTTACTGTTGATTAGATAGATGGTTTACTCTGTTTTATGCTTGGAGTTTGCTGCAGATGTCAGCCTAAAGCTATTGATGATGGTGATGGCTCTTGTCTCCTCGTTTTCCCCACCCACTTTTGGGGTAAGTTTGGGAGGGCTGGAGTTGCTGGACTTTGGATACGGAGCATCTTATTTGTACATGGCACCATGCCAACATTTTGTAAGGGAATTCTGAGATGTTCTTTGTATCAGAATGTAGGATGCCTTGCAGTTGCACCCAAACTGTAAGTAACCTCCAAATCTGGATAAGGTTGTATTAACAAGATCAGACTAAAGGCCAGAGAGAAGGATCCAGAATGGACTGTTTCTAAAGAAGCAGCATCATCCCTTTCATCCCTGGGAAGAAATCATGAGAAACTTCCCAAGAGATGGTACCTGGGACATCACCAAGAAATATGAAGGCACTGGACTTGTTCTTCCCCATTCTGTTGCTCCTTGTCCCATATTTCCATGGCTGCTGTATCTTTTAGCTCTGTGTATAGACCTTGGTCTCTCTACTTTTTTTTTTTTTTTTTGAGATGGAGTCTCGCTCTGTCACCCAGGCTGGAGTGCAGTGGCGCAATCTCCACTCGCTGCTAGCTCCACCTCCCGAGTTCAAGCCATTCTCCTGCCTCAGCCTCCCAAGTAGCTGGGACTACAGGCGCCCGCCACCACGCCCGGCCAATGTTTTTTTGTATTTTTAGTAGAGACAGGGTTTCACCATATTAGCCAGAATGGTCTCGATCTCTTGACCTCGTGATCCGCCCGCCTCGGCCTCCCAAAGTGCTAGGATTACAGGCGTGAGCCACCATGCCTGGCCATTTTCTCTTCTAATGGCATCATGGATCTTTGAAATCTGCACCATTAGGCTTGTCTTTGTCAACATAGGCTTAGCCTACCACTCACACCCAATCCCTTCCAGAAGAGTAGGCACATACCCAAATCTGGTTTGTCATGGAACACCACTGCCCTGAACATGGGGATTGGAACCCAGTCTAACTCCAGATCCACAAGCTATTCTTTACACCTAGCATAACGCCCTGCCCAAAGCAGGTGGTCAGTAAATATTTGAGGAAAACCTCAGCACCATGAGTGATAGCCTTTTTTGTTTCTCAAAAAAAAAAAAAATGTTGAGTGTTTTATTAGCAAATACATTTCCAGTCTGGCTTTGAAGTGTGAGAGAACCCAATTCATCTCCTGATAATGAAGCATATACTGCCTTGGGTCATGTAAACATTCTTGTACTGTTATTGTTATTTAACAATTGTTTGGGCCAGGCACAGTGGCTCACGCCTGTAATCCCAGCACTTTGGGAGGCTGAAGCGGGTGGATCACAAGGCCAGGAGATTGAAACCATCCTGGCCAATATGGTGAAACCCCGTCTCTACTACTAAAAATACAAAAAAAAAAAAAAAAAAAAATTAGCTGGGTGTGGTGGCACATGCCAGTAATCTCAGCTACTCAGGACACTGAGGCAGGAGAATCGCTTGAACCTGGGAGGTGGAGGTTGCAGTGAGCCGAGATCACGCCGCTGCACTCCAGCCTGGGCGACAGACTGAGACTCCATCTCAAAAAAAAAAAAAAAAATTGTTTGGCGCTCTATTTTAACTCATCATGTGGTTACTTTTACTTTCCTTTTTCTTCAATTAAAACTCATTGAGGGCAGAAAATATGTTTATGATTTTGTACATCCTACATAGTAATCCAACAGAATGGGCATTTAACAGACAGTTCTTTTGATTTCTGATTCTGTAGCCCACTACTGTTCTTCCTTCAATTTTGTCACTTTCTCCACCTTTACCCCATCAGATATTCCCTGACTTCTAGAGCTTTTTTCAATGTGAACTTTAATATTTTAAAAGGTGAAGCCATCTAGAAAATAATGTTAAGTGAACGGAAAGCACGTTACTGAAATAGATGCTTAGAATAACATTTAGGAACACAGAATAAAGGAAATGCTGGAAAAAAACATGTGAGTGTAGCAAAAGTATAATATGGTCAGGAACAAAACACACCAACTTCAGGAGAGAGGAAGGGGAGTGGGCTTGGGGGCTGTGACTTTTTTGTTTCCAATAAAGAAAATGAGGCCAGGTGCGGTGGCATATGCCTGTAGTCCCAACTACTCAGGAGGCTGGAGCAGGACGATTGCTTGAACCTGAGAAGCTGAGGCTTCAGTGAGCTGTGATGTTACCACTGCACTCCAGCCTAAGCAACAGAGTGAGACCTTGTCTCAAAACAAAACAGAAAAAGGAAAAGAAAAGAAGAACAGAAAAAACATGTTCTGAAGCAACTATAACAACATGTGAAACATTTTAAAATCTGGCTGGTGGGTTTTTTCTAAAATATTTTATTCTAAAATGATGTTTCAGTTGTTTAATTTGGGAGGCCACGAAAAATTTAGTCCTAGAGATAAATGTATATCACGCAGTGCTGAGACCGTATGAATACTACAGAACGAGCAGCTTCCATTTTACCATGGAATGTGAGGTAGGTGCAAGGAAGCAACGTCTTTCTATTACGAGAACTTCTTTGGTCTCATGAGACGATTCCTCCAAAGGGCAGGGGAGAAAACCAAGCAAGGCCTTTATCCTGCCTTAATTGTCCATATATGCCACATCCCCAAAAAGTACTTTTAGGAAGAACTGTGTGCACGTATTTAAATCTTCCATGTAAAGCCTCAACCTCTATGAATTCCTAATTCTGACCACTTCCACTAAGTTTCTTTCACACTTTATGGAAAAATAACTTCAAAATATTATCATCTCGGCTAGGCGCGGTGGCTCAAGCCTGTAATCTCAGCACTTTGGGAGGCTCAGGGGGGCAGATCACGAGGTCAGGAGTTCAAGACCGGCCTGGCCAACATGGTGAAACCCCATCTCTACTAAAAAAATACAAAAATTAGCCGGTCGTGGTAGCGGGCACCTGTAATCCAAGGTATTCGGGAGGCTGAAGCAGGAGAATTGCTTGAACCCGGTTTGCAGTGAACCGAGATGGCTCCATTGCACTCCAGCCTGGGTGAAACAGCGAGACTCTGACTCAAAAAAAAAAAAAATCACCATCTGATAGCCTTAAGATATCCTGCAAGTCAATAAGAAAAAGATACAGGCCGGGCGCGGTGACTCACGCTTGTAATCCCAGCACTTTGGGAGGCCGAGGCGGGTGGATCACGAGGTCAGGAGATAGAGACCATCCTGGCTAACACGGTAAAACCTGTCTCTACTAAAAAATACAAAAAATTAGCCGGGCGCAGTGGCGGGCGTCTGTAGTCCCAGCTACTCAGGAGGCTGAGGCAGGAGAATGGCGTGAACCCAGGAGGTGGAGCTTGCAGTGAGCCAAGATTGCGACACTGCACTCCAGCCTGGGCAACAGAGCGAGACTCCATCTCAAAAAAAAAAAAGAAAGAAAAGAAAAGAAAAAAAGAAAAAGAGATAAACATGTCAGTAAAAAATGGGCATAGGACAGGAATTGATAACTCTCAGATGTAATACAACTGGCTAATAAGCCTATAACAAAATTAAATGTAATTAAGACATTGAGGCATTCTTTAAACAATAAGATGGGCAAAGATTAAAAATACGAGAATACTGAAAGTTGGTGAGACGTGCTCCCATAGACAGTTAATAAGAATGTAAGTTGACAAAAACTTTCTAAGTACCTGAAAACTTTCTAAGAACCTTGAAACCAGTAATCCCACCTCCAGAAATCCCTCCTACAAAAATTCAAAATAACATTATTTATTATAACAAATGAACACACAAAAGTCAGTTACATGGCCAACACTCGGAGAAAGAATACATTAATTATTATATCATTATGAAATGGAATATTTTGCAATCAATATGCTTGTTAAAAATACTCAGGAAAAAAATACGCTTTTTTTTTTTTTTTTTTTGAGATGGAGTCTGGCTCTCTCACCCAGGCTGGAGTGCAGTGGCGTGGCATGATATCGGCTCACTGCAACCTCTGCCTCCCAGGTTCAAGTGATTCTCCTGCCTCAGCCTCCCAAGTAGGTAGGATTACAGGCATGTGTCACCATGCCCAGCTAATTTTTGTATTTCCAGTAGAGATAGTGTTTCTCCATGTTGGCCAGGCTGCTCTCGAACTCCTGACCTCAGGTGATTTGCCACCTCAGCCTCCCACAGTGCTGATTACAAGCATGAGCCACCAAGCCCAGCCATTCTATATTATTAATTAAAATAAAGAGTAGACTAGAAAACCAAATGCAGTATAATCTCAACACTGTTTATATATATAGATAGATATAGATATATTATATAAACAGAAAATTAAATGTGCTGGAATAGTACCTCTAGTGGCTCTGGATAGAGGGATTATGGCTTTAAATAGTTTTTTTTCCCCCATTTTTTCCCCCTAGTTTTCTATATTGGGTTACATTTTATAAATCAGTAATTACCAAATAAACACTATTTTTAAAAGAGAAAGAGAAGTCGCTATGGCCCAAAATCACCTCCCCAGGCAATTTCAAATCTAATCCACTGGAAACATAGGTCAACTCATCAGATACGCCTTAGCTTAGCAAGTTACCATGTTAAAATGTCCCATGGGCCAGGCACAGTGACTCACGCCTGTAATCCCAGCACTTTGGGAGGTTGAGGTGGGCAGATCATGAGGTCAGGAGTTCAATACCAGCCTGGCCAAGATGGTGAAACCTAGTCTCTACTAAAAATACAAAAAGATTAGCTGAGCATGGTGGCAGATACCTGTAATCCCAGCTACTTGGGAGGCTGAGGCAGAGAATGGCTTCACCCCGGGAGGCGGAGGTAGCAGTGGGCAGAGATGGGACCACTGCACTCCAACCTGGGCGACAGAGGGAGACTCCGTGAAAAAAAAAAAAAAAAATCTCCCATGATCAGGAGTTGCTGGTTGTTCTGTGCCCCATGCTAAACAGTGCAGGGAGAATGGTTGGCTCCAGGCTTCCTATAAGATACCAGTTTTGGTCACGATGTCTGGACCTTTTTTTCAATCTCTACTGGGGTAGACTGAGGCAGAAGAAAGTCCATTTTTTTTCACCTATGTGTTTTCTGTTCTTTTAAAATTCTACTTAATTTACTAAATGTGCCTAGCTGAATTCACCCTTCTTGTGGACTGCTGAGCCAAGACTAACTGCTATACCCCAGCTCTGATTGCCCAACAAGACCACATTCTGCTTTAAAGGTTGCTTGGGCTCTGCTGTAACTAAAAAAGGAATGATTTAGGCCTGAGAGTTTCATCCTAAGAAACATCTACCGGTGGCGGACGTGGTCATTCGAACACTTTCAAGACACTCTTAAAATGGAACCATGTCTAGCAACACTGTCTCCTCTGGTGTCTTTATTTCAAAACACTCACGGCAGCAGGGAACTTAAAAGAAGCTCGCTGAAAACCTCATCGTGGAAGGAGTAAGAAATTAAACACGATAAGCATTTTCCCTTTTAGGATAAAAGTGCGCAAGAGAAAACACTATCTCTGGGATCCTAGGTTTGCCTGAAACACATTTTACGCTGGAAATCAGATCCTAACGTTAAATCAGCTAATCTTTCACATTTCCACCACATCCCCATTTCTAACCTTAGCCCCAAATTAAGTCAGGATTCCAGGCATAGCTGGCATACTTGGGTTTGTCTGGGTAAGTTAAATGGTCAAATAGTATTAGCCAAATTCCTACAGAGTCCTGTACCTGGTATGCCAAACACTAAGGAAAAAGCAAGCGGATATCTGCTTACAAAGTCAATAATCTAACATAGGGGGAGAGTCTGGGGTAGGCTATG
This sequence comes from Homo sapiens, assembly GCF_000001405.40. Classification (NCBI taxonomy): domain Eukaryota; kingdom Metazoa; phylum Chordata; class Mammalia; order Primates; family Hominidae; genus Homo; species Homo sapiens. The sequence goes on from NC_000016.10 coordinate 73,605,668, forward strand.
GGGGAAGGCTGGTCTAGGGCATAGAACTGGGGGGCTGGAGAGAAAGAATGATGTCGTGAACAGCAGACATTCTCTTCAAGGAACAGACAGTAAATACCTGGGGCTTTCTCGGTCTAGGCCAAGAGGTAAAGTGAAAGCTATCATATGGGTACTTATCAAACCATTTAAAATGTAACCACTTAAAAATATAAAAAACGTTTTTTCTTCACAGGGCCATTTAAAAAATCCATGCTGGGGCAGGGCACAGTGGCTCACACCTGTAATCCCAGCATTTTGGGAGACCGAGGCGGGCGGATCACGAGGTCAGGAGATGAGACCATCCTGGCTAACACAGTGAAAGCCCGTCTCTACTAAAAATACAAAAAATTACCCCGGCGTGGTGGCGGGCACCTGTAGTCCCAGCTATTTGGGAGGCTGAGGTGGAGAACGGCGTGAACCCGGGAGGTGGAGCTTGCAGTGAGCCGAGATTGTGCCACTGCACTCCAGCCTGGGGGATTGAGCTAGGCTCCATCTAAAAAAAAAAAAAAAAAAAAAAAAAAAAAAAAAAAAATCCATGCTAGGCTGGCGTGGTGGCTCACGCCTGTAATCCCAACACTTTAGGAGGCCGAGGTGGGCAGGTCACCTGAGGTCAGGAGTCCGAGACCAGCCTAAAATATAAAAATACAAAAATTAGCCAGGCGTGGTGGTGCGCACCTGTAATCCCAGCTACTCAGGAGGCTGAGGCAGGAGAATCTCCTGAACCCGAGAGGCGGAGGTTGCAGTGAGCTGAGTTTGTACCTTTGCACTCTAGCTTGGGGGACAAGAGTGAGACTTTGTCTCAAAAAAAAAAAAAAAAATCCATGCTTGTCTTGGTCCTAGGGCCTCAGTGTATGGAACCCCAGCTCAGTGTCACTTTAATGTAAATGAGTTTTTATTTTATTTCATTTTAAGTTCTGGGCTACATATGCAGGATGTGCAGGTTTGTTACATAGGTAAACGGTGGCTGTTAGCTGCACCTATCAACCCACCACCTAGGTATTACGCCCAGCATGCATTAGCTATTTTACCTAATGCTCTCCCGCTACTTCCCGCCCTCCCCTGACAGGCCCCAGTGTGTGTTGTTTCCCCACATGTGTCCATGTGTTCTCATTGGTCAGTTCCCACTTATAAGTGAGAACATGCAGTGTTTGGTTTTCTGTTCCTGGGTTAGTTTGCTGAGGATAACGGCTTCCAATTCTATCCATGTCCCTGCAAAGGATAAGAACTCGGCTGGGCACAGTGGCTCATTCTTGTAATCTCCAGCTCTGAGCAACAGAGCAAGACTCCATCTCAGAAAACAAACAAACAAACAACAACAACAAAAACAAATAAAAAGGACATGATCTCTCTCTGCTTTTTTTTGAGATAGAATTTTGATCGTTGCCCAGGCTGGAGTGCAATGGCACACTCTTGGCTCACTGCAACCTCCATCTCCTAGGTTCAACTGATTCTCCTGCCTCAGCCTCCTGAGTAGCCGGGATCACAGGCACCTACCACCATGCCTGGCTAATTTTTGTATTTTTAGTAGAGATGGGGTTTCACCATATTGGCCAGGCTGGTCTCGAACTCCTGACCTCGTGATCCACCCACCTTGGCCTCCCAAACTGCTGGGATTACAGGCGTGAGCCACCATGCCCAGCCGATCTCATTCCTTTTTGAGGCTGCATAGTATTCCATGCTGTATATGTACTACATTTTCTTTATCCAGTCTATCATCACTGGGTATATATACCCAAAAGAATATAAATCATTCTATTATAAAGATACCTGCACGCGTATGTTCATTGCAGCACTATTCACAATAGCAAAGACATAGAATCAACCCAAATGCCCATTTTTCTTCTATAAAATGCGGAAAATACTAGGTATCCCTAATTATCCAACATGATTGTTTTTGAAGATCCAACGAGGGAACAAATGTGAAAAAAACTGTGATGGATCTAAAATTTCTATATCAACACAAGGTATTATTATGAATACTACTACTTACCCACAGGCAAGTTTCATCATAAAAATCCTGACATGGGTCCTCTTAACTGGCAATCATCACAAAAGATTAAAATATATGCTGAACACTCTCACAAGAAGAATGGGAGAAGGTCCTGTGCGGTGGCTCATGCCTGTAATCTCAACACTTTGGGAGGCTGAGGTGGGCAGATGGATCCCTTGAGCCCAGGAGTTCGAGACCAGCCTAGGCAACATGGCAAAACCCTGTCACTTCAAAAAGTACAAAAAATTCAGCCAGTCATGGAAGTCTGTGCCTGTAGTCCCAGCTACTCAGGAAGCTGAGAGGTAGGTGGGTTGCCTGAGTCCAGGAGGTTGAGGCTGCAGTGGACTGTGATCATGCCACTGCACTTCAGCCTGGGGAACAGAACAAGACTCTGTCTCAAAAGAAAAAAAAAAAAGAGAATAGGGGAAGGGTGTATTTCATAAAGATGACCTGAGAAATAACACTGCAATCCCCTCCTAGACTGAGGATTAGAGATGGGCAGAATGTGTGGAAATTGGCTTTAAGCCCCAGAGCACTTCTTTGTCCACAAACCCTACACTTCCTTCCCATTTCCCCATGTGCTTTCTTGAAGCTGGTCCCATATTCTGACCATAAATCCAAAAGATAAGTGCTCAGAGCGTCCCACCATGGCAAGACAGTGTACATAAGAGATTCTAACTCACACTTGGCTTAATATTACTTGTACACAGCAGGCACTAAAAACATGTGTGTTGGAATATAATTCAGCTGACTGCTTTGAAGGAACAGATTACAAATACAGACCAGGTAAAATGACTTATTGGCTCAGTTTCAGAGATTATTGAAAAGTACAAAACAATAACAACAACATTGTTTTTTATCTTGATGAAATTGAAAAAATTTCTCTGGAGCTCAATATTTATTAATGCTTTTATTCAAAAGCAGAAAACAACAATTTTTTTTCAGGAGAAATGCGTTCTCGTGTCTTTTCCTCTATTTGATGTGATGCGATATTAACTAATGACTAAATCCATGGCAATTACCCGCCAATAGATTCAGGCTGTATCTTCAAAAGGATACTGTATGTTTGTCAGCCTTGGTCCATAAGCAGAGCTCTTGCTTAATAGCATCCAGATCCAGATTTAATAAGTATTCAAAGGTATTTTTAAAAAAACAACAACCTTTAAAACGAACAAAATAGAGAGTTTGGCCATGAAAATTGCCCAATGAACATACATACCACTGAGTTATTAGCATTTCTAATTACTCTTTTTTAGTCTTTAGGTTCTATCTTCCGTCTATTTTCTCCTCACTATTTGTGGGTGCTCAGACTCTACACGTTGCAGCAGTAGTGACTGACTTTAAATTACTCATAAACTTTGTAACAATCTGATGTTTTCCTCCTCTAAATTGGCAGGAAACCCTCTGCTTTTCCCAGTCTCTATATGCACAAGCTGCAGCTTTCATTCTGGTAGAAATGCAGACGTGTGGATTCACTCTAGTAAAATCCCTGACTTAACGCCATTTCAGAAGTGAGAAGGCGATGCAAATACATTTGATTTGCTCATCATCATCATCGCTCCATCATTTGATTTCTGCATCGTACAACCAATTTATTCATCATAACCACCTACAGAATGTGCACGTATCACTCACACAGTGTTTGCTCCCTGCTCGTGGAAAATAAATGATCAAGACAAATTCGAATATTTGACACTTCTTCCATTTCAAAAAAATAAAGGGATCAATTTAAAGCCCTTCACTACTGCCCCTAAGAAGAGCGGACTAGAAATTGAAAGGGTTGTCAACAATAGAAAGGAGTTTTCCTTTAGAATGCTTTGATTTAAACAAAGGGTATCAGCGGACACAATTGGAAGCACCCACATTTTTACTTTTAAATTAAAATTTAAAAAGGATTCAGACTGTGGATTTTACCCTCAGCCACTGGGGGACGACTTAGCAGGAAAATCATAGGTAACTTGATGGATGGATGGAAGGAAGGAAAGGAGGGAGGGAGGGAAGAAGGAAGGAAGGGAAAGAGGGAGGGGTAATTGGTTGAAGGCATATGTATATTCATTTAAGAAAACTCAGTAGACATGCCAGATAAGAACAGCTACCTCCAAAAATTCACACCCAATCAAGTTGAATCCTAATTTCATTCTAGCACATGGCATAGAAAGAAGAGACGCTATTCTCAAATTGCCTAAGCTGTGAAAATTCCAGAGTTGTTACTCCAATTGGTCAATCTGAAATGTGTAAACATGTATTTATATTTTGTAAATACATATTTAGACCAGGTGTGTGTGTGGGTGGGTGGTGGGGACAGTCAGGCAATATGGCTCCTGGCTGTTACTGATTCTGTGTAGTAGAGTTGAGATTTCAAACGGGCAATGTCCCTCGTTCCTCTTCATCTCAGCCAGACCGGAAAATATTTCGTCCCACTGCATTAGAGAAAACAGAAAGCAGGATTTTAATTTTTCTTAGGGAGCCCTGCACTCTGCATTTTTCAAAAGCCAAAGTATGCACTTTCAGAAGCGTTTACTTTAGAGGAAAAAAAAATAGCGATTCAGGGATTAATGGGAAATGGAGAGCGGCCGGGCCTGATGGATTTATTTTCACTCCAGAATGAAAATCTGACGCAATCACTCACAAAAGGAGATGGTTTCACACCTCCATCGTCGTATTTGCTTTCCGGGTGTTGTGTGCCCCTTTTCTTCAAACACATATGAATGTCGGGTATAGGGAGGCATGTTTGTTCCCAAGCTATCACTATACAGAAACACTGTGCATTTTCCCCCTCTGCTTCATACATTTCTTGCTCTGAAAATGCTTTGCTTTGCTGGGGATAAAAGCACTCCAAGGCACCTTTTTGTTATTGTTTACCCACAGGAAAAACAAACAGTCTGTTAACTGAAACACTACATTAAAGGATAAACTTCTTAGCACTGAATTTACAAAATTATCTTTCCCATTCCTCGAATGTTCCTGAGTTTAGAGTATGATTAAATTAAACAATACTTTGTTAAAGAAACAGGATGATAAATAGAACCTCCCAATAAAAATGATCAGGCTGGGATAGAAAGGGATTGTTACATATCTTAGCAAGGAACAAATATGTTTATTTTCTCAACACTAGTTTAGGATTCTGTTTATTGGGTGACAACAATTTTGGCTTAGATACATAGATTCTAAATTCAAAGGATTGTCAAAAGCCAGGGGCTTGGGAAGCCGAGCAACTGTATTTCAGGGCTTAGGACAGCACCGCAGACTGTGACAACAGGAAGACTCTGAGACAAGCTTTCTCTTGCACCTATCTGATGGAGGCTTTGTCAGCCGCTGCTGGAACCTCAACTCGAGCAGAAACAGCTGAAACATCTACTCAAGCTGTCACCCCTGTGATAGGTCTCATAAATCCAGATTAAACCTTTCTGTTTGTTTGCTGATCTTATTTTGTTTTTGAAAAGCAGGAGGAAGAAAGAGGGTTAGAAAAGCAGTTTTGGTTTTTTTTGAGTTTTTGATGACTGTCCACAAGCTTCCCGGGTTCTTCTCAGATAGGCAGGACAATCATTTATTCATTCAACAAACCTTTCCTCAAGGCACTGGGACCATGGATGGGCAAGACATAGATGTGGGGGAGAAGGGGGTCACTGACTCCTGAGGGCTTTTAGTTTCCCCTAAAACAGATGTGAATTAAAAAATGCTTTTTCTTGAGCACCGTAGATGATTTGGGGGAGAAAGCTGTTTCTCATGAAACCATACATGTTAGAACACAATACTCATTAATTATCTTTTCTATTTGATTTTATTCATCTTTTCCACAGAAAATATAAATTTGCTGGAAAAATATTACATAAAATATTTTTTGAAATTAAATAAAATTAAACTAGATGAATCTCAACTTCTGAAGCATAAGGTGATAGTTAAGCAACCACATACTCTTCTGTGATTGAAAAGAAAACACCTCCTAAAATTATCCAGTGAAGGTCTAATTAGGAGTTTCTGGCAATTGTGTGCAAACAAAGTCAGGATTCTCAATTATACTTCATTTAAGCTGCCATTCTAATATTGTATTTTGTTTAATCTTTTTTTGTTCTTTAACACTTAAAGCCAATTTAATAATTTATAGTTGTTTCTGCACCCTCCACCACCCACTTTTATTAATTTTAAAAGGGCAAAATATGATCCTAAAAATGTAAATGGTTTTCTTTCTAAATATTTTAAATCTTCCAGAGAATATCCATTTACATACACACACACAACTTCTCACAAGATGTGACAGGGTATCTATCTTTTGAAACCATCTTTGGGCTATATTACACACTGTAAAATAATTCTGTTAATAATGCTGAAAGACAGCAACTGTACATAACATGTTTTTTTAGTTTATAAACCGAGTTGGATTTAGGTTTGTAAATATTTGAGGCAAATAACTAATCACAAACTGAGCATGGTGGAGAGTTGTGGGAAACTAAAGGCAATTAAAAACTGCAGATACATAAAAAAGTTATTTGGGGAGAAATTCTTACCTAGGCTTTTTGACACTTGCAATGATTTTTTTTTTAAAGGGCAATGTGGTGTTTTAAAATTTTAATTTAGTTAAAGAAAACTCAACCCCAAAAAGCTGCTCTATTGCACTGAAACCTCATGAGGCAAGCTTCAGTCTTAGGCAAACAATAGCAGCTGCATTTATAAACCCTTGAAAAAAGGGTTTATAATGCAAACGCTGCCATGACCTTAACTCCAGAGGTGCAAACACGCTGCTGTAATAGGAAAATTATGCATTAAAACAGAATGGGGTTCCTAGAATGTTTTAAGATTTCTATTTGATCATGTTTTGTAGCTTTTCCAGTTTCAAATAATAAATAAACTTATGCAGTTGAATGAGAAGGAATGCTTCTGTTTCCTCAAAATACTTAAAATGGGTGAAATGTATGGTATGTAAATTACATTGCAATAAAGCTGTTTAAAAACAAAACAAAACGAGGTGTATTTCCACTGGGGACAAACAGGAATTGAAGAGAGTGTGAGGACCATCCTATCAGTGATCAGAAAACAAGGATTACTTGGTGATGAGGGATTTTCAAACTACAAGAAAACTCATAAAATAGTGCCAATATTTGCAAATATTACATGAAATTAGCTGCATTCTGAAAGCAGAGAAACACACACTGTAAACGTGGCAAAATCATTTGCTTTTGATAGCTTTTGATATAATAGAAAAAAATGATTTCGATGAAATGAAAAAAAAGAAGTAGGGATTTAGGATGGTTAAAAAAAGGAGGAGATGAGGGCATATTTCAATGAAGCTCCATATACTTTATTATTCATTCTGAGAGAAAAAAATTAGAGGAGAAAATTCTCTAAGAGGAAAGACTAATAAGATATCAAGCTGGAGGATTTCCTTCTATTTGAATTTGGGAAACAGATGAAATAGAAAGCAAGTTTTTATTTATATAGTGAAAATTAAACCTAGATTTTAGAAGATTAATATTGGTAATTTGTTATACAGAAAAACAAATCCAGACTTCCCTTGTTGTCTATGGGTCGAAACAATTTCACCTGGACCCGCCAGAGCTGCATCCTCTTTTGGAGTAGTTGAGGCTCATGTGGAACATAAATAATGCCATTCCTTAAGCTCTGATCCACCCAGGGCCCCCACTCAGGGTTTTTCCTTAATGTTCGTAAAAGAAATAAACATCTGGATAAAGTAACAAAGCAAAAAATATTGACTCATTATTTATTTTCATTTACAGAAGGAAAATCAAAATTGTTCTTAGCTTTTGCTTTTTTTGTTTGTTTGTTTTTTGGATGTGAGGCAGAAGTCTGAGATTCATACTGAACAGTGCACTTACTAGGAAAACAGGTGGAAGTTTCTAGAAGCAGGATGGTTGTGATTTGCTCTTTTTGAAACAAAGGTGACTTGATTTATATGAAAGTAAAGTTGAAAGAAATTGCCCTAGCACAGGCCTGATGAGACTTTGGTCCTCCCTAAAAATAACCTCACAGGGTCCTAAATGGAGTATTATAGCTACTTTGAAATGTTTCTGGAGGGTCCATTCTATGGAGATTGTGTGCCCCGTTTCACTAGGCATGGTGCTCAGGATTGGTGCCGGCATCTGCGCATTTCACAAGTAGTATTGTGTAAATAACCCTAGGCCCATTAATCTGGCAGAAACAGTCAAGAACCGAGTTCCTGCTGCTGCGGCAGGGGGAGGGCGCGGTCACAGCGCTACCAATGTCCTACTAACACCAGCCTCTGGCATCTGAACCCTAACCTCTTTGACACCCTCAGCACACTGCAGTTTTCCATTAGAACTTTTCTTTAGATCCAAAGATCAAGCAATACAATGAATCCGAGCTTTCTGCTACCTCCATCTTCTGCTGCCTGAAATGTAACGCTAAATGTTACGGTTTAGGTAATATCCTTGGTGATATCTATGCCTGGAAAGAAAAGGATGAAGCATTCTTCCTGACAAAAGAAAGGAAAAAGAATAGGTGTGAACAGAGGGAAGCTGTCCAGCAACATTTCACACGTGAACGTATGTGATGTGTACGGGGCAAAAGTGAGGTTGGTGTTGAAAGCCTTGGTCTGGTCAGGAACATCTCTGACTGGTCATCCAGCCATTTACAAATAAAATTCAGGAGTTTGCATGTGATATGGAAACAGCTCAGATTTGGAATGCAGTTTTCCCAGGAGTGGACAGACTTCCAGCTCTGAAATAGAGCTTCTTATTTTGAACACATCATTTCTTTCTCTTGTTGGTTTTTTGAAAGATGTAAATACCATTTGGTCCCCTTTTTTCTCCTTTTTTATCTTGAGTAAAAGCTTAAAATAAAAAATGAAAAGATTCCACGGGCACTATATATCTAAGAGAAGAGCTAACACTGAAGGGAATACATGTCTTCACTTTTATTGCTTTCTCTCAGTGTTGAAATCAGGGAAGATCTGAAAGGATCTTATTTCCTGGCTCTTTTTGCTGGAATCTGGAACCTTTGACCGCTCTACAGGAGAAAAGACTGGGTAGCCCTGCCTCACCTTTATGAATAGAAAGTGTGTCGGCTATGTTTTCATGATAAAAACGGATCTGAGTAGGATAACTTTTTCCTTCTTCTTCTTTTTTTTTGAGACAGGGTGTCCTCTGTCACCCAGGCTGAAGTGCAATGGCATGATCATAGCTTACCGCAGCCTCCACCTCCCAGGCTCAGATGATCCTCCCTCCTCAGCCTCCTGAGTAGCTGGGACCATAGGTGCATGCTGCCATGCCCAGCTAATTTTTGTAGTTTTGGTAGAGATGGGGTTTTGCCATGTTGCCCAGGCTGATCTCGAACTCCTGGGCTCAAGCAATGCACCCACGTCGGCCTCCCAAAGTGCTGGGATTACAGGTGTGAGCCACCACGCCTGGCCACTTTTTTTCTTTCAATCTAAAATGCGATTCTCTCTTTGAACAAATTTCACTAAACAACATGTTCAAGAGAGCAAAGCTATTAAAGAAAAAAAAAAAAAAGCTTGACACAATGAGGGGCCCCGGGCAGGAGTTTAGCCTAGAAGAAAGGAGGAGGGAGGGGAAGGAACAGGCAAATGAACCATGCATGTCCCGAGACAACTGCTGAGGGCAGACCAGAACTAGAATAGCCAGAGATGACGGATGTGACAGGGCTTGGTCAGGGGTAAGAAAGGCGATTCCAGCTCTCAGGAGGTAAGACAAGCACAGGGCTGTGGCAGAATCCTGTCAAAAAAGAAACATTCTGAAACCAAAATATAAACCAGTCCTTTGCAACTTTGGAATCTTTCTCAAAGGGGCTGGTAACAGCTGAGGGGTACTTGCCATCTAATCTATAAACTAGCAAAATCCTTTTGTAAGTGACTTGGGATCCAGTGCAGCTGTGCACTGAAATCACTTTGTTTACAATTACATGTCAATTACAGGGTTCCTCCAAATCCCAAATTGAAGAGAGTTCGGAAGATATAACTAAAACACAGTGTTAAAATTCTAAATACTCAGTGGATGATTCACAGCAACTCACAACTAAATCCAGGATCTCTGCTATATTTGCAGAGACGTAATTTTATGCTGCTGGGGCTGAGCACACGAAGTACAGTGATACAGAGACAGAACAGGGACTGACACTCGCAGAAACACCTTGGAAGCATGTAGATACAAATAAAAGACACAGCGGAACAAATTGTAACCGTTCACTCCAGCTACAGTTTTATAATTTCAACACTCGCCTGTTCCCCTCTATGATGCTTTTTTAAACTAGCCGTATGGAAAAACGGAATCTTCACGTGGGCTAAAGGAAGAGATTTGTGTGATTTCATACCAGGACGGTTCAGGGGAGACATAAAAGCAACATGAAATTTTAAATGCAATTATTTTAGATTAGAATGTTTGGATTGAAAGATCCGGAGGGTATTGTTTTTGATAAGACAGTCCCACTTGACAAGGGCTGTCACCACTCTGGGGCTCTCTGTTGTCAACTAGAGATGAAAGGCCATCAGAAAGAATTAACTTCAGCTTTTAAACAGTTTGAAAATGTCAGAGAGGTCAGAGAAGATCTATTTCTTTATATGGCATATTTACCTGATGAGCTTTTGGGTAACAATGTGCTTTTACTTTCCATTCAAGTTAGTCTAAAATCACGGTAATTGATCACAGGTTAATGACAGCTGACAAGGAAACACTATGATTGGCTGAAGTCTGTGTCAATCACAGCTGTTTCGGGTCTAAGTGGAGCATACTAGATCTAATAGCAGTAATTGGCAACTATGGAGGAAAAAAAAAAAAACACCAATGCTGCTAGGTCTCCTTTTGCATTTTCCATAGCCATTTATTTGGTTTCCAGTTACATGGAAGCCAATTTAAAAGCTTTTGTAACTCACACCTCACTAGTGGACCTATTGTTCCTGTGTTCTCCTGGGGAAGCTCAATGGCCGTTGCAAAATTCAATGTGTGTGTGTACATATATGCACATGTATAAAACGCATGTCAACACTAAATGTAAATATTGGTTTACTTCACAAGAAAGAAAGAAAGAATGGGAAAAGAAATCTTGGATGTTATTTATGATCCCCTTAGCAAATTCTTTCGAAAGACACATCCGATTTAATATTATGAAGAAGCTTAGTTTCATTTTAAACAACATGAGGCCTGAAGGTGATTTCACATTTCTAACGTACATTCCTCCTTCTAAAGAGGAAGGCGATAAGTTAAAGCAAGTTCAAGTGCTATTGTAGCAAGCTAATTCCCTTCTTCCACATGCGATTCAGAGAGAAAGGTCAAGTCTGCTGTCACTTCTCTATAACGGATGCTCAAGGTCTGTGTGCACTAAGCATGATATATTTAAAAGAAGCCAAGCACTCGGCCATTTTCTGTGTCAACTCTATTAATCATAAACCCTCCATCTTGAGCTGCAATGAGAGATTAGGTGCAGATGAGTTCGTAAACAGCAAATGCACAGAGTTCTTTCTGCTCTAAACTAAACCCCTATTTCTCCACCATCTTGAAAGGTACAGAAGTCCTGCAACTGGGAGGAAGGGGCCCTATCATTAGCTGTAATTGATATGACGGGCTGCTTATAAGGTGGGAATCTAGCTGCAGACCACGCGGTGGCTGACTTCTGATCAAGCTCTGACAATGAGGTGAGGGAAATAGAAAAGGGCAAATCAAAGGCACTGAATATTTAAGACCAATTCAGGATGTGAATTCTTCCCAGAGAAGTTGCTGAAATATACACTGGGGATCGTGCAGGTACATAGGTACCTACGACATAATTATTTGTATACTAAATAGGTAGTCCTGATAGCTTAGCAGTTATATGATACAATATACAAAACAAAATCAAGAAAACTGACCATCTACTTCAATGCTTTTTAGCAGTAAGATACATTTCTACAATTTACTTAACAGATATTTCCATGAGATGTACATGCCTAAAAATTGTTTCTTTATTAAAATTTATGGAAAAAAATAAATACAGTCATTTGAGCCATTATTAGCGAAAGGTATTGTCTTTGTTAGGACTGTGTTTACAGGAGAAAATCACTGAGGAAACCTTGATAGGCAACTGTGTTATAAAAAAGTATACCATTGGGAGGGCTCTCAAAATGTTAACTTGTTTTTTTTTAAAAAATCTCACTCAAATCATAAGAATTGACATCTTTTCTGGGTAGGAAAATGACAACGCCTCCCTTCAGAGCTACCCAGATGCTATCCTTTCTATTCATGCAGTCCCCCTTGAGTGTCTTAAATAATGTCCTTGTCATCTCACGTTGACTCCCAAGGCAGTGCTACCCATGAACCTCTGGCTCTGCACATTGGCCTACACTGCAATAGAGCCACTTCTTTCTACATCATTAACTAATGTTCAGGCACTGTCAGATCTCTCATAATGGAAAATCCATGCAATCCACAGGGTCTTCTTGTGCCTGGCAAATGAATTTGTTACAACTGGACACTAGCAGTGTGGTCCGGCGTCTATAGTCCAGCCGATAATGATCATTATTACAGTATTCAACATTCAGGGCAGTTCCTCATATTTGAGTTATCTGAGGATGCCAGACTGTAAGAGGTTAGGTGACCATCACCATCCTCTGGTGCCCTTAAAAACCCGCTGGTGATTCTCCACCAACTTAAACTGTAACACATCCTGTGATTGGAAAATTCTATCTCACCACAAATGCAAAGATAGATAAGATTCAGGAGATCTTCTGAAGAGCCAAGCACTTGGCCAGGTTCTTGACATTTTTAATGTAATTTTTAAATAATAAGCCTAGGAGGATTATTGTCATTCTCTATCTGCAGATGAGGACACTGAAGCTTAGAAAATTTCAGTAACTTATCCAAGTTTCCACAGCTCATAATGACAAGGTTGATATTCAAAATTAGATTTATTTCTATCACCTTATGGAGAGATAAAAGAGCTGAGAAGCGCTTTGTCAAGACTCACAGGTGGATTTCAAACCACAGACAGATGGCTGCAACTCCAGCTCCCTTAGTTTATATCTGAAAAAGTCTCCTGTTGATGGAAACAGATTTGAACTTTGAAAAAGGCAAAACAAGCTCTGATAATTCTTTGAAGGTGAAGCAGTGCACCTAAACTAAGGATGACCCCAGAGAGGCCAGGTGGACATGTTAGATCTTTGGTACCAATTGATTCAATCCTGGACATTCATTCATGTTTTGTTGCTCTCCCTCGGTAGTTTAGAAAATCGCACTTTTGAACTAGAATCCTGGCCTAATTTGTGACAAGGGGCATGAGATGTGATGGGACCATGACTTGTCACAGCTGACTACCATGGATAATTTAGAGGGTACTTCTGGAGGAGGGAGGTGGAAAGAAGAGCATATTTTAAATCAGGAACATCCTAGTTTATTAAAACATTGATTAGCTCTCATATCAATGGGTGTTTAAGATGGGAAGATAAGAAAAATTCAATATAAAAGCTGTCTTCTGAGAAGATTCAAGACAAGGACACTTTCAAAATTCTTCCCAAAGCTATATAAATGTTAATAAAAATAAGCACTATGGAGAAAATAAAAATATAGGTCTGTGGCCGGGTGCGGTGGCTCATGCCTGTAATCCTAGCACTTCGGGAGGCTGAGGCAGGTGGATCATGAGGTCAGGAGATCGAGACCATCCTGGCTAACACGGTGAAATCCCGTCTCTACTAAAAATACAAAAAATTAGCCGGGCATGGTGGCGGGCACCTATAGTCCCAGCTACTCGGGAGGCTGAGGCAGGAGAATGGCATGAACCCGGGAGGCAGAGCTGGCAGTGAGCGGAGATCGTGCCACTGCACTTCAGCCTGGGTGACAGAGCGATACTGTGTCTCAAAAAAAAAAAATTATATATATATATATATATGTCTGTAAGCTATCAGCATTTCTTTCAATAGCATTGCCTTTTTTGAACTCAGAGAGTCAATGTTCTTTTAATGTCTCATGATGGACATCCTGCAAAGTTTATGGTCCTTGGCTTCCTTATCCAAATCCAAGTGTATTTCTACCTTTTCTGGATGCCCAGGCTTAAATGCAGACATTCTTCCCTCCAGCTCAAACTGTGCCTCCCACCAGGAATACCCTACCCCATTTCCTGCCTACCAAACCCCACTCCCACCCACTTCCACAAAACTATCACTGGCTCCCACATGGTTTTCCTGAATATGCACAACAGTCTCTATCCCACGTCTCAAGTTTTTCTCATGTGAGTCTCCATAAACCTTACTATTGGTTGTTTCTCTAACTAAATTTAGGAATGTGGTTTATATTTTTTCTGTACCTCCAAAATATCTAGCACCCTAGTAGGCTTTTTCTTTAAGAGTGGGGGCTCTCACTATGTTGCCCAGGCTGGACTCAACTCCTGGGCTCAAGGGATCCTCCCACCTCAGTCTCCCAAGTAGCTGGGACTACAGGTGTGCACCACCATGCAGGCTCTTAGCAGGCTTTAATAAATACTTAGTCATGGTCCAGTTTTATCCACACAAGCTACCTTTTCAGTCCCAGAGCTACAATTGCATTTGATGGGTGGGGGCACCCAGCATACTAGAGGTAGCAAAAGAAGAAGGTTCTGTTTTGGTAACACCTTAAGGACAAAAGCACAAAAGCACCAGTGTAATAGTACACATGTGTTTCTCAGGTTGAGACTTATAAAGTGAAGCACTGATTTCAAGTGTCAAAGAACATAAATATTGTTCTTATGGCAATAAATGGGGGAAAAAAACAAAAGGTTTTGACGACATTTCCACCAGGTGGCTGTCATTCACCAATTCCAACCTTTGGTTTAAAGTAATCATGAAGCTTCAGTGGCTGTCAGGGGTGGAGGGACAGGAGATATTAGCAAAAATGTCTCAACACTTAGGGCAGCATTCCTGGTTTGAATAAATGTGAACCCACAGTGCTTTATTACATACTTTCAGAATTGATGCAGTTTAAGATGGTGAGTACAAGTTTGTCCAATTTTCTGAGAAATTTCATTCCCAAGTTCAGAATTGATTCTTTTCCCCTAAGTGACGACAATACCTTAGGGACCAAAGTTAGTTGAAGTGCATCCTTATTTATTAACTTCTTTTTGTTCCACTTCTGATAATATCTTTGAATCCTACAAAGTACCATTCAAGATATACTAAAATTGGCTAAAAATCAAGAATAAACATTTCAAAACAGGTCAACATTCAAAGTTAGTAGATGCACGAGAGATGGTTGAGCAGAAGAGAAAAGGACCAGATCTTTGGGTGAGAGAAAAGGACCAGATCTTTGGGTGAGACACAGCTTGGTGGGAATCCCAGCCAGACCCTTAGATGACTTTAAGCAAATTGTTACATCTTCCTGCCCCTTGGTCTCCTTGGGGGAAAAATGGGGATCGTAGCATCCATCTTCCAAGGGGGTTGTAATTATTAAAATCATACTGAATTTTAGTGGTCTAGCACCAACGGCCATTACTGAGGAAGAGGTCTTGGGGAGGAAGTTAGAAAGGGAATCCTACTGTCATAACATGTGTAAGTCTCCCTCCACTGTATCCTGAGTCTTTATCCCTTTTAACTCCTTCAGGAGTACTGGCCTCTTATCGTTTCCCTTCCGCAGCGTTACCTACGATTCTCCCCCATTTAAAATTTGCCAAACTGCCAAATTTCTAGGTCTCGATAAAATGCTGTTGGATAAAGCAAATATTTCATTAACAATCTGTCCCCAGGTGCTACAAATGTTTCACCTTAAATGAAAGTAGAAATTCATATGGTCTTTCCCTCCAGCAGTCTCATTCCCTGGCAAAATAGAGGTTTAATTAAGGTCAAATCTCCCAAGCCATAGCAGAGGATGGATTTAGGTCAGTTGAAACAGATATTCTAGTTAATTTAATCTAAATGGTTGTGTTTATTTGAGGAAGGAAGGGAAAGGCCTTTACAAATAGTGGCTCCTGGCTAGCACAGCATCGGGGAGGGAGAACAGTAACTCACCAAAGTTTGAACCACAGGGAGCTGCACACATCTCAGAAAAACAGTTCCTGAGAATTTAGGGGGAAAAAAGGAGTCTGCATAATTCTCAACTCCAGGTTATATATCTACAATAACAAATTATTAGCATATTCTTGGTAATGCCAAGAGAGAGAAAGGTTTGATCAGCTTGAAGACCCCAGATCTTCCATTAAAAATGAACCGAAATCCTCCACCGAACAGCTTAGGAGTTTCAAACATAAAAATAGATATGCAAACCAGAGAACCAGGAACAGCACAAGACAGGAGGATATGAAATGTCATCAGGGTCAAACACTGCTTCAGTAAATTCTAATGGAGGAGAATTCTACATCAACAGGAAACTGGAGAGATGGACACAGCCCTTCCCTGAAACTTACATTCTTGCTTATTATTTTTCATTTTCCCCTTTGTTTCTGTTTCAAGCTTTCCATGTATTTCTGGCTCACCTGACCCAAAACTTCCTTCAACAGGACTTTACAATTTAACATGTAACTTTTGTTCTATGACACAGACAGGCGTCTTCTGCTTACCAGAACTCTGTTATAATCCAGGATGCAAAGAAAAATAGCATCCTTGTTTAGCCACAGATCCAGGTTTTGTGGAGGCCTGAAGCTTACAGAATTTGGAGAGTTCTCTGTAAGAAAGGAATATGGGGCCGGGCACAGGGGCTCACGCCTGTAATCCCAGCACTTTGGGAGGCTCAGGCGGGTGGATCACGAGGTCAGGAGATCGAGACCATCCTGGCTAACAAGGTGAAACCCTGTCTTTACTAGAAATACAAAAATAAAATTAGCCAGGCGTGGTGGCGGGCACCTGCAGTCCCAGCTACTCGGGAGGCTGAGGTGGGAGAATGGTGTGAACCGGGGAGGTGGAGCTTGCAGTGAGCCGAGATCGTGCCACTGCACTCCAGCTTGGGCGACAGAGTGAGACTCTGTCTCCAAAAAAGAAAGAAAGAAAGAAAGAAAGAATTTGGAATTATCTTCCAACATTAATATTTACTTAAAATGAGAAAATCAGAATCAGGTGCTAGGGCTTTGGACACTTAGGTCCCTCTCTTCTGAGATTTCTGGGGGCTTCCCAGTGACACTCTGGTATCGCCCCCCCAACCTACAGCCTTCATGACTCCCAGCAGCTCTAAGGGCACCCTGCAAGAGGGACCCTGAAGTCTATGGCTCATTTGCATCACAGAAAACTCGCTCTGCGAATTTCCCTAAAATAAACCGGAGAAATGTGAACATCTTTCCTGTCTTGTCTTGTCGCTACCTAGCAGACATATTTCACACCTAAGAATAATGCCTGTTGTTTCTACCCTAGTACCTGGGGGTGATCTACGTTGTTTTTATCCTCGTCCAAAATGTGAGGCGATAGATTACAAAACAAGTTGCCTAACTGTAAAATTCAGAAGGGCACATTGTATTTTTTTTTTTTGTTTAGACAGAGTCTGGCTCTTTCGCCCAGGCCGAACTGCAGTGGCGCTATCTCGGCTCACTGCAAGCTCCGCCTCCCGGGTTCACACCATTCTCCTGCCTCAGCCTCTCGAGTTGCTGGGACTACAGGCGCCCGCCACCGCACCCGGCTAATTTTTTGTATTTTTAGTAGAGACGGAGTTTCACCATGTTAGCAAGGATGGTCTCAATCTCCTGACCTCGTGATCCGCCCGCCTCGGCCTCCCAAAGCACTGGGATTACAGGCTTGAGCCACTGCGCCCGGCCGGGCACATTGTATTTTTGAAGTGCAACATATTTTTTTTTCCATCTAATTCAAAACTGTGAATCTTAAACTTAAAGACTCTTTCCAGCTTCTGTTAGTGACAGACAGAGCTCCCCAAGGGGTGGCTGCCTTTAAAGACAGGTAAATGAGGGCCCATATAAAACAGGCAAGTATTGATGTTGTAGTAAAATTCCAGAAAAATACATTGGCAGACAAGTAAATTTGTCACTAATAATTTAATGTAATTTCCCTAAAATGGAGGTAATAGGTACTCAGGGAATACACCTCCAGGGTTTACATCAAATGTGCATGTGAAAAATCGTGAAATATTTTTTTAAATGTAGATGCTTTGTCTGACGTGTTGGTTTATGATGAAAATTATTCTTCCAAAATGAAAATGGGGAGGGGAAAATATAACATCCCCCAATCCATGTATCCTTTAGCTTCCAAACCTTTCCTGGTGGTGGCAGTTGAGCAGCCGTGACTGACTGGAAGCTAGGAACATTTGTTTGCACTTTATTTCCCCCTTAAAATGATGTACTACAATTACCAAATATTAATGAACCAATCATGTTGCAAATAGTATTTCCTGTGTCACTCTGAGTTATAGAATCTAATCTTGGGCTCATTTGAAACATTCCAAAGTTGCATATATTTTTCCCCTTTGCAAAGTGACAGCTCAAATTGTGTTTAGTTGCATCCGTCCAACCATGAGCAAATCAAGTATAAAAATTTCATTTTGTCTAAGTGTTAATGTAATTTTTTAAGCTCATATCCTAGGATGGCTCACTTTGCACTACGCTGGATGATATTAGATGCTGCTTAAACATTATTATCAATTACATTACATGGTGCCAGAAAATTTTAAAATAGCACTTGTTTGAGACTCAAGTCATGAAGTTCCAAGAAAGGAAAAATACAAAGAAGGAAAAAAAATTCTTTAGCTGTTTCAAATGCACCAATGTTTATGTTTATGTTACAAATAGGCTGATTTCAAGCTATAAATCTGAATTTCATTGCCGTTATCGTGAGTTTAATATGAAAAAAGACCTGCCGTGTGCTAAGGCAATAAGGAGAGACGCAGCTGTCATAAACTCAGCTGCTGAATGGAACAACCTGAGACCTAGAGTCAGGGGGCAGGAGGGAGGAAAAGAAAGAAAGGCTTTGAGAGAGAAAGCAGCCCTAAGCTAGAACCATCAACATTATGAATTAATATCAAAGTCAAAATTATAGAATGTCCATCATTTTTTCTATAGAATATTGACAGAGTGAAATGAATTCAGCAGATAATAAAGAATCTATCCCCCAGAAAAAAAAAAAGGAAAGAAAGAAAGCAGCGAAATATGCCGACTTCATAAAGCACATTTCATCAAATGTGTGAGCTTAATACAACTGCCAGGGAGAAGCCTGATCCAATTTTGCGGGAGGTCACCGTAAGAAGTCCCTGGCTGTTAATGTGCCTCCGCTTTCCCTGATTTCTTACTCCAGGTAGTGAGGCCAGATGCTGCTTCATGCTCAAAGATGCTTCATTTTTCCCCAAATCCGATCTTACACATACTTCCATGCACAGGACAGATGTGCTATAGTAATGAACGCTAATGGACAAAGTCGCCAAAATGTATTGCTGATGGTCCCATTTTCATGGGCCCAGAAGATGGACAAATTTCATTTTTCCTGTTACCACACTTCCAGTGGCTGTTCTACACTTTCTAGAGGAAAAAGAGTCATTTTTATTTTAGGTGTCTGAGAAAAATGTCTTTGGATTCTAAAATTATTTAAATACAATATAGATGTGGAACTGTGCAAGAAACATACCATACTTTTATTTGCTCAACTCAGCCTCAGCTAGATCTGCACCATTTGGGTTTGTAAATTACGCATGCAAAGTCTGCTAAATTTTTAGAATGCTGCTGTTTGTAGTGAGCTGGTTATGTTTTCTGATAATTCAGAATAATAAAAAACAGCCACTTCACCAATGGGAAGGCACACATCTCACAGTAAGATTACAGCTCACACCTGCCTAACTCAATGTGTTCATACTTAAGGAAGTTTAAATGTAATAGAAGCAACCTGAATTATCTTCAAGTTCAGGATTCTGGGTGCCTTTCTCAATTGGGATTCTATGAAAGAATTAAGCCGTCATCCTGCAAGATATCCATTATGTATATAATGAATGAACTTCTTACCCCTGCACCTAGAGTGTAATACTCGTGTATTTTTGGAAGAGTGAGAAAACAGCCTCTCAAATCACCTTCTGTGTTTCTGTGGTTTAGATAAGGATGGCTGGTTGTGAAAAGGAGGCAAGCCTCATTACTTAAAGTACAGTCTGCAGACCAGCGGCATTTGTGTCACTTGGGAGCTTGTTCAAATGCAGGTTCTGATTCACTAGGTCCAGGGTGGGGCCCAGGAATCTGCATGTCTAACAAGCTCCCAAAGTGATGCTGATGTTGGTGGTCCCAGAACCACCGAGCAGCGAAGCTCTAAAAGCTGCCTGTCCTCTGTGAAATAAAATTCTTTTCTCTTTGTTTTGTTTTTGTTTTTTGAGATGGAGTCTCACTGTGTTGCCCAGGCTGGAGTTCAGCGGCACGATCTCTGCTCACCACAAGCTCCGCCTCCCGGGTTCATGCCATTCTTCTGCCTCAGCCTCCCAAATAGCTGGGACTACAGGTGCCCACCACCACGCCTGGCTAATTTTTCTATTTTTAGTAGAGACGGGGTTTCATCGTGTTAGCCAGGATGGTCTCGATCTCCTGACCTCGTGATCCGCCCGCCTCGGCCTCCCAAAGTGCTGGGATTACAGGCGTGAGCCACCACGCCCGGCCGAAATAAAATTCTTAAAGGATATTAACATAGGACTACATAATAAATTTCACACATTTTATGACAAATCTGTTGGTTTTCACTTTGTCTTGGGCAGGGACCTCTCTCTATCTTCCATAACCAGGATGGAAGCAGTTGACGAGAAAGTGAACCAAAGCAAAGCCACAAAGGAAAATGCCACGCCTTTGGTTTCCTTGAATCCATGTGTGCCCCCTCCCCCCGCCAAAGGAGATTTTCATCTCTAAATGCAAATTTTCATAGGAAATTTGTACCCATATTTCCTCATCGATATTGGAATATATATTTTGATTTGCAAATCTATTGATATGAAAAAACTTACAAAGGTATGGAAATTAAATTACATTTAAACATTCATTTGATCAATGACCTCCAGTAAAAAGAACTCAGTGATGTGAGATGATATCCACCTAGAAGACCTAGCCATAGGATCACCAAGGAGTGGTCTATTGACCTTTGCTGTCAGTACCATCTTTCTCTGGAATGCTGTCCCTCTTTCCATCTGCCAAACACTCTTTCTACCTTTAATGTCCAACTTGAGGCTTCCTTGAAGACTCATTATCCCTCCCATCCCCCATTTTTCACTGACTCTGCACTCCTTAAATTGTTTGCAACTCATATCTGGGGCTCTAAACCTTTCATTATACTATTGCTTTGCTTTGCTTTCTAGTCGTTTCATTTAACTTGTATAATCTCCCTCAATGTTCAGCCCAGTGAATATTTATTTAGCAGCTGTTTTGTGCCAGACTCTCTGCTTAGCATCTGGGATAAAGAGGGACTTATACTTCTACTGTAGCCATAAATACTATTGTTCTCTATGTCAAAAACACACCCATCATTATATTGTAGAGAAGATTGATATGGAAACAAAAATAATATATTGTTATGATTATAAAGTAGAGGCATATGCAAAGTTTTGAAGGAGATAGATTTTTCCTATTATCTTCCAAGTTAGAAGAATACCTAAGCAAAGAAAATTTCACTAAAGGGTAAAGGGCAAGAGTCATGCAAAAAACACAGATGTAGGCAATAGCAAACTGACTCCACGTGCTCCAAACTGTCTGTGATTGTTAGAACTTGGGGACAGAGAGAGGCAGGAGGAGATAAAATTGAAGAGGTTGGCAGCAGCCATATTATGAAGAGTCTCATTTGCTAAGCTCAGGAAAGGTGTCAACCGGGCCAGATAGGATCAGATTTGCAGATACTATTGATATAGTGGAAGTGAATATCCTAAACTTCATCATGTCCTTTGCAAGCCGGAAAGTTTGAGGCACAGAGACAGGAACAGCTCAAAGACTGACTGATCAGCTTGTCAAGAGAAACCTGCTTTTTAATTCTTATGATTTGAACTCTTTTGAATGAAGGATGTTGAGAAAAACCTGCAATGGGTACCCTTCTAATCTATTTGTTCATATTAATGATCACAAGGGGAAAGTCTTGACGTGCTTTAAGAAAACAGCTGTTGGGGTGGGCGCAGTGGCTCACGCCTGTAATCCCAGCACTATGGGAGGCCGAGGCAGGTGGATCACGAGGTCAGGAGATTAAGACTATCCTGGCTAACATGGTGAAACCCTGTCTCTACTAAAAAACACAAAAATTAGCTGGGCATGGTGGCATGTGCCTGTAATCCCAGCTACTCAGGAGGCTGAGGCAGGAGAATCACTTGAACCCAGGAGGTGGAGGTTACAGTGAGCCGAGACTGTGCCACTGCACTCCAGCCTGGGCGACAGAGCAAGACTCCATCTCAAAAAGAAAAGAAAAGAAAACAGCTGTTAATGGGAAGTGGCATGAGAAGTAGCATGAAGAGGCAGGTTAAGCTAGTGGGGTAGAGTGCAAAGTATCCCCAGAATTACAGTTTCCTTGAGATCAAGGATTCATCTTGTTTTTCTTAGTAACCAGATCCTAGCACAATGGTATCTATTTTATCATTGTACTCAGTAACTACCCAACGTGTCTACCTCCAACCCGTTAACTCCTTCTATCACATACCTGGGGATAAGGAATGCAGTCTATAAGCTTTCTCATTAATAACCACATCATTGAGAGGTACTGTAATCTTTTAAAAATTACTAGGTGACCCTAATTTTCCCCTCAAATGTTTCTTTTCAAATTCTTCCCTTAAGCAGACTTTTAAAAAGTAGATGATTCCTAGAGTTCAAATGTATGGATCTATAAGAGCATCCATTTCATAAAGCAACCCTATTTTTCAAGCTTACAGAAATAGTCTGCAGAAAAGGGCTGCAGCCAAAATGAGCTTATATTTTATCCTAAATAAGATTTCTTCACCAGAAAACAAGAGTCCAGCAGGAAGGTAAGGGACTTGAACCATTTAAATCCTGAGAAGTTGAATTTTCTCAAATTGAAATTATCTTGCACTCCTTTTACTACCACGCTCTGGGCCTGCCTTGCCCATAGTAGATACTCAGTAAATTAACACTAGATTTGACTAAATTTGTAGCTTTAGAGAGCACTTGTGTCTCTTTTAATTGTTCTGAATCATATTGGTAAACCTCCAAGTTTCATATTGCATGGTAAGCCTCCCCTATTTCTTTCCATTGCGTTTATGTTCCTTAAATAATCTAAAATATAATACTAAAAGCAGCAAGCGTTTAGAACCAGACCTTTTAAAATGTGCTCCCAGCCCTTGCTGAGATGAAGTTTAAATGTAATAGAAGCAACCTGAATTCAGGGGTGATATCCAACCACTGACTCCAGGGGCACCACGCAGGACCCAGTCCTGCAGATATATGAATGTCTGTGCACCAGGCAGGCCCTTGGAAAGAAGGGGTGTGTGGCTGTATAAATCCTGATACAGGAGGACAATGAATCCACAATGCACACACAGCCCACACCTGCTATCACACACTGTAATAAACCCCCGCCGGTGTGCCCGTGACAAAGTTGATCCCAAAGGATAGAGAGCAGTGATGGAAACTATAAATCTGTATCAATAGCAAGCCATTCCTCCCACCTTCCGTGTGTCATCTGTGTGTGTGCACAAACAAGGCCGCTGATACGTAAATACTCAGAGAAGTGTAATCCATCTCCTGCTGCACACTCGCTTCCAACCCTGCCCTGTATGTTGCCTGGAATTTCATATGGTATTCAGAAGGATCGAGATTGCCCAGCCTTTTGTTCAGAGCAAGTAAGCAGAGGAGTCTGACTCCAGCAGATTCAGAGATTTTATTTTCCCTCCTTCTTAGGGAAAAAAAAAAGTCAGCTTCTTAAAATTACATTGCTGGTGTTTATGATTCATATTACAAGCAATGCAACCTCTACACCCAAATCGAAATTTCATTTATGATATTGTGGACTTAATGTGAATAAAGGCCAAGGTCTAGTGTTTTCCAAGGCACCAAAGAAAGATGCACCTGCCACGGAGCTAGTCACAGGAGGGAATGAGAAGAAGATGGAGGCTGGGAAGGTAATGAAAGACAAAAGCAAACCCAAATGCCATAAAGTGACATGAAGTTAAAAAAAAAGAAAGAAAGAAAGGAAAAAGAAAGGAGGAAAAAACCCTATAGCATGTCCATCACCTGTGCTTGGGAGATGGACATAAAGAGATGAATTTAAGGCACACTTAAATTCCTGACACTTTTCTCCTCTAGCTTGGAAATCCTACTAGTTAAAAATATGATTGGGATAACTAAAAAGGCACAGGCGACAAGACAGGTTGCATACAAAATTCAAGGTGGTTTGAACTGATAGTCTCTTTCAACCGCACAAGAAAGAGGTAATGGAGAGAATGGTGCAGATTTAAGCAAGCTCTTGATGTAAATGAAAATAAAAACCACAACAACTTTTATATCCTTGTAGCATTTGGCTAATGAGTCACTAAAACCATCCCCGGCCCATCCATCATTTCTATTACAGAGACTCAACCACTCTCTCTCTCTAATTGGTCTAGACAGGTGTCATGATATTTCAGCACATTGAAAAAAAAAATTCCAGAGGTTTTCTTTAGTGAGACTGAAAGGTAGACACTTTGGAAAACGTTAGTCTAATTTCAACCTTCTTTGAAACAGTTTGCATTTAACAAGAAAATAAAGACAAACAAACATCTCCAGATTTAACTTCGCCTCCAAAAAGGCCCTTTAGAGGATCAAAAGGAAAATTGGAAATTAATTTGATCATTTGGAGAGGGTGACCCTGCTCTCAGAAGGAACAAGTTTTATCTGGGGATCTCACTTCATGTACATTGCTTTTCTAGAGCAATAGCAAGCAAAATTAAATACATAGGGTTTCATATGTCAACTTCACCTTGCTATGGAGCAGCTTAAGACAATTTTACACTAACCAATGATTTCAGGTGCTGCTCAGTACCTTTCAGGGAACAGGGTTTCACGCAACTCCATACTTAGGAAAGGAAAGAGTGGCAATAAATTAGGAAGAGACCAAATCTGAGGAATGGACGTGCCACCACATTTTACCAACAAAACAACAGTTCATTAATGATATTTTAAAGTTGTATTTCCACCAAGTTGTGACATAAGAGAACAACAGTCAGGAAACAGGACGTTCAGCTGGCGTTTCACTGTTCACTCATAAACTGGCAGAGAAAGAAGCAAGAAAAGTCCAGGTTAAGGGCAAAGCATGGTGGTGCTCAACTTGTAATTTCCTGGTTGTTTTCAGGAGAAATGACAATCTTGCTATTTAAATATGTTTTTGACAATGCCATTTCTTTGGGAGAAAGGGTAGCTATGCAATCGGGAATCATTCCCCAGAGAAAGAGGTGACATGAATGTCTACTTTTGTTTTCCTTGGTTTGTTTTAACTCGGTAATAAGAGCCTGGTTGCTGATGCACAAGGCTTTACTGACTTAAAAGTGATGTTCGCATTGTGGCATCAGTGCTTTCCCTGAGAATTTTCAACTTGCAGCAGCGGTAAGAAACCACAGGCCTGATTCCTGAGATGGGTGAAATGGGCCATTACCAGTAAGAGTTGTTGAGGACACCAAAGAGAAACTTGAAGTACGCTGTTAGGTCAGGTATGAATTTTAGGTGTGAATTTTACCCACCTCCTTGAGTATCTATATGTAAAGGCTCTGAAACTAACATGGCCCACAATACCCAGTGTTACCTGAGAATATTAATTCCTCCTCCAGATATGTTTTAAAAAATGGTATTTTCTTTAACAACTCGAAATGTAGCATACACTGCTTCTGATTTCAAGAGAAAATAAATGGTACAAAAGCAAGGAAATTCAAGCTTCAAACCAGTAGTTTTTATAACTTAAAATATTTAATCTCCATGTATCTACCATCTTATCTTTTCATCAATATGTCATCTAGCTAGAGATCATTTCTATCTATATATAAATTACAAATCTATGCACACAATTGGGGTTAGATGACAACAAGAAGTCATCATCTCTGGGTTAGAAACAACACATTAATTTTTTCTTTGTGTTTATATTTTATATTTTTCTGTAATAAAAGTGCTTTGCATCTCTGGCTGGGCGCAGTGGCTCACACCTATAATTCCAGCAATTTGGGAGGCCGAGGCAGGTGGATCACTTGAGGCCAGGAGTTTGAGACCAGCCTGGGCAAAATGGTGAAACTCCGTCTGTATAAAAAATATACAAAAATTAGCCAGGGATGGTGGTGCACGCCTGTAGTCCCAGCTACTCGGGTGGCTGAGGCAGGAGAATCACTTGAACCTGGGAGGTGGAGGTTGCAGTGAGCCGAGATCGTGCCATTGCACTCCAGCCTGGGTGATAGAGTGGGATTCTCTCTCTCTCTCTCTCTCTCTCTCTCTCACACACACACACACACACACACACACACACACAAAGTTTTGCATCTCTAATTATAAGTAACATTTATTTTAAATAAAGCAAGTAAGCAATTTTCTTTAAAACTACAAATCTAACTAAAAAATGAAAAGAGGAGCTGGGAAGAAAGAAAATGGCCTAGGACAGATTATCAAAAGAGTCATAAAATGTTTTCACTAAAGTGGCTGCAGGCAAAATATAATGGTCATTTCCTTATTTAATATACATGTGTTGAGCAATTTATGTCTTCTTGAAGGGCTTGTTCTGGGCATGGGGTTAGAAAAAGGAATAATAAATGGTTCTTACCCTTGAAGTGGTTATATTAATTGGTAAAGATGAATATATGTTGGATTATCAAAGCTCACTCTTGCCCCATCAGTACCTAAAACTTAAGCCCAAAGAGATAGGTGCCTGGCCTTACAAAACTCTACAAAAGAAGTTAACAGAAAGTCATATGAGCCGGGTGCGGTGGCTCACGCCTGTAATCCCAGCACTTTGGGAGGCTGGGGCAGGCGGATCATGAGGTCAGTCAAGAGATTGAGACTTATCCTGGCCAACATGGTGAAACCCCATCTCTACTAAAAATACAAAAATTAGCTGGGCATGGTGGCGCGCACCTGTAGTCCCAGCTACTCAGGAGACTGAGGCAGGAGAATTGCTTGAACCTGGGAGGTGAAGGTAGCAGTGAGCTGAGATCGCGCCACTGCACTCCAGCCTGGCAACAGCGCAAGACTCTGTCTCAAAAAAAAAAAAAAAGAAAAGAAAGTCATGATTCTGTGGACTCCAGAATAGAAAGATTTGATGAGCATAAAAGCAATGGACGAAGTTAACATAAAAAGACTGACAGCTGTGGCTGGGAACGGTGGCTTACGCCTGTAATCCCAGCACTTTGGGAGGCCGAGGCAGGTAGATCACAAGGTCAGGAGATAGAGACCATCCTGGCTAACACAGTGAAACCCTGTCTTTACTAAAAATACAAAAATAAATTGGCCGGGTGTGGTGGCGGGAGCCTGTAGTCCCAGCTACTCGGGAGGCTGAGGCAGGAGAATGGTGTGAACCCTGGAGGAGGAGCTTGCAGTGAGCTGGGATCGCACCACTGCACTCTAGGCTGGACAACAAAGCGAGACTCCGTCTCAAAAAGAAAAAAAATAAGAAAGACTGACATCTTTGCTGTACTTTAATTTCTATGTTTCAAACATCATCTTAAAATTAAAAGACAACAAAGAAAAGTGTTTTCCACCTAAATGGCTAAAGGTTGATCTACTTAATATATGAAGGAGATCGAAATTGAGAAGGAGAAACCACCAGAGGCCCATTTTAAAAGGGATAGATAATTCACATCAAAGAAACTATGACTGGCCAAAAAACATGAAGTATGTTCAAACCCACAAGTCACCATAGAAATTCTAATTAAACCAGCAATTCAATCTTGTTTTGTCCTCTGTCAGATTAATAAATGTGTAAGAAACACTAGTTCAGTAAAAGTACAGAGATGCATGCAAAAATGATAAAACCACCCTCAGGCCGGGGTAATCTTTGCAGGAAAGTGAGGGGGCAATGATCAGGACTTCGAGACTATTCGTAATGTTTTATTTCTTTTGCTGGGTGGTGGGTATATGCGGTTTGACTACATTATTCTCTGGCTTTTCTCTATAACTGAAGGAGTTTGTTTTAAAAAGGAAATAACAAAACATAATATTGCTCAGTACTAGTGCCTGTGATTGTGGCGTGGATTGGCATGGACTTTCTTCAGAGTATCAGGAACATGCACCAAGGGCCTTAAAAATGGCTTTTGAATACGAAAATTAGTTGGGCATGGTGGCACATGCCTGTAATCCCAGATACTCAGGAGGCTGAGGTGAGAGAATCGCTTGAACCCGGGAGGCGGAGGTTGCAGTGAGCCAAGACTGTGCCACTGCACTCCAGCCCGGGCGACAGAGCAAGACTCCATCACAAAAAAAAAAAGGCTTATTTAAGAGCAGTGATGTTTGGCAAAGTATTATTTCTAATAGTAAAATATTTAAAATACCCTAAATGTACAACAAAAGAGGAATAGTACAATAATTATAATACATCTAAGAGCAACTATTAAATGACTGAAATAATATTCTTGACATTTTTATTTATACAAATGAACAAAATATATTATCAAAGCAGGATACAAAGATCTATCTATGTGTACATACATATACATACATAATTATGCACACACACTGTATCATGTCAATACTGTAAAAAGGAGATGTATATGTAATATAAAATTGGGAAATTATCATGTTTTACCAGTGAACTCCAATTTCACATTGCTATTTTCTTCTCTGCCAAAAAGGGATGAATTCTACTCCTTTCCCTCAGAGAAGTTTTCACATATAAGTCGATGTGACTTATATGAAGAATTAGCTGAAATTTAAGAGAGGAGTTTAGGGTCATTTTTTTCACTGGGGAAATATATAGTCACGGAGAAGGCAACTCAACCAGTTATTATGTATAATATATATATATATATATATATATATATAAAATATATATGTAAAAGTCATAACCCCATTAACACTCATTGTTGGCCTATTTCCCCAGATATTTTACAGATACAGTTTTTAGAAAGTATAGACTGTGTTCATAGCATTTTGTATCAGCAGGTTATTTAACCCATTTTGCACCTATGGGTCCTCCAAGCAAGACAGGCACATCAGTATCTTCTTCATAGTGTCTCTTGAGGACAGCCAACAGAAGGGGCCTACAGTATAGAAATACATGCTGTTTGGATATTAATAAATAGTTTTTAGAGGAAGCAAGACCTTCCAAGTCACCAATGATAGCACTGGGTGACAAAGAAATTAGAGAGAAAGATAAAGGAACAGGACTACCTTCTCCTTCGTAAAATCTTGAAATTTTATTCCAGGATATCTGTATAACTATTAACTGAAAAGAGAGGTGTTTGTGGTTGTGTGTGTGTGTGTATTTATGAGCTTCTAAAATTACTTCTAAGTAAAAAAGTGAAAGTACAGGTCTACCAAAACCTTAGCAATAATATAATCCATCTGCTTTTTGCTTTCCAAAATTATTTCCTTTATGATGTTACAATGTGTCGAGTCATTTATCATTAAAGATCAATTTAACTGGAAAAGTAATAATTTGAGGTGATGGGTGGAGGTGGAAGAGGTAGAGGAGAAAACTCAAATTTGCAAACTATCATGTATTTTTCCTAGGTAATCTTGTCAAAGTTTCTTCACTAAAAAGAAATTCAGGCAAAGATCTTTATATGGTATAATTACAAAGGGAAAGTAAGAAACTCCTGAGGATTTTTACTGGTGGGAATAGGCACACGTTGTATTCTATCAAATTACTGCATACTTCACTGATATCCCTTCTTTCCCAAAGCCAAAAGACATTGAATTATTTAGTGGGTTATTAACTACTCAACTATCTGCCAGAGCTGCATGTTACTCAAGTTCTCAGCCCAAGAAGTGACCCCTTTTGAAACAGACAAACACACACGTATGCACCCACATGCAACTCAGTGTTCCAACAGATTTTGTGAGGGGAGCTGATGTCCTAGGCTTGTAATAGGTTTGTAATGGTGGGTTGGAAGTGAAAGAAGCTTTCCTCTACTGTTATCCCAGAAAAATATTTCCTCTTTTTCCCTATTCTCCTTTCAAAGCTAACCTCTCACCCTGTGATCCTGGTTTCAAAGCTAACCTCTCACCCTGTGATCTTGATTTCATTAACCTCTCACCCTGTGATCCTGATTGTCTCCTGCTGACCACTGGCGATCTCACTACTCCCATCTACCATCCATCTCCATCAAATATTCTCCTTTGTCTTCAACCTTTTTTCCAATAATAGACACTTCCTTTGACTTTCCCACTGAAGCTACTACCTTATTTCATTCATTTCCTTTACCATAAAACTACTTGAAAGAGTTGTTTATGTTGGCATCTCTGTTTTCTGGATATGCATTTTCCTGATTTCATGTAATTTGGCTTCAGGCCTTAGTGTGTATGGCACACAATCTGTTGTTGATAGGGTTAGTCATTTCCTCTTAGCATCACCATTGACCTCAGACTATTGAAACAGGGCAGCTTATTTTCGCTCCTCACCCTGTTTGATCTTTCTTCACCCTTTAATATACTCTGCATGAGTGAACTTATCCATTCCCATATTTTCAGATCTGCTCCTATAATTTCAGTTCTCATATAGGTAATGAAAGTCCTGAGCAGATCACTTTCCTTAACTTGACGTCTCCAACTGTGTATTACTAGACTCCTCAAGATCATTATCTTCAAAACTAAACTCATTACAACAAACGAGAAGAATACATGCTCAACATAATGAAGGATATTTATCAGAAACTGACAAATAATATAACTGTAATGATGAAACCCTGGCAACAAAAATAAAACAAGGATGCTTAATTTTATTGTATTACTAATATTCAACTTTGTTTTAGAAATTCCGGCCAAAGCAATAAGATAAGAAAAATAACTAGGATGTAATGTATATTGGCAAGAAAGAGGCAAAAGTATCATTGTTTACCAACAACATAATTGTCTACCTGATAAAACATCACAAAATGAACTGAAAAGCTATGAAAATGAAACCTGTTCAACAAGGTGGGAAATTGTAAAATGCAGTTAATTTAAAAAACACAACAGCTTTTCTATATATTAGCAATAACCAGTTCAAAAAAAAATCTCATTCACCATGGGAATTAAAAGATTTCATTATTAGAAATGTATTTAAAATGTATTAAATGTGTTTCACCTATATGATGAAAACTACAATGCTTCACAGTGGAACATAAAGGAAGGTTTAAAAAGATAAATAGACAAAGTCATGTTTGTAGCTATATGGAAAGATATGCAATAGTAAAGCTATCAATTTCATGTAAATTAATCTATAACTTTAGTATCACTACAATAAAAATCTCTAAGTTTATTTGGGCTAGGGGTAGAATTTAATAAAATGATTTTAAAGCTTAACTGAAAAAAATACACAGGTTTGCCAGAAATTTTGGGAACAAACATGATATAATAAGGAAGGATTATCCTAGAAGATATTA
The DNA here is from genome assembly GCF_000001405.40 of Homo sapiens. Classification (NCBI taxonomy): domain Eukaryota; kingdom Metazoa; phylum Chordata; class Mammalia; order Primates; family Hominidae; genus Homo; species Homo sapiens. The sequence goes on from NC_000016.10 coordinate 73,637,006, forward strand.
AAATATATACAAGTACAATAATTAAAACAGTGAAGTTCTGGTTTAGAAATAAGCAGATCAACAGAAAAAAATATGTAAAAATATACTTGAATATATATAAGAATTTGTATAATTTAATGTGGCATTTCAAATCAATAGGAAAGCTGGGCCAATATTTAATAAATGCTTGACTAGCACAGACTAATTGGGAGAAAATGAGGTTAAAACCATATTTTTTTTTTGTTCTTTTTTTTTTTTTTTTTTTGAGACAGAATCTTGGTCTGTCGCCCAGGCTGCAGTACAACGGGGTGATCTTGGCTCACTACAACCTCTGCCTCCCAGATTCAAGTGATTCTCCTGCCTCAGCCTCCTGAGTAGTTGGGATTATAGGTGGCTGCCACCATGCCCAGCTAATTTTTTGTATTTTTACTAGAGACGGGGTTTCACTATGTTTGTCAGTCTGGTCTTGAACTCCTGACCTCGGGTGATCCACCCACCTCAGCCTCCCAAAGTGCTTGGATTACAGGTGTGAGCCACCATGCCCAGACTATTTTGTGTTTTAAAAAGACAGGTTGAAAAGAATGTGAGTATGTGTTTATTAAATGTTATAGTGTTGGGTACATGAGTAGCTATTATGTTATTTTTTAAATGTTTAAAATATATCACTATTTACAATTAAAAACTAAAGGATTCCATGAAGCAAGAGATTTATAGATTAGCCTAACTAACTCAGATATAAAACTTACACATTAGAAAATATTATATGAACAAATTGAAAAAAAAGTTTGCATATTGCATAAAAGACAAAAATCTGCAATATATACAAAGTACTTAAAAACAGTACAAAATGTGAATCCCCCACTAGAAAATAAGACAAGAACTGACTTAGGCAATTTTGTAAAAAGAATTTTAATAAAAGGGTCAGAAAATATAAAATTATTTTCAGCTTCTCTGGTAAATAAAGGCTTGAAAATAAGACAATGATGTGTCATTTTAATCTGTCAAATTGTTAAATATTTTTAAGAACTAAGAATACCCAGTGTTAGGTAGGATACAGGGAAACAGATATTTTCATACACTGTTAATATGAGTATAAATTTATATACAACATCCTGAGGGCAGTGTAGCCATATCCTTCAAGAGTCACAAAATGATCACATTCTTAGAGAATTTTATTCCATGGAAATAATCTTGAATGTAAAGTAAAGATATATGTATAAGGATGCTCAATGATAGTTTAATTTTAATTGTTCTCAAATTGGAAATTAATCGAGGATTGATTTGATTTGGGCAGGTAACTAATTTAACCATATACATATATTTATTTATTAGGAGCTCTTATTGCTTTGTACAGAATGGATTGTCAAGGAGCACGAATGGAATCAGCCCAATTAGGCATTGCAAATTGCAAATACCTTATTTAACAGGTTGGTTCTTACTTGTCACTTTTCAATATTTAGACATACAGTATAAAGGTTGTCACCTGAATTTGCCCTAGGTATTTAAATGACTTCAAATGAGTTTCAAATGACTGTGACCTCTTTGAAGGGTTCATGTTAGCATGTTATCATCCTTTGAAAGAATGCTAGTATTTTGTATGCTTACATACAGTTTGCCTTCAATAAACATATGCTAAACAAACAAACCTCTATTATAGCACCTGTTACATTGTGTTTTTGTTGGCCAAGTGTCTGTGTTTCTCTTTGACTGATTGCTCTTTGAGAGCAGGGTCAAGCATTCACTCATCTCTACATCCCTATTACAAAGCACAGTGCCACAAATATAAAAGGTATTCAACAAATGTTTGTTGAATGAAGGAATCAAGAACCATGTTTCTTTCTGCTAAAATGTGTTTTTTAAATATCTATGTTCCAAAACACTAGTCTAAAAATGAAGGCATCTGAAAGTAGGTCTTGGGGTATGGCTTTAATCTTGATGAGAGATACTGAGGCTTCATTGAGACCTACTGAAAAGAGAAGAGAGAAGCAAAAGAAAAACAAAGGAAGAGTTATATATTAGCATTGTGTTAGACTTCTAGACACAGAAATAGATGAGCTAGTGGTCTGTCTAACAGAAGCCATACAGAAAAAAATACCATGCAACGGTCCTTTGCAGTAAGAAAAGGGAAAACATTATTTTGTTTCTTTTATTCCTTCTACTCTTCTTTCTTCATACCCAAGAACCCACTGTAGAACATCTTAGAACCTTTATCCACAGCTTAATCAAGTCCACAGCAGCATTTGCTGCTGTGGTCCTGTCTGAATCTGCAAGTACCAGTTTCCCTGCTCAGATATATTGCACTGGAGTATTTTTTTTCCTTCTTGCTTTTATTCTTTACTGTTTATGCAAGAAAATCCACTAATATGTTTTGGAGAAGATAAACCCATTTGTCCACAAATAGAAAATTCCAAACCAAGAATCTCTAAACCATGGGTTTACAGTAGCCCCATAAGGTTCAATAGTCATTGAAGAGATCTTTATTAACATGCTCTTGAGAGCAGAGTGGTTTTAATCATACTTTTTCATGAAAGTTAATATTAAAACAGAAACATGCCACCTTACTGAGTTGCACTGAGAGTCAGTGGCAAGGGCAGAATGAAAAATGAGGATTTTTCTTTTCTCCTAAAGCAGGAGTTTCCCTGTATAAATTTAATGGCATTAAAAGCAAGTCTAAACTCAAAGCCTCATAGACTTCCAGTTAAACATGGTAGATTGAACATGTGTTTATCTCTTCTTCTTCTCCCAATCCCACCAAAGTAATGAGAATAAAAAAGGAATAACAGTAAAAGACTAAAAAATGCATAAACACACAAGGAAAAGGAAACTGGGAACAAAGACAACAATGGATTAGAAATGTCAACAAATCTTTAAGGAAAAAAAGCCATGATAAGAGTATTAATGGCCTTAGCAGAGCACAGGAAACTGAAATAAGTTTCTGCAGAGGGATGAGAAGGAAACTGACTCTCCCTGCAGGATCTGAAAGAGGCTAAAAATTGGAGGATTGGCCAAAAGTTCGTGGAAAGAGCATTTGGAGCTCTACGTTCTCTCCTCCATCCCTCAAAGCCAGGAGACAACTCCTGTTTCATTTCTTCAGAAGACAGAAGGCTTATTTTAGGAAGTATTTAAGCAGAAGTGACTCTAGATTCAGAGATCCTGGGGCCTGCAATGGAACTGGAGCATTCAGTGAAAGTTTGCAAGCTGGACATTGATGCTCCCCAGGCAAGAAATTACAGGAGGTTTCTCTAGGGAAACTCAACAGTATCCAAAAAGAGAATTATCACTTGGTGGTCTCCAAGTGAAAACAGTCATTCCCTGCCTCATCCTACAGTAGACAAACATACCCAATCAACTTTTTAGTGCCTTGCTCTCGAACACAGCAAGTCAAATAACGGAAGATATTTGGAGGAAGCTGAATCACAGGGACAGAAATAAACTGCAAAAAAAAAGAAAGAACTCAGTCAAAAACAAACAATGCAGAGAACAAAAGAAAAACTTCAAGTAGAAGTAATATTTTTAGAAAGGTAACAGAGGACATTGCCTCTAGAAAACATGAACAGAACATTATACACATATGAACAATAAAAACTAGAATACCACATTCTCAGAATTGTTTAAAAATCAAGTTGAATGGTAGGAAGATAAAATTGAAGAAGTTTCCCTAAAAGTACAATGAAAAGGCAATAGAGGAGAAAAGATAAGAAAATCGGAGAATATATCCAGGCAAGTTCAACATCTAATTAATAAAAAATCTCCAAAAGAGAGAATAAACGAAAACCGAGGTAAACAAATTATCAGATAATTATTTCAGAAAAATTTCCCAGAACTAAGAGACACAAAAACTTCAGATTAAAAGTTTCCAACCAGGTACCCAGCTCAGTGAACGCAAACAGACCCACATGAAGGCACAGCTTTGCAAAATCACAAAATATTGGAATCTTAGAGAGGCTTCTAGATGTTTCCAGAAGGAGAAAAGCAGATCATACAAAGCAGCCGGAACTAGAATGGCATCGATCTTCTCAGCAGCGGCACTGGAAGCTCAAAGACAACAGGGAAGTACCTTAAACAATATGAGGTAAAATAATTTTCAAGCTACAATTCTACACCCACAGTATCGACCTAGTTTGGGGTTGGAATAAAGATATTTTTAGACAGTTAAGTTCTCAAGACATTTACCTCCCAACACGTGTTTTCTGAGGAAGCTACCAGTGAAGTATGCTAACAAAATGAGAGAAGAAACAGACAAGCAAGAAAGCATAAAATCCAGGGAAAGCAATAAAAAAAACTTCAGGAAAAACAAACAAAACCAGGAGAGAGGAAATGGGGCTTTCAAGGTGACGACAAAGGAGTGAGAACAAGAGGAAGTGGTCTTGGAGCAGACCTAGAAAGTAACTGCCCACGCTGGAGTGGAGACATGCGGCCCCCTGAAGTGCACGCTTACATATTGTCCCACAGATCTGACCCGATGGAAGGTTCTACTGGGAAGGTCTTGGAGCATATGGGTAAAATCTCTGAGAAAATTAGGCAGGCGAAAAGATGTGTCAGAAAAGCAATATAACTTTTATGGAATACATTATTATATTCAGCATAAACAGCAAAAAGATATACACTGATGTAGGGAAGATGGGAGGGGGGACAGAGTTGATTCTTACCTACTAAAATAGAAGCCCTTAGATGTATAAAATGGACACAATAAGTAAAAGCAGCATTATTTAGAAATACATAAATAGCAGAAGACATGGGTAAGTGAATGGAAAACAGCCTCCTTTGGGGAATAGGATTGGGGTGGGAGATGGATTATGGGAACTGCTATTGGTAATCATAAGCCTTTTAGTATTACTTGGCTTTTTAAAAGTATATGCCTGCATTACTTTACAAAAATAGAAATTAGTAAACAAGCAAACGTCAGTCTCTGCAAATTGGTCTCTCTGTGAAATTCTCAGATGCAAACGAGATAGGTGACGCGAGCTCTGGGCAGGGATGGAGACGCTGGTCCACATGCTCCTCCGACTCCTCCCTGCAGAGAATACTGAATTCAGGCAGTGTGAGGGACGCTTCCACCAAATTTGTTTCTCTTTAAGGCAGCTGCTTAAAGAGGGAAGGTGGTCCGTGGCCTCGAGGACATCAGGTCACATTGGTTCATGAACTCAGACTTAATTCCCAGTCTCTCGTGAAAGCAGCTCTGATTCCCAGTGGAACTCTTTTTCTTTTACTCAAGCACATGGTTCATTAGACGATTCCTACTCTACGATGGATTCTTTGCCTGCAGCTCTGCTCTAAGTCTTTGAGAGGATACAGATGGAGCCTCTCCTCTGCAGTCTTTCTGGTTTCCCACTTCCTCCCTTCCCACCTTCAGGCTCCTGACTTCAGAGGACCGCCTCTCTTGTTGTCTAGGATCCACGCTCTCTTTTTACTTCTGTCATATTGACATGCTCAGTGACCTCCATGGGGAAGGTATATAATCATGGGAGGATGCATGAGTCCACAATCAATGGATACATTCCTCAATACATAAAGCAATTTGATCACGCATATATTCAAAGATAAACAGCTCTGTTTACAGCCACTTGAAATATTTACATATACCAAAATATAAAACGGCATATAAAAATGCAACACACACACCACTGGTGTGTTCCTTTATGTGTTAATACATTATATAAATACCACATACCTCCTGCCCCCACAACCTATATTAAGCGTAGTACATATGTGCACCCTTCCACATAGGTACCCTAGAACAGTACAGCCTGAACAGACGCTGTTTTTCCTTCCTGACAAACGGGCATGAAATAACAGGCTGACATCTGCCTCTAAAGGTTATTCAAGTCAGCCTGCTACATGTCAAAATTCAAACTGCTCCATCCATCAACGGCAGACCCAAAATGAACGTAGCTTGGAAACTCAGCGGCAAGACAGTAACAGCCCAATTCGAAGTCTGACCTTCGAGGAATGGTGGGGTACGATGGAAAATTATTTCATGCCCTGCACCAAAGCCAACAATAGAATTTGAAGAGATTTTCAGTTAAATTAATTTTAAAGAAAAATCCCCCAGTGTAGCAGTTTAACTCTTAGGGTCACATAAAAGGAGTGCTAAGCATAAGAGATTTTGCTATCTGGAGGCTCCGTCAGCACCTTGTGCAAAAGAACTAAAACAATATTTTAGGCAAAACAGTTTGAAGTCATTTGCACTGTAGCACACACTAAAAGTCTTTATCAGTAAGTGAAGAAATCATCAAGAGATTTAATTCCTCACAGAATTTTTTTGGGAATGGCTATTGGTTAAAATAAAATTGCAAATGAGATCAGCCCTTCAGGATTACAAATATGAATGAACCCTTTTCTGGAGATATTTTTAAGGGTGATGATTTCCCTCAGCTCAATTATCATAAAATGTATGCCAGGAGATTTTATAACCAGTATCCAAAGACAACCACCAATTTAATAAATGAACCAGAATCTGATGCACAAAATTATTTTACCTACTGATGTGGCTACGATATTAGGCACAGCACACCTTTTAAAAAATGCTATATACATTTGCAGTCAATGACATCTTGAACTATGCTTTAAACTCATGTTCCATGAAGGTGAAGTTACCTTTTTCTCTCTGCTGAAGACTGCTTCAAAACTCAACCTGAAAAGTCATCCTAGTGTGTTCCTTCCGAGCAATTCCAGTGTTTCCATTGACATCAAGTCCAGGCTAAAGTTGAGGGAGTGTTTCTTACATTTGTTAACAGAATGCTCACTCTGCCAAGTCTTTTCTCCCCACCGTATCTCTTCAGCACCTCTTTTCTCTGTAGTCCTTTGACTGGTAATGAGCTTAAATTCTCCCAAAAACAAAAGCCCTTTTTCAGTTCTATCTCCCTCTTGAGTCATACCCCATTCCACCCTTCTCTCCTTGCTTGCATATTTCTTGAAAGGATAATCCACACCATCTCCTTCTAAGTCTTCTACTCAAAACAGTATTGCTATCAGCTTTTGTCCTTATCATCACATTGAAAATAACAACCTCTTAATTGCCACATCCAATGGCCTGTTTTTAGACTTAAGGTTCATTCATCTTTCTGCAGGATGGACCACACACCCCATCCACCCACCACAAACAACATGTCTATTTCTCTTTTTCTGCTTGGTCTTTGACCTAGGTGGTTCTGGAATTCTGATTTAATCCCTTTCTCTCCGGTTTATACCCATTCTCTCTTGGTTAAGGCATTAAAATGCAAACACATGTTGATGACTTCCGAGTCCTCCTTTCCTTGCTCTGAAGCTCCAGGGCATAGTTCCCTGCACATCTCCCTTTGGTTATCTCCCAGCTACTGTAAACTTAAGACATCCCCAGACTGCATTTCCTTTCCATTCTCTAACCACCCACCGGTTGAAAGCAGCAGTTTCCAGCTGGGCACGGTGGCTCATGCCTGTAATCCCAGCACTTTGGGAGGCAGAGGGGGGCAGATTACCTGAGGTCAGGAGTTCGAGACCAGCCATGGTCAACACGGTGAAATCCCATCTCTACTAAAAGGGCAAAAATTAGCTGGGCCTGGTGGCGGGTGCCTGTAATCCCAGCTACCCCAGAGGCTGAGGTAGGAAAATTGCTTGAACCCAGGAGATGGAGGATGCAGTGAGCCGAGATTGTGCCACTGCACTCCACCCTGGGCGACAGAGCGAGACTCTTTCTCAAAACAAAATAAAACAAAACTAAACAAAAAAACCTCAGCAGTTTCCAGTATAAGACACATCCCTGCACATCTCCAGGACTGCACGCATTACCCTCTACAAAGCACCCTCAACTCCTCCAAATAGGTAGAGGCTCCCTTTTCTGTGTGTTCTGCGGCACCTCACACAACTTCTCATGTCATTGGAAGAAGTGAGCCCCTGTGTGTGACTTCCCCCTCAAAGCCACAACATATTTAATGTTGTTCTTCATAGAAGCCACAGCAGAGGCTGACACGAAGATTCTCAAGACCTATCTGATGAAGAAATGAATGCATTGATGAGGAAATAGTGCTGAATACCTGATTCACTGGCATGACTGAACACAGTTTAGGGGAGGCAGGAGAGAGGAATGGGGTCCATGTTAAATTTGCCAGAGCATCTCATGGGACTTACAGTGATGGATTTTAGTCAAGCAACCAGATATTACCAGGGAAAGCTGGTGAACAGAAAGGCTTTCACTGCTAAAAATCCTGGTTAATTTTCTAACAATAAATTTTTTAAAATTTTTCTTGGGGATTCCAAATGTAGCATTTAAAGGACCATCTTTTTAAATCATTATTATTTTTTATTTTTATTGAGACGGAGTCTCGCTCTGTCACCCAGGCTGGAGTGCAAGTGGCATGATCTCGGCTCACTGCAAGCTCCACCACCCGGGTTCATGCCATTCTCCTGCCTCAGCCTCCCGAGTAGCTGGGACTACAGGCGCCCGCCGCCACACCCGGCTAATTTTTTGTATTTTTAGTAGAGACGGGGTTTCACCATGTTAGCCAGGATGGTTTCCATCTCCTGACCTCGTGATCTGCCCGCCTTGGCCTCCCAAAGTGTAAAGGACCATCTTTAACGACAAAATTTATTCTAAGCATTTAAATCTTTTACCTAGTTAGCCCTTAATAAATATGTTGATGATGAGAGGATTATACATATGTCATGTTTCCCCTTCTTTATAAAAATACGTAGCATGGATAGTTTAACAAGCATTTATTAATAATGCTTTGAGAACATTTAATCGAGAATTTCTTAATGTAGAAAAATTTGAAAAGCATAAAAAGCCATTTGGTTTAATTTCCTGGCTTGTAAAAATAAAGTGGCTAAATGACATGACTTTTGGGGTCCTTCCAGGTCCAACATTTTGGTCCCATGATTTCATTTCTTTCTTTCTTAATCTTATCAGCCTTGGAGGTGATGGTAACTGTACAGGGACGACCATATCTTAGTCTTGTGTAGCTCATTCTCCTAAAGCCAAACCCTAGGAATTCTTAGTGTTGCAGATGTGAGGAAATGAGAATTCTCATGCTTTGCTGATGACAGTCTGAAAATCGATATAGCCTTTTGGATGGGAAATTTTGAAATGTGTTTCAAAAGACTAAAAATGTGACCATATACATTGATCAAAATTTTCTCAGATTTTATTCTAAAGAAATAAGTGAACTGGTGAACAAATATATTCATTATAACATTATTCATAACAGTAATGAAATTGGGAACAGTAACAACTTCCAACATGAGGTGATAGATTAAAGAAAGTAGGATGTGTCTTTACAATGGAATGCTATGATAGATTGATACACATTTACTGATATGTAAAGACAGTTGCAAAATCAAAACTACTTAGAGATGAGACAATGAGGGTACCCACCTCATAATCTAAGATATATGACCAAAATGATACACAGATCAAAATTTATTATTTATATTGTATTTCATAGAAAATAAGAAAGAATGACAAATTAACTGAACATTCAATTTAAAAAGATAGAAAGAGAAGAGAAAACAATAATGATAACTCCAGAGAAAGCAGATTGATGAAAATAAAAATACACTAAATTTGATAAAATAGATGAAAAGATCTGTAAGATACATAAATGTCTCCTAAAAAAGAAAGGAAAGACAATTAATATTAGGAAATAGAAAAGGCACTTATCTGTTCATATGCAGGAGCCAAAATGAGATGTTACTTACAAGGTACTTGAAAGAAGTAGCTTGTGCAATTGTATACTGACAAACTTCGAAACCTCCGTGAAATGAAAGATTGTCTAAGAAAATAAATACATTTTTAAGTTGGCTCAAAAATAAACAAAAAATTTCAATAGACAATAATCATATGGGAAATTGAAAAAGTTGTAAAAGATCTAGACTGCCAAATGCCTCAAACTCAGCCAGTTTTATAAGTGAGCTCGTCTCAGAGGGATTGTATAATTTATCCTCCAAACTGGAACCCTTTGGAGAGTGAAAGAACGTAATTACGCAGGGAGAATCTGAGAAACAGGAGATGTTTCAGGCGAATTAGGACAAATGGCAGTACTCGTTGTGCCAACCTTTTTTTTTTCTTTTTTTTTTTTTGAGACGGAACTCTGTTGCCAGGTTGGAGTGTGTGGCGCGATCTCGGCGCACTGCACGGTCCGACTCCCAGGTTTACGCCATTCTCCTGCCTCAGCCTCTGGAGCAGCTGGGACTACAGGCGCCTGCCACCACAGGCAGCTAATTTTTTGTATTTTTAGTAGAGACGGGGTTTCACCGTGTTAGCCAGGATGGTCTCAATCTCCTGACCTTGTGATCTGCCGGCCTCAGCCTCCGGTTGTACCAACTTTTAAAGGATAAATAATTCTAAGTGATATAGTTTGCATTTGTGTCTCCACCCAAATCTCATGGCAGATTGGAGCAGGGGTGTGGTGAGAGGTGGCTGGATCACGGGGGCAGATTCTCCTTTGCTGTTCTCGTGATAGTGAGTTCTCGTCAGATCTGATGGTTTAAAAGTATGCGGCACTTACCGCTTCACTCCCTCTCTCCTACTGCCATCTTAAGACATCTTTCACCTTCCGCCATGATTGTTAAGTTTCCTGAGGCCTCCCAGTCATGCTTCCTGTTAAGCCTGTGGAACTGTGAGTCAATTAAACTTGTTTCCTTCATAAATTACCCAGTCTCAGGTAGTTCTTTATAGCAGTGTGGAAATAGACTATACATTAAAGTTATGAAAACTGTATCATAGTTTAGAAAGAGATTAAAGATTTTCCAGTTTAGAGTCAAGAAAAGCAGAAGAGAAAAAAAAACAAAAAAGAAGGAAGAAAATTCTATGCCTACTGATGCATGTTCCCAAATAAACAAAATGTATCTATTATACACATACCTAAATGTCAATTATAAATCAGTAAGAAAAACCCAAATGAAAAAATGGGTCAAAATATGCAAAATCAGTTTATAGAAAATAAATACAAACAAACCATAAGCATATAAAACATACGCTCAATACAACTGATGCATAAACAAAAAAAAATTTTAACTGATCTGCTTAGAAAAATGTTAATAATATTAAACGTCAAAAAGTGTGGTCTTTCATGCACTGTTGATGAGAATGTAAATTGGGGCTACATTCTGGAGGATCATTTGGCAATTATTTACCGAAATTTAAAATACACACACCCTATGATACACTTATTTCCCCTGCTAGGAATCTATACTACAGAAACACTTGAGCAAATGTGCAGGATATATCTATATGGATGCCGACTGATGCATTATTTTAATTATAACGAATAACTAGAAATAATCTAAATTACTCATTTTTCAGGTAATGAAACAGACTCAGAGAGATTAAATGATTTGTCAAAGTCCACATTATTATCAATTGGGTTTATAGGACTAGAAAAAGCTGAGCTTTAAAAAACATAGAACAGTTTGCTAATTGTAGTTTTTAATTTTTATTTTTTTTCTGAGATAGAGTTTCACTCTTGTCACCCAGGCTGGAGTTGCAATGGCCCAGTCTCGGCTCACTGCAACCTCGGCCTCCTGGGTTCAAGTGATTCTCCTGCTTCAGCCTCCTGAGTACCTGGGATTACAGACGTGCACAACCATGCGCAGCTAATTTTTGTTTGTTTGTTTGTTTTGTTTTGTTTTTTTAGTAGAGACTGGATTTCACCACGTTGGCCAGGCTGGTCTCAAACCCCTGACCTCAGGTGATACACCCGCCTTGGCCTCCCAAAGTGCTGGGATTATAAGTGTGAGCCACCGTGCTCACCCCAGTTCGCTAATTTTAAAATAATATTATAATTTGCTTTGCCCCATTGATGGACAATTGATAGTCTAAGGTTTCCACAGTTGTTTATAATCTCTTGATTAAAAATATCTTAATTTCTCTGCACCAATCAGCTCTTTTCCTTCAAAATCACTTCCACCCTTGGGATGGATAACTTTGCCCTTCAACATGGGTTGATTTTCAAATGTTTAATGGAAATAAAGACTAATTTTCTAGGGCTTTTAAGTGCTATGTTAAAAAGTCCTCTAGATGCACATATCTTTACATTTGGAGATTACGGTTATCATTTTCAATATTACATGCTTTGAAATAACTACTCAGAAGAAAGAGATCAACAGGAACAAAATATCACAATAGCCTTAACCACATGGGATAATACTTTCTATGTTAACCATCATAACTATCTCTGCTTCAGAGAGAACAAGTGTTTTTTCTTTACAATGATGTTCCATAGGCAAGTAATGAGTTACTGCATAATATTAGAAAATAGTGAGGAAAATAAGTCACATTATACTCATTTTTCCCAAAGTAAAGCTTGCAATGTCTTAGAAAAGACTTCTGGCTTGGCTTCCTGTTGGTTTCTGGCTTTGGTCTCAATCTCTATTGTTCTCTACTCAACATGTAATCATCATTAAGGCATGTGATACAGTGCAGCCAAAACCTAGCTATAAAACAGCAGGTATGGCATGATTCCCTTTCAGAACATAAATGTAAATACAGAGTGTGTATATGCATAAAGAGTTTGGAAGGATTTTCAAGTGATTGTCTTTGGGTAAGATTATAGGTATTCTCTGGTCTCTTGGTTTTGCTTATTTATATATCCTGATTTTCTATAATGAATATGTATGAGTTTTATATTTTAAAAAATTTTAATAAACTCGTTTTTGTTCTACCTATAGACTTACAGAGAGTTTGGGTCAGCAAATCCAGTGCACCGTGCTTCCTAGCCAGTTAGATTCTTTATAACATCTTTGGAAAATAAATAAGCTTATCTAATAATGAGTTCTGAAATTTCTGAAGTCAGAGGCAGATAGCTGGGCAAGCCTCAGGAATATCTCATGCCTAATGGTACTCAACATAGCAATAATTCATAAGAGTCCAAAGGCCAAAGGAGGGAGGTAGAATCAAAAGGGTAGCTAGAGTAATTCTGACCCTGGCAAGAGGAAATCTGCATTTGATCGAAGCACTGGTGTGGTTCAGATAGATCTGGATGTGAGTCACGGCTCTAGCACTTGAAGAAAAATAGTTGTATAAGGATAAACAACTTATTTATCTGTGCGTCAGTTTACTCATTTTTAAAATGAGAAAAATAATGGTAACCATGTCTTGTGAAGACCATGGTTCCCAAAAAGTTGGAGTCAAGAACTTAAAATGGCAGGCTCTGATCATATACCTTCTGTCCATAACTCTGAATTTTCTCCCAAAGTGGAATAGCAGGACTTGTTATTCATAACCTGAATCATGGTTCAAATAAGAACCTTTAAGTAGCTATTTAAGATTATCAAAGATCTGAAAACATAGCAAAAAAATTAGCTCAAAATATCAGAGAAAGCAGAAGAAGCCCAAAGATGGAAGCAGAGTACTAAAGCTTTTTTTGCCCTAAGCGCATTTTCCAAAAAAAAAAAACAAAAACAAAAAAGCAAACTTCTCTAAATTAAATGGGATCTCAAAGACTTAACACCCTCAGAATAAGAGTAAGTGCTACCCCCAGCCCTCCTTCACTCTCAGGGGACTGACTTAAAGTTGTCTGAGCACTGAATAGAGCAGAGAGAAAAAAATGACATCAAAAAGCTATCCTCACTTAGATTTGCAGAATAATAATTCCTTGATTAGAAATATTCTAATTTATTTTTACCAATCAGCTATTTTCCTCCAAAATCACTTCCACCCTTTGGATGGATAATTTTGCCCTTCGACATTTTTTAAAGCTAAGTAATCACATTAGCTAAGTAATCAAAAACGAAACAACAATAACAACAAAAATTAAGGTGACAAATTCAATTTAGGGTGGTCTTGAAGGTACTTCTCTTAGGTGCCTGGCTAAGCAGATTTAACTCCTGTATGGAGGGAGTACCTTTATCCTAGGTCTCAAAACCCACAGATAGTGATTTTCAAGGACATTAAATAGCTCAGAATAAAAAGAAATGCAAGTATGTTAGGGAAAAATGCAAAAGAACAACTATGTCAGGAAGAAAAATAGAAAAAGACAAATGACCAAAACAGACCTATACACATAAATTATAAGGCACAGTTTATAAGACACTTACGATTATCAAGGTGTAATAAACAAAATAAGAATAAAAATTAAGCTTTAAAATATATGCAGGACACTATAAAAATATGTTCTAACAGATTTGATAAAGTACAAAAGAGAACTTCTAGAAACAAAAAATATAGAAATTGAAATAAAAAACACAATAAATCCATATAACAGCAGATTAGAAACAGCCAAAGAGAAAGCAGGCAAATGGGAGTATTAGTCAGATGAAATTATCCAGAATACGAGGAGAAAAAAAAAAAGCAGGGAAATGAAGAAGTTAAGACTCAGGGGATGATATAGTAAGAAGGCCTAATCTATTTTATGGGAGTTCTAAAAAGAGGATAGAGAGAATTGGCAAGAATTATTTAAAGAGAAAATGAGTGTTTTCTAGAAAGTAATAAGAAACAACTGTCCACAGGTTCAGTTTGAGAAGCTGTTAAGATCCAAAGCAGTATTAAATAAAAAAGGAAGAAAGCAACACACACTTGGAAACATCACAATGAAACTACAGAATACTAAAGACAATATATACAATCTTAAGAACAGTAATAATATAATAAAAAGACAAGGCCGGGCACGGTGGCTCACGCCTGTAATCCACTACTTTGGGAGGCCGAGGTGGGCAGATCACGAGGTCAGGGGATCGAGACCATCCTGGCTAACATGGTGAAACCCCATCTCTACTAAAAATACAAAAAAAAAAAAAAAAAAAAAAAAAAAAGCCGGGCGTGGTGGCAGGCTCCTGTAGTCCCAGCTACTCGGGAGGCTGACTCAGGAGAATGGCATGAACCCGGAAGGCAGAGCGAGCAGTGAGCGCAGATCACGCCACTGCACTCCAGCCTGGGTGACAGAGCAAGACTCTGTCTCAAAAAAAAAAAAAAAAGAGACAAATTGACTGGACATCTGACATCTTGATAGCCACAATGGAAGTCAAAAGACAGTAGAATTAATCTTCATTATGGTAAAATAAAATACTTAAAAAATTAGAATTCCATATCCAGAGAAAACATCTTTTAAGAGTGTTTTAAACCCTCTACACAGGGACAGGATAGACCCTCACCAAAAATCTGGTTTGGATGTTGAGAATGATGATGTCATACACACACCAAGAAGATGTGAAAAGATGTATTACTTATGTAATTGAGTCTTTTCTGGGAAGAGCTTAGAGGGCAAGGAAAGGAGATTGGCATGGGGCTTTTATAGTGGTAAGGAGGTGGACCCAAAGTGAGGGCTCCCACATGTGGGCAGGAGCTTATGTGCTACCACTCGTACCAAGGAGAGAACACTTTGGCTTTTTTATAAGCTTGCCCAGTTGTGGATCATAGGGAAAGAAAAATAAGATGAGGCTTAAAAGCAGTCAGCAGTTAAACACCAAAAAATGAAGTTAGAGTCCTTATTACAAACAGTAATAGAGGAAATAAAGACTTCTTTTAAACAAATAAAAACTGAAGATTTGCCACTGGAATATTCTCACTAAAGAAAATAAAATTTTTTGAGAAGGCAGAAGGAATCCCAAGAGGAAGTTCTCAGATACAAGAAGAAGATAAAAGAAAGAGCTAAATATGTGGACTCATTCAAATGAACATTGACACGAAATTAGTGACAATTCTTGGAAAGAATTTAGACACATGTATGACAAAATTATGTATGTTTGAAAGGGAGTAAATGAAGTTAACGTGTTAAAGGTATTGATTAGCTGGAGAAAGTGTCTGGAGAAACTGTAAAGGTATTGATTAGCTTTAGATTTTGATAAGTATACCTCCTGCAATTTCTAGGAAAAATAAATAAAAGAATGAAAATAAAGTGTATTATTTCCATATGAATACAAAAAATAGAATGATGAAAAATAATTAGAGAATACAAAATACAATGGCAAATTTAACACTGATTGCATTAAACACAAAAGTAAATGAACCAACAGCCCCAATTCTCCAATTAAAAAATAAATGGCAGACTGAATAAAAACAAAATCAATTCATAATGATGTTTATAAAAGACATATCTACAAAATAAAGATACAAAATATTGATACTAAGAAGATAGAAAAAGAAAGAACGTGAACATATCAACCAGAAGAAAAGTGGTGTAGCTATATTAGCAAAAGTATAGATTTTAAAACAAAAAGTATTGACAAAGAATGTTACTTTATTGTAATAAAGATTTAATCTACACTTGTCTTGCTAATTATTGGATGGACAGAAAAAAGTCAATGAGAATAAAGAAGATTTAAATAACATGATTAACAAACTTGACCTAATAACCTGTGTGGAACATTATACTCAGCAACTACACAACAGATTTCTTCCCCAAGTACACACAGAACACTTACAAAAATTCACCATATGATGATCCATAAAGCAAGTTTTAAACAACTTCTAAGAACTGAAATTATACAGAGCATTTTCTCTGATCAGACCTCAAT